>NC_000014.9:56278379-56581409 GCF_000001405.40 Homo sapiens | reverse complement strand
AATGAAACACTATCCCTACTTGTGCAACAGGACCTGAAAGAAGAAAGGTAACAATTTGAAGATGTAACATCAAAGATCTTCAACGTGGTAGGCAGCCCTAAATATGATCCCCACTAATCCCCAAGTCCTGATATTCTCACCTGTGTAATCCTTCCCCCTTGAATATGGGTTGGGTTTACTGACGAAGTTCCAGGAATAAAATGCAGAAGTGGTATATCACTTACAGTATTAGGTTACAAAATGACAGAGCTGTCAGACAGAGAGGTGTCCTTCATCTTTTTCTTGACAGAAGTCAGTTAACTTATGGAGACCCACATAGCAAAGAACTAGATTGCGTTTCTCCCCAAATTGAGCCTTGAGAAGACCGCAGCCCCATCGCACACCATGACAGCAACCTTTTTCTGAGTACGAGCATCTAGCTTAAACGGCACCCAGACTCCTGATTTACAAAAACGGGAGACGATAAACGTTTGCTGTTTAAGCTGCTCAATTTGGGGATCACTAGTCATGCAGCAAAAACTGCTTCTTCAGTCCATAGGTTCACCACCTGAAATTACAGCACTATTCTGACAAAATTACTGGCCATGATATGGCATTATTGAATCCAAAAACAAAACATGGATCTTGTTTCTTGCATCAAATACAAAACAATTAGTGTGATTTAAGGGCCAATGAGTCATGCTTTTCTTTTTCATAGAAACAGCCGCACCTGGCTTCCACCTTTTTAAGAGTTCTCCTGCAAATATTCTGCATGGCTAGTTCCTTCTCAATATTCAGGTTTCAACTAAAACACCACCTCTTCAGAGGTCTTTCCTGAATAGTCATTCGGAAGGACCCACTACTTACCCCCACTCTCAATCATATTTCCCTCCTACTGTCTCCATAACTTATCACCAGTGAATATGCTGTTTATTCATTAACTTGTGTATTGTCTAACCGCACTGGAACACTAGCAATTATCTGTTCGCCACTACTGTTCTTTTGTTTGAAACATAATAAGGACACCGTGAATAATATCTGTGGACTAAAAAAGACTGAAAGTAAATACTCAGGACCAGGATAAAAGATCTGGGGAAGTGGAGAGGTCGATAAGCCCCACCAGGCGAAACCAACAATACGCCCCATCTCGAAAACCTGAGAACTAAAGAAACCACAACGACAGGAATGGAAACAGAAGTGGGCTCTGGAACACACAATAGTGCGCTGTGCACAGGGGGGTGGATGGAGGCCCAGAGCTGACCAGACCGAATGCCAAGAGCAGGGGCCAGACGCAGACCCTGCCCGTTCTGGGACCAGGGGAGAGGGACAGAAGGGGCAACCCTGCGAGTACTTTACCGGAGTCTCCCCCCGGTACCGAAGGGGGCAGGGTGAAGGTGAACACTGCGGCCACGGCGGCGAACACCGCCACGCCGCCGCGGATGCCCCCGGAGCGCCGCAGCCCCACTCGGACTGCCCGCCCCTGGGCCTGGCCCCTGCCGTCGCCATGGGGACTCATGGGCCAGTGGCGACCGAGGGAGAAGGACACGGCCAGCCCAAGAACCCGGTGCGACACGGAGCTCCCCAGCCGAGAGACGAGCGCAGCTTGTGCGGCGGCCACGGCGGCTTCCGGGTCGAGCCTCCGCGGGTTGGACCGCACCTTTCTCCGCCTGAGCGCGGGGAGGAGAAAATGCCAGGCCTCCCTTGAGCCAGGCCCTGCGAGTTTTCCCGCAGTGCACCACGCATTGGCGTTCACCTACTTATAATGTGATTTAAGGTTCCTAATCACCAGGAGAGCATTCCCTTTAAAAAGCAAGCCCGGCCACAGGCCTACCTTCTCCATGGCTATTCCCCCCTTTTATACTGACTTGGTTGGGTCTGACAGAGACCAAAGCAGCGTCGAAAACCGCGAGCGAGGAAGGGCTGCTCCTGCCCCCTACGGTGCGGGGTGGAACTGCACAAAAGGGCCACGATCAGCCAGGAGCCCCTACCTGTGCTAAAAAAAAAAAAAGGGTGGTGTATTTACCGTATGTGCAAAGTAAGCCAATAAATACATTAATCACAATTATGTATTTATTACGATTTACTACGTTACTATGACTAATTACAATAAGTCTGTGTGCTACTTATTAAATCACTGAGTAATTTTTAGAGAGATTAGAATATGCTAGTGCGTCTTTTTTTTTTTTTTTCATTCCATAGCATAATGAAAACTCTGTAGATGAGTCGGGAAATTTGAGTTCCTGTATTCATGCAGATAACTCAAACCATGATAAAGGTGTCTCCTAGTTTAATGAAGAGGAGTGTTTTGCTGGAGCTTTCAACACAGCAAAGTGGAAAATGAAATTGAATCACCATATTTTACAATGAGCTGTAACGCAAAAAAAAAGAATCGGAGCCGTTAATAAGGACAACTACATAACAGCGCAGTTAAGCTTTTTAAGCTTATGTTTTATTATTAAAGCAATTATCCTGGAGTGGGCGGGGAGGAGAGCAACCCGCATAAAATGTATCTCAAAGACACACTGAAAACCAGTGACAATCTCAAACGTGTTACGCGCAATTTGATAGAGACACAGTGACTAAACTATAGAGTAACATATACCTACCTTGACGGTCATGGGGCCAGCACACCTTAGTCTTTTCCAGGTACTTATACAATTTCCAGCCTTTTCCAGGTAATTTCTCAGCTGTACTGTGAGTTCCTGGAGGAGAGGGGCTGTGTGGTAGAGTGCTTCTAAAATGGATTCCCAGATAACCCTGCCTCCTCACTCACTTCCTGTATAAGCTGCTCGCCTTATGTGTGAGCTTAACCTAAGGATTGGCTTCTATCAATACAATAAGGCAAAAGTGATGGATGTCACTTTCAAGATTAGGTTATGAAAGACTAACTTTCATCTTGCTGGCACTCCCTCTTGTCCTCTCACTTGTTCTCTCTGATGAAGCCACCTACCATGGTGTAGGCTGCCCTGTGGAAAGGTCCACATGGGAAGAAACTGAGAGCCGCCTCTAGCCAACAGCTGGCAAGAAACTGAGACCTTCAGTCCAACAACCTTAGAGGAACTGAATCTAGGCAACACCATGTGAGGGAGCTAGGAAGTGGATCCTTCCCCCACATAAGCCTTGAGATAACTATAACTCCTGTCAAGACTTGGATTGCAGCCTGTGGATGACCCTGAAGCAGAGGACCTAACTAAGCCTCATCCAGACTGCTGTCCTATAGAAACCGCGAGATAATAAATGTTGTTTTAAGTTGATAAATGCAGGCTAATTTGTTAGTTATCAGCAATAGATAGTTAAGATAGGCTGTCTTCTATTTCTTTGCTGAAAGAACATGCCAATGAGTAACCTTGACTGGGTCAAGCATATACTTCTTTCCCTTTTTATGCATTTCACTTTTGCTCATGAGTTTTATTTAAAATTTTTTTATTTTGGAGGGGAATAATTCTTTGTCCATGTTTGGGAGGTAGAGATCAGTGCTGGAAGTACAAATTTAGGAGTTGCTCGTGTAAGGATGATATAAATGACTAACTTGATAAGGGGATAGTGTAGAGAGAACAAGGTTGAGGTCTAATGTCAGCCCATATTCTCATTTAGGGAATGGCTGGAGAAGGGGAGAGAACAGTGTAAGAGAATGAGGCATCACCAGAAGCTAAAGAAGAAAAGTCGATGAAGTACATGTGGTCAGGATGTTACAGAGAGGTAAAGGACAATGAAGAGAGGCACGTCTAGATTTTGTGAAGCTCAAGTGTATAAAACTTGGAGAATTATATGTAAGTAAACTGATATAAAACTGCAGATACAGAATTAGGCACAAGATATTGGAAGACACCTGGGCTAGAGAGGAACTGTGAGGCCTAAGCTTCATTAGCTTCATGGTTGTTTTCCTTTGAAGATTAAGAACTTCCAGTTCTCTGTTTATGTCTGACTCTACCTCTCAGTAAGCATCTGACTATTCCTTCCTCCCCGGAAGTATTTTCTTTTCTGGCCTTCATTGATAGCACACTCTTTGGTTTTCCTTTTATCAATGGCCTCCCTGCCCTGGCTCTGCTTCTGTCGGTCCCCCAAATGCTGAAGTATTCCTGGGCTGTTCTAGACTTTTCTCTCTTTCTGTCTTCTTTCCCGAGATGATCATATTGAAGCTTTAAAGGGCAACTATGGGGCAATATTTCTCAAAATTAGACCTCCTCTGCTTCTCTTTTTTAGCGACCGATTATTTTAAAAAACCCAACTGCCCCCGACCTCTCCATTTCTATGTCTAAATAGCCTGTCAAACCTGATGGACTTTGTCTAATTTCCACCATATTTAAAATGATGCCTGGCACAAAATTGGTGCTAAACAAATATTTATGTAATAAATGAATACATGAACAATCAGAGATCACTGGCATATCCGTTAGGGATTGCATTTAGCTACTAGTGACAGATCCTGCTACAGTGTCTTAAACATTAAAACAATCATTCTCTTATATAAAAGAAGTCAGAAGTCTATAGGAAGTCAGTCTACCACTGGCTTGGCAACTCCCTGATTCCACTAGGGACACAGCTGAAGTCCTCATATCTTTCTGCACCATCCCACTCAGCTCACATTCTCAAGGTCATCTACTGATCCAAGGTGGCTGCTAATGCTCCAGACATTACATCTGTTCTTGAGGAAGAAAAAGAAAGGATGGGAAGAGAAAGGCCTGCTCCAGCTTTTTTAAAAAAGCACTATTTTTTTAAATGCTATTCCACAATTTTGCTATATCTAATTGGCCAAAATTGAATAACAGGTCACTCCTAGGGGCAAAGGATGCTGCGAAATAGACTTTTCAGCTGGACAGTTTGCCTAGAATTCTATTACAAAGGAAGAAGGGGAGAATGGATACTGAGGGGCAACTAGCAGGCTCTGCATGGTTGGATTTGGTGACCTGGAGGTATTTGAACCTTGAAAGTTCAAGAGGTCAGCTTCAGTAGAGTAGTATCTACAGAAACAAGGTACTAGTGGGCTAAGAAGTGAGCAAATGGAAGACATGAAAATAAAATACATTTGCAAAAAGTTTGGCAGTGAAGGGAAAGAGAGAAATAGCATGAAAATTCACAGGGATCGAAGTGTCAAATGAAGATTTTTGAATGTCTTGTTTTGTTTGTAACTCAAGGGAGTATTTGGAGAGACATAGTGATGAAGTAAAGATGTACAGGTTATTGGAGAGGATGGGACTGAGGAGGACAGAAGAGAAGGGTTGAAGATAGAAAATGTTAGAGATAAAGAGAGAGACCTCATGATGTCTCTCTTTACACATGATGTGTAAACATGTGATCGTTGGACTTGATCCTGAGACAGACCAATAAGACATATAACGAGTATTGATTTATTGTTTGTGCTCTACATCATTCTATGATGGCTTAGAGTTAGCCACTATAATACAAACCATAAAGCAGAAAAATATGTAAATAATTTGGGATTCATCCAGAGAAACAGAACTAGTAGGAGATATGTATGATACAATTTATTGCAAGGAATTGTATAATGTAATTTTGAGGGCTGGCTAAGTAACTCTGAAGCCCGTAGCACATGCCATCAGGAAGGGAAGACTGGAACTCCTGGGCATGGCAGAAAGCTGTTGTCCACAGCTGGAAGTTTTTCTTCATCAGGGGACCCATATCCCTGCTCTTAAGGCCTTTCCACTGATTGAATCAGGCCTACCAGATTAACTATGATAATCTCACGGTTTTGAAGACAAATGAGGCTGGGCATGGTGGCTCATGGCTGTAAACTCAGCACTTTGGGAGGCTAAGGTGGGAGAATCACTTGAGGCCAGGAGTTCGAGACCAGCCTGGCCAACATGGCAAAACCCCATCAATACTAAAAATACAAAAAAAAAAAAAAAAAAAAAAAAAGCCAGGTGTGGTGGTGTTTACCTGTAATTCCCGCTACCCAAAAGGCTGAGGCACGAGAATCGCTTGAAACTGGGAGGCAGAGGCTGCAGTAAGCCAAGATCATGCCACTGCACTCCAGCCTGGGTGACAGAGCAAGACTCTGCTTGGAGAAAAAAAAAAAGTCAACTAATTATGAACTTTAGTCATATCTACAAAATACCATCACAGCAACACCAAGATTCGTGTTTGATTGAAAAACTGAGGAATGTAGCCAAGCCAAGTTGACACATTCGAAGAACATCACAGAGGCCAGGGAACACTCAATTAGATATAGAACATCAGATTGACGGAAAGTAAATACATAGATCCATGGCCCTATGGTACCCTAAATTTGGCTCTGGGAGTCTTCCTGGGATTTATGGCCAGCATCTAGCTTCTGTTGAAACCAAGGAGATGGCTCCTCATTATTGCTGAGCAGAGGTGGACATTCCACCTACCTGCCGGGCCTCTACTGCTGCCTCCCTGCTGCAAGGTAAAGGAGTCCTCGTCACTATTCCACTTGTGGTTTCCACTAGCACCACATGGTTATGGGGGTATGGAGATGGCCTCCTTTTCCTTGGACAGTGGTGAAAGTCCTGACTCTCACTAGGCTGCCTCTGATACTACCCCAGAAGGGAGGGAAAGGGGGACCTCATTCTTTTTGGGCAGGGGTGGAAGTCAAAGATCCCCACGTGGTCTCCACTGCCACCATGGAGAAGAGGGGTCTCATTACCACCCAACCAGAATGAAAGTTCTGGCTTCTTCCTTTGCCTTCTTTGACATGACCCTGGTGGCATGTGGAGGCACCTGGAGAGGGTAGAAGTCTAGGCTGCCCACTCAGCCTTCCTCATGGTTTATTCTTTGGTTTTGGCTACAGTAGAGTGATTGTTTTCTAAATGTATCTGTCTTGCCCCTTTCTTGGTCTTTTAGCTAGAGGGACGAGGCTTTTTGTTGGGGCTTTTTTTTTTTTTTTTTTTGTCTGGGCCCATTGGCATCTCTGGGTTGCTAGCTTCTTTAGCAACCAATCTGTGATATAAGGGGGAAAAAGAAGTCCAGGGACCTCACCACTCTGTTGTTCTTCAGATTTCAGAGCTCCTGCCTCAACTGCCTTTTTTTCTTCACATTTTGAAGTCTTATTATCTTTGTTTTATATATAATGTCCAGTGTGTTTAGTTGTACTTAGCAAGAAGAATTCAAAAAAAATACCTATTTCATCTTTCTGAAAGCAAAAGTCACTCCTCTTTGTTTTATTCTGAGCATTCAGAGTAGCTTCACAGACATTAATGCACTGAAATTCACCTACAAATTACAATTTAGATGTCTAATTCCCCCAAATCCCACTTGATATAAAGTCAATGTCTTAATATTTCTAATATCAGTGAAATTTAAGGTTAGCAACTTTAGACTAGAAATTGGATGCCTAGAATACCATCCGGTAATCCATCTACAATAGGAAAATGCAAGAGATACAAATATCCCTGACAAATGCCTCAGAATAGTAATTTTAAACATATAAATGTATTAGTAACCAAAGGAATTTGAAATAAAAATAAACAAATGCCATTTCCACCTTTCCAATTGTCAAAGGTATTTAATAGATATGGGGGATTGGTGATAAGGGAATTTGGTATAATATTTTGGAGGTCAATGTATCTATGTGTATCAAAAATTTATAAAGATATTCATATAATTTGACCTAGAATTAATTGTAAGTAAATATTCATATACATCTTTAACTTTACTAGTAATCAGAGAAATACAAATGAAAACCACAATGAGATACTACACACCTACTAGGTTTGCAAAAATTGAAGTCTAACTATATATGATGTTGGCAAGTGTTTGGAGCAATAGAAATGTTACCAGGAGTATAACCACTTGGAAATCACTTCCAACCACTTGGAAAACAGGCATTTCTAGTAGAGTCAAAGGTGTTTAGAGTCTGCCACTCAGTAATTCCACTCCAGGTTTACACCCAGAGAAGCCAGGAGACACGTACAACATGTCCATAGCAGTGTTGTTCATAATAGCCCCCATACAGGAACAGCCTCAAACATCTATCAGTGGCAGAATAGAGAAATAAATCCTCTCATATTCATACAATAAATAGTATACAACAAAGAGAATGAACAAACTATAGCTAGCTACCATGGAACAATCTGGGTGATTCTCACAAACAAAATATTGGGCAAAAGGAACAAGTTATGATAGAACACATGTGGAATGATTGTAGTTATTTATTTACTTATTTATTTGTCTGTTTATTTATTTTTGAGATGGAGTTTCACTCTTGTTCCCCAGACTGGAGTGCAATGGCATGGTCTAGGCTCACTGCAACCTCCATCTCCTGGGTTTAAGTGATTCTCCTGCCTCAGCCTCCCAAGTAGCTGGGATTACAGGCGTGTGCCACAATACCCGGCTAATTTTTTGTATTTTTAGTACAGACAGGGTTTCACCATGTTGGCCAGGCTGATCTCGAACTCCTGACCTCAGGTGATCCACCTGCCTTGGCCTCCCAAAGTGCTGGGATTACAGGTGTGAGCCATAGTGAAACTAAACTATATTGTTTAGATATATATTGTGTATATATAATATTATATATGCTATATATGCACAATGTATATCTAAACAATAGGTATTCATTGAAAAATTGTATACTGTATCATATATCTCTCTATATATATCTCCATAGGGTTTAAAACTATAAAGAAAATAAAATCAAGATTGCAGGTGTTGGGTTAATGGTACCTCTGCAGGTAAGTAAGTGGGAACTATGATCGGAGAGGGGTACATATGGGCTTTGACGTACTGTCAATATTTCTGTTCTTGATTTGAGTGGTGGTCACATGGGTGTATTCTTTATTCTTTAAACCATTTAAAAATGCTTTATGCACGTTTCTATCTACATATCACATATTTTTCAAAATAGCTAGGAAGGAAGATTCTGGAATTATCTAATGGACAGTATTGTAATGAATACTTTTCTTTCTTTCTTTTTTTTTTTTTCAGACACCATCTTGCTCTGGCACCCAGGTTGGAATGTGGTGGCGTGATCATGGCTCACTGCAACCTCGGCCTCCCCAGGCTCAAGTGATCCTCCCACCTCAGCCTCCCCAGTAGCTGGGACTACAGACACGTGCCACCACACCGAGCTAAATTTTGTATTTTTTTGTAGAGACAGGATTTCGCCATGTTGCCCAGGCTAGTCTCGAACTCCTGAGCTCAAGCAATCCACTCGCCTTGGCCTCCCAAAGGGCTGGGATTACAGACATGAGCCACTACGCCTGGCCTGTAATGAATACTAACTAGAATATTACCCTGAGTTGACATGAAATAACTCACGAATTTTCCTGCATCTTTTTAGTGCCATTTAATATAAGTGATTATGTGGAAGTGTTTTCTACTCAAGGAAAGTAAATTTTCTTTCAAAATTCCTTGTGGTAATCTAATGTAATCGAGTACTAAACTCTCTCCTAAAACCAATTTACTTTTCAGACATAAACTTTATGAATTCTGTTCTAGATCTTTGGCCAAAAAAAACAAAAACAAAAACAAAAAAAACCCACTCAGTTTTATAGTCTGATATTTGTCAGTAATCTTCACAATTTTAGTAAACCCATTTTTTTCTAAACAAAACTCTAAGACATCACATAAAAAGAAATATTATTTAAAGGCACAAAAGTAAACAATTAGTTAAAATAACAACTGTGAAAATTAGGAGTGAAGGTGAGGATAGTGGCAATGAACTCTGACACTGGGGAGTCAATAAACAATGTCTTTTTTTTTTTTTTTTTTTTTTTTTTTGAGAGAGAGAGAGTCTCGCTTTGTCACCCAGGCTATAGTGCCGTGGTGCCATCTTGGCTAACTGCAACCTCTGCCTCCTGGGTTCAAGCGATTCTCCTGTCTCAGCCTCCCGAGTAGCTGGGGTTACAGGTGCCCCCACCACGCCTGGCTAATTTTTGTGTTTTTAGTAGAGACGGGGTTTCACCATGTTGGCCAGGTTGGTCTCGAACTCTTGACCTCAGGTGATCCACCTGCCTCGGCCTCCAAAGTGCTGGGATTACAGGTGTGAGCCACTGTACCCAGCCTAATAAATAACATCTTATATTGATAAATCAAGAGATAAATAGCACTAGGGGCACCAGAACTTTACTGTTCAGGGAGGTAATCCTGAGTAGAACTAAAGTCATTAAAAGTTAAAAGTGGTTGCCACTGAGAAGAGAGGACTAGTGGAGAAGCAAAGAAGTTTGGGAGATATTGCTTACATTATAAATTGCTCTGTATTCCTACATGTTTTGCTATGTGCATTGTATTACTTTGATAAAGAGTAGTATGGCCAGGCACCAGTGGCTGATGCCTGTAATCCCAACACTTTTGAGAAGCTGAGGCAGGCAGATCATTTGAGGCCAGGAGTTCAAAACCAGCCTGGCCAACACAGTGAAATCTCATATCCACTAAAAATATAAAAATTAGCTGGGCATGGTGGCGTGTGCTTATAGTCCCAGCTACTCAGGAGGCTGAGGCATGAGAATCACTCGAACCCGGGAGGTGGAGCTTGCAGTAAGCTGAGATTATACCACTGCTCTCCAGCCTGGGTGACAGAGTGAGACTCCATCTCAAAAAAAAAAAAAAAAAAGAAAAAGAAAAAAAAGAAGAGTAAAATATTTGTAAATAAGCAAATGAGAAGGAAAAAAGCCAAACTACAGCTCTTTTGAATTAGACATTATAATGCATGTGAAGAACCTGAAACAGTAGGAGCTACAAAAATGTTTGCCCTAAATGAATTTTCTCCTGTTTAAATTACATTTAAAAATCCTCTTATTTAATCATTGTATTTTAATTTCTAAATATAATTTTTTCTACATTAGAGAAATTAAATGTTCATAAAGTATTTCAAAAATCTTTGTTCCAGTTACCTGTTATTATGTTAAACTATCCCCCTTGGTGGCATATAACAACCATTTATTATATCTTATAATTTTATGGGTCCAAAATGTATACAGGGCTCAGCTAGGAGATTCTTCTGTTTCATGTAGCATTGACTGGGGTTACTTGATGGTATTCAGATGGCAGATAGGCCAGTCCGGAAAGTCCAAAATGCCTTTATTTCATGCCTGATGCCTTGGTAGGAATGGCTGGAATGCTGGGCTCAGCTGAGACTTTTGATCTGCATGGTCCCATGTGGCTTCTCCAACATTGCAGTCTCAGAGTAGTTGAACTAAGTTTTCAGAGACTTATAAGAGGCCTAGGCAGAAGCTGCAAGGTTTTTATGTCTTAGGCTTAGAAGGCACAGAATGTTGCTTCCGCTGTATTCTCTTGATCAGGCAAGTCAGTAAAGCCAGCCCAGATTCAAGGGAAGGGGAATTCGACTTTACCTCTCAAATGTAAAGAATTTGCAGCTACCTTTGATCTATACATCCCCCAACAGGACCTGTGATACAAAAATAAAAAATATATATGGGGCAAATATTTTTTTTCTGCCTGAAGGGGGAAAAAACCATATGTGAATCAGAATTGTGGGAAAATTCAAATCGTTAACTGAATATGCAGTTTGGAAAATAAATATTGTTTGGCCTCAACACTGAAGAGTCTTCTAACAAATATTAAGGTAATACTGTTTCAAAATCTGATTCACTTAATATTTGAATTATTTAATCAGAGTATTAAAAGGTTTGTGTTATTTTCAAAATCTTTTTGTTCTATTTCAAGTTCAAAGAATAAAGTTTTTACATTTAGTAAGAAAATGATAGTAAAATATATCTATCAGATAGAAAATGAATATTGAATACAAGGACTGTGAATGTATTCAAGTACCTAGCACAGTACCTAGAACATAGTAAGTACCGGGAATAATTTGAAGATTGACTATAGAAGGGACACAGAGAGGATATCTAACCTTGCTAACTGCTTTCAGAAAAGATTACATCTAAACCCCCAACCCTAAGGAAAGTCTCTCCTAACCCAGACCCAAGATACAAACCAAATGACAAAGGAAATGTAAGAGGTATATAATTATAAATGGTAATGTAGAAGGTAATTATGGAACTTATAAAATATTAAGCATTTTCATAGTCATTCAGGGAGGAGCCTGTGTTCAAATCCTGGCTCTACTAATATCATTGTGATCCTGAAAGTTCTTAAATTAACTGGCCCCATATGACTCATCTGAAAAATGAGAATGATGACAGTGCCTTCCTCTTAAGTTTTGTGTGAAGATTAAGTAAAATAACAAAAAAGAACAGAACTTGGTACATTGTGAGTCACAATAAATATTAACTGTTATCTAACATTTAGAAGAAATTCTATAGGATATTATTTGAAAATAGGGCAAGTAAAAATGATACTTTTCTACTTCCATTTCAAAGGTAATTAGCTAGAACTGAAAATATATGAGACAGACAAACTATCCATTTGTGACCAGGAAGTGATCTGGGAAGCTTCGTGCTCCCTAGAGACTTAGTCAGCCTTGGATAAAAACTTCAATTCCGTGGTCTGTGCAAGTCCAAACTCCATCCCAATATTTCCAGGAAATCTTGCTGCCTTGTTCCACTCATCTCTAGCTCTTCAATTATTCTGCATAGCAGCTAGGTGTGGTGGCTCACGCCTGTAATCCCAGCACTTTGGGAGGCCGAGGTGGGTGGATCGTGAGGTCAGGAGTTCAAGACCAGCCTGACCAACATGGTGAAACCCCGTCTCTACTGAAAATACAAAAATTAGCTGGGTATGATGCCATGTGCCTGTAATCCCAGCTACTCAGGAGGCTGAGGCGGGAGAATTGCTTGAACCAGGACCTGGGAGGCAGAGGTAGCAGTGAGCCAAGATCGTGCCACTGCTACTCCAGCCTGGGCTACAGAGAAACACTCTGTCTCAAAAAAAAAAAAAAATTATTCTGCATAGCTCAAACTCAGTCCTTTCTTCAGTTTCCAGAGAAACCCACTGGTTCCAAACAAGCTGATTTCTGAGAGAATGGAAAGAAGAGTGTTCAACCAACAACCATCTCCCCAGGTTCCTGCTCACTCTCCCCTGATTTCTCCTTTTCCCAAATTTGCCCTTGCAAACTCTTTCTTCTCCTCTCTTCTGCCCAGCATGTTAGTTTACCTTAGGGTAAGCTATCTCTAAACTACCTTTGATGACCCAACATCATCAAGGTATTTAGTTAGTAGAATAAAGGATCTTCCATGTGACAGGATTTACATGCTCTGGATCACAGACGTAGTTAATGATCCAGTACTTGGCTCCTGCTCTAGTACATGTTCTTCTATCTCATGTTTCCTGCATTGATGTCATCAAGATTTGAAGAAAAATAACCAAGGGATAGGTGTATAACATCTTGATGAGTTTAAAGTAGTTGATAAAATGAATAGTTTCATGCATATGCATACAAATGGCAATTCCAAATAAAATTTAAGTTTGCCTGCTATGGGCTATGCAGTGAGTGGTCTCTGTGCTTATAGCAATGGAGTTCCTGGATGGTGCTATTTGAGCATCAATAATCCAAGAGCCCAGTGGCCCACGTTGCTATATGCTAATGCGCTCTCCTTCTCCTTGACCTGAAATTCTTATGATTCGAGTCATTCAGCCACACTAAACACTAGAGTTGGAAATGTCTCCAGAAGTGTCAGTTTGTTTGTGATTATCTAATCTTGGAAGTTGGGAAGAAAAAAAAAAGCATAATAGGTATCAGACTGTATTTTAAGGATTGTCTGAGACTAATACTTTCCTACCCCTTTAGAAAAGAGCCACACTAATTGTTGGGATTTATAAGAAGGCAAATATTGGCTCAAAAATGTTTCAAGAGTCAAAAGACAAGTTACTGTTTTCACAATCCATTGGAAGAGTGTCATAGTTAAATTTATCTTCCTAAGACAGATCATTTTTCATTTGCCTGGGTCTTAGGAGTGAATAAGTGAGGGAGAAGCCCTTTACTTCCCACATAACAGACCCCAGTGGGAAACTGGCTTTTCTCTGAAAAATGGGAGTGCCAATAAGAATGGGAATGCAAATGGGGTAGAGAGAGGAAAATACTTCAGTAGGTCGGGGACCCACATACACCAAGGCTTCTGGGACTGGCATTATATCATTTACATTAGATGACGCCATAGATCCGTCCCTACTGTTTGCATCTCCCCACATGGGAAAAGTGACATGCCAACAGTTGAGTCCTTGTCTTGGAAGGATATCAAGAGCAAGTCCATAGTAAACCAAAGATATGCTGAAATGAAGACTGTCTGAACATGCAAGACTTCTAACAGGCATTGGAAGGGGAATGGCAAACTGGGCAGGTAATGCCATTCCTAGTGTTTTCTTTTTCCACAAACCCAATAAAAGGGCTTTGTTTCTCTGTGGTAATACCCCATGTTGAGTATGTTATTCTGTTGAACCATGAGGTTGGGCTCAGAACATCTGGAATAAGCAGATTATAAATCAGTGGAGGTAGTCCAGGGGACAATTTTGCAAATGTTACTAAGATTCAGATATACTACCCAAGGGACACATGAGAATTTTCTTCCCTGTGTACATGAATAAATACAGGTTTAATAGGTTTTAGAGACTTCACCTTGAAAAGCAATGTCTTAGACACAAGAGAAGTACATAAAGCACACGTGTTTATAGAAGTAGGGGAAGGTCGCAAGAGCAGCAGGGTTGGGAACATGGAAGGAGCAGGCAGGATGCATGGGTTGCAGGAAACTGTCCTGAGCAAGAAGATGGTTCTCTCATCAGAAAGCCACTCTTGCTAGAGCCCAGCAGCATGGAGTGCCTGGCCTACCAGGAGCTATGCTCCTTTCACGACTGAAGGGTGATAGTTACGTTTATGGTCTTTGGAGTTAGACTTTGAGTTCAAATGCCATCTCCATCACTCACCAGTTGGGCAAGTTACTTCACTTACCTTATTTTCCCCCATCTATTAAATGGAGATATCATGAGAATTAAATAAAAATAATCTAGATTCAGAGTTTAGCACCCAGCTTGGCACAGAGTAAGCACTCAAGAAATGTGGGTTATTGTTATTATTATCCACTTGAAAAATACCAATTGAGTGTACTGTGTTCCAGGCTCTGTGCACTGGTAAACAATTTTAAGTATGGCATGCATTATTTCTGTCCTCCCAGAGCTCACAGACCAGCGGGAGATACAATACGCAATCTGGCAATGACAGCATTGTATGAAAATGGGATACGATTGGGAAAATGCAGGGTGTTATGGGATCACAGGGGCTTCAAAGAAGCTGAGACTTGAAGTAGAACAGGAGTTCACCAGGTGAGGGCTGCTGGGGGAAGAAGGAAAGGGTAGCGCACATGAAGACCTGGAGTTAAAGAGGAATGATGCACTGAAGCCAATAGGTCTGTGGCCCTTGTGTGCTGAGGACAGGGTAGGCAGTCAAGGGTGACATTGAGGGCGTGGGTTGTGAGAGAACACGTTATGCAGAGATGGTAACTCAGGTGGAGGAGACAGGAATTTTAATTCACACCACAAGGGCCCATTGACTTTACTTTAATGAGGCAAATTTAATCTGTTTTGAATCCATGTCCCACTTGGTTATCAGAATATTCACTCAGTCATTACTGGGGCTCCTTTCTTCTCCAGCCCCACCCCACCAGGCTCATATATGAGTCTTGGGAGCTTACACAGCCACAGCATTCTGGGCTTAATCTGCACAGTGGCCTATGCTGATGTGCTCATTGTCCACGTCCACATGGTCTCTTGAAAGCAGGTGCAAGCGACACCAGTGCCAAGTTTGAGCCTGCAGAAATTCTCCCCCCTAGATACCAAAGAGATGGCTCTCTGTGAATAGCACCATCCTAGTTCCCATTAATCCACTCCACCATCCTCCATCAGTCCTTAGTCTGAAGTGTTACTAACAAGTGACTCAGGGTCCCCATCTGATTGAAAACCTTTTAGAAACTGATCTCTTAACTCTGGAAATATCTCTCAGCCCTCTAGTTTGTCTACTTCTGTCTCTCTTAAACACCCAGCTCTTGACCTCTTCCTCTCCTTCTCTGGGACAAGTTAATATCCATGAGCCCAGATGTCACAAATAAAATCTGGGACAGGAGTTATCTTCTTCCTGGTAACCTCTCCTTTCAGTTCTCTAACACAGACTCCAAGAAAACACAAAAATCTGACTACTTTCTTGGGATAGGGGAAAGAAAAATATCTAGAGCAGCAAAAATGACACTCAAAACAAAACTCATCTTGTCACATATTATTCTGGAAGCTTTATCCTAAAACACATTAGGGAACATTTAAAGGGTTCTATGATTTGTATTTCAGAAAGTTCACTGTGGCTATAGAGTGGAGAAGAAGAGGTGGGTAACAATAGAGGTGGGGAAAGTGATTAGAAATAACCATCCCAGTAATCTAGGTGAGAGCTGACTTTGGTCCCATCCAGGGTAGTGCTAATGGAAATGAAGGAAAACAAAATTAAACACAGTATAATATTCATATTTAAATACAGATGCTTGCTTTTCCAGGCAATTTTCTGATTTACTAACTTTTTTTTATATCTGCCACTTCCTTATGAGCTCATTTTCCTTTTTTTCTGAAAGATATCTTTTAGTAGTTTCTGAATCTCTGTATATCTGAACTTGTTTCTTCTTTATCTTGATTTTTGATTTTGAATGATTTAGCTGGGTATAGAATTTTAGATTCATTATTTTCCCTCCTCGGTGCTTTTCTCTTTTCTTTTTTTTTTTTTTTTTTTTTTTTTTTTTTTTTTTTTTTTTTTTTGAGACGGAGTCTCGCTCTGTCGCCCAGGCCGGACTGCGGACTGCAGTGGCGCAATCTCGGCTCACTGCAAGCTCCGCTTCCCGGGTTCACGCCATTCTCCTGCCTCAGCCTCCCGAGTAGCTGGGACTACAGGCGCCCGCCACCGCGCCCGGCTAATTTTTTGTATTTTTTTTTTTTTTTAGTAGAGACGGGGTTTCACCTTGTTAGCCAGGATGGTCTCGATCTCCTGACCTCATGATCCACCCGCCTCGGCCTCCCAAAGTGCTGGGATTACAGGCGTGAGCCACCGCGCCCGGCCTTCTCTTTTCTTTTCTTTTCTTTTCTTTTTTTTTTCTTTCCTTTTTTTTTTTTTTTTTTTTTTTGAGACAGTCTTCTTCTGTCACCCAGACTGGAGGGCAGTGGTACCATCTTGGCTTACTGCAACCTCTGCCTCCTGGGTTCAAGTGATTCTCCTGCCTTAGCCTCCCGAGTAGCTGAGATTACAGGTGCCCACTACCATGCCTGGCTAAATTTTGTATTTTTAGTAGGGGCAGGGTTTCACCATGTTGGCCAGGGGGGTCTCGAACTCCTGACCTCAGGTGATCCACCCTCCTCAGCCTCCTAAAATGCTGGGATTACAGGCGTGAGCCACCAGCTCCGGCCCCTTAGCACTTTTTCTTCACTCCATTTTCGTTTCCCCGTGGAATCTATTGACAAGAAATCTGTTATCAATCAAATTATCATTCCCTTAGCTATTTTGTCTTTTCTCTGTGGCAGCTTTTAGGATTTTTTTTCACTTTGTCTTTATTGTTTTAAAATTTTTCTGTAATGTATCTGAGCATAGATCTTTTCTAGTTTATTCTGTTTGGTACTCATTTGTTCTTTTCAACTTGAAGAATCAAATCTTCTTTTAGTTTTAGAAATTGTCAGCCATTATCTTTTCAAAGATTGTTTCTCTATCATACCATCTTTCCTTCTCTTCTGGAACTCTGGGCTTTTCCTTGTTTCTACATCTGCTATGTATTCCCTGTTTCTTATCTCTCTGAGCTACATTTTGAGAGACTTAGTTCTTTCTTCCAACGTGCTTATTGCCTCTTCAGTCTTTTTTTTTTTTTTGAGACAGAGTCTTGCTCTGTCACCCAGGCTGGAGTGCAATGGTGCCATCTTGGCTCACTGTAGCCTCCACCTCCCGGGTTCAAGCGATTCTCAAGCGATTCTCCTGCTTCAGCCTCCCAAGTAGCTGGGACTACAGGTGCGTGCTACCTCGCCCAGCTAGCCTATCTAATGAATTTTTTAGTGGTATAATAATCAACTGTATTCTTCACTTTCATGATTTCTAGTTTCTTCTTATTCTTCACTTTTCTAATTCTTACTTCATAATTGAACTATATGTTGTGCATATGAAATTGCACATTCTTTCTCATAACTTCCAGTTTTTGTTGTATTATTGCTATTTTCTTTTTAATGTCTTAAGGATTGCTCTATTGTACTTATTTCCTCAGGTGTGAATTTTCCCATTTGTTAGATCTGTTGATTCTATGTTATGCCATTAGAACTTCTTTGGCCTTAAGATTATTGCTTGCATGCATATTTTCTATTGTATTTTTTCCCACATTTACTCTGAGGCTATATAATGGTTGCTCCTACTTCAACACCAAAAGATGCACAAGTAGGTCTTAACAGCTCAGCCAGGGGTTCTCGTCATAAGTAATATCCCACAGCAGGTCCCAAGTCCTGACCTCATTCTGTGACTCATCCTCTGTCCCTGGAAGTTTCATTTCCTCCCTCCATCCTTCCCTTCCTTCTCTCCTTCCTTTTTGTCCTTTCTTACTTTTTATTATAAAAAATGTTCAAACATACATAGAATAGAACTAGTGTGAATAGTATAATGAGCCTCTGGTACCTATTACCCAGCTGTAACACTTATCAGTATATGCCTAATCTTGTTTCATTTATACCTCTCTCCTTTCTACCTCACTGGATTATTTTAAAGAAAATCCCAGACATCATAGCATTTTATCCATGAATGTTTCAGTATGTATGTCTCAGAAGTATTGTCTTCTTTAAAAACACATAACCATAATACTATTATGACATGCAAAAATTAGTAATTTTTTTTTTTGAGACGGAGTTTCACTCTTGTCACCCAGGCTGGAGTGCAGTGGTGCGATCTCGGCTCACTGCAACCTCTGCCTGCCAGGTTCAAGCAATTCTCCTGCCTCAGCCTCCTGAATAGCTGGGATTACAGGTGCCTGCCACCATGTCCAGCTAATTTTTTGTATTGTTAGTGGAGACGGGATTTCCCCATGTTGGGCAGGCTGATCTTGAACTCCTGACCTCATGATCTGCCCGCCTCAGCCTCCCAAAGTGCTGGGATTATAGGCATGAGCCACCGCGCCTGGCCAAATTAGTAATTTTTTAATATTACTAAGCTGTTAGTGTTAAATTTCCCTGATTATTTCATAAATATTTTTATAGCAGTTTTGTTTGCATTAAAGTTCATATAAGCTGCAGACATCGGCAGGGTGTGGTGGCTCACACCTGTAATCCCAGAACTTCGGGAGGCCAAGGTAGGAGGATCATTTGAGTCCAGGAGTTCACGACAAACCTGGGCACAATAAGGAGACCCTGTCTCTACAAAAAATTTTTTAAAAATTAGCCAGGCGTGGTGGTGCAAGCCTGTGGTCCCAGCTACTTGGGAAGCTGAGATGGAAGGATTGCTTGAGTTCGGTAGGTTGAGGCTGCAGTGAGTCACGATCACACCACTACACACCAGCCTTCGTGACAGAGCAAGATCCTGTTGCAAAAAAAAAAAAAAAAAAAAAAAAAAAAGATGCAGACATTGCCTTTGGCTCATATGTCTCTTAAGTCTTCTTTAATCTATAACATTTCTTCCTCCAGAATACAGGGATGAGAGAATATACAGGACAAGAGAAGAAACTACATTATTTATCCTGGACAATTTCCCACATTCTGGTTTTCATTGATTGCATCCATGTGCCATTACTTAACATTTATGGATCTATTGCTTCAATAACGCTATGTAACAAAACACCACAAAACCTCAACGGCATGCAATAATAAGGGTTTATTACTGCTCATGCATCTGGGGAAATTGGCAAGGTGACTTTGCTGATCTTGGCTAAACTTGCTTGCCTGTCTGAGGGTCAGCTGGCTAGCTCCCAGCTGGGATAGGATGACCTTGGCTGGGAGGACTGGGGTGACTGAATTCTCTTCTATGTATCTCTCATCTTCCATTAAATTAGCATGATCATGTCCTTCTCATGGTGATGACAGAAGCCAGAACACAAAGATTGCCAGGGTTAAAGACACAGGGGTCAGCAAGGCCTCACGTGAGGGATCTCTTTTTTTTTTTTTTTTGAGACAGAGTCTTGCTCTGTCACCCAGGCTGGAGTGCAATGGTGCCATCTTAGCTCACTGCAACCTCCACCCTCTGGGTTCAAGTGATTCTCAAGCAATTCTCCTGCCTTAGCCTCCCAAGTAGCTGGGACTACAGGTGCGTGCCACCACACCCGCCTAATTTTTGCATTTTTAGTAGAGACAGGGTTTCACCATATTGGCCAGGCTGGTCTCAAACTCCTGAGCTTGTGATCCGCCCGCCTCAGTGTCCCAAAGTTCTGGGATTACAGGCATGAGCTACTGTGCCCATCCCCTAGGATCTCTTAGAAGATGGCTGAAACAGGAGGAACCCAGGTCCTGAGGGAAATGGGTGACTGGAGAATGTAGTAAGTTGGAGTCTCAGAGAACACTGCAGAGTCCACCAATAATTGGACTGTAGGATAAAAGAATAGTCACAACATATAAAGCAATAGTCCAGATTCTGTGTCCTAAATAAAAAGTGAATCAGAATCAGGATGAACGCATGGCAGATTTTCTGTAGATTAATATTTATTGCATTCCTACTAATGCTAAGTACTTCATCAAACACATCACATAAATTATAGTATAGTGGATGAGACCAAGAATTCTGAGGCTGCCTGGGTCTGAGACCTATCTCCACCAGTGAAATGAGTGAATAGACCCACAATGCTTAGAAAAATGCCCGCCGCAAAGTAAGCACTCAAAAATCTTAGCTGTTACACATGATCTCATTTTACATTCGCAGTAACCCTTTAATATAGAAAAATATTGGCTGGGCGCAGTGGCTCACACCTGTAATCCTAGCACTTTGGGAGGCCGAGGCAGGTGGATCACATGAGGTCAGGAGTTCGAGACCAGCCTGGCCAACATGGTGAAACACCATCTCTACTAAAAATACAAAAAGTAGCCAGGTGTGGTGGTGAGTGCCTATAATCCCAGCTACCTGAGAGGCTGAGGCAGGAGAATCGCTTGAACCGGGGAGGCAGAGGTTGCAGTGAGCTGAGATCATGCCACTGTATTCCAGGATGGGCAACAAGAGTAAAACTCTGTCTCAAAAAAAAAAAAAAAGATAGAAAAATATTGTATTCCCATTTACAGATGGGAAAAGGGAACCACAGACAGGTTAGCTGACATAGCCAAGTCACATAGCCAACGAGCAGCAGAGCAGGAATCCAAACCCAGGAATTTCATCTCAGGGCCCACATACCAATTATGATAGGATGCTATCTCATCTGTATCACTTGATTTGATATGAGTCCTGGAGTTAGTTTTTTAAGTGTCCTTGTCTCGGGCTAGGATTGGCTCCAGAGCCTGAGTATGTGCATAAGAGGGGTGGTGGGGGTGGGGTTGGGGTGGGAGGAACTGGATTTATCCCCGTAAGTGGCTTCAGACATAGGAATTAGTGAGCTACAGGGGCAGAACGCAAGCAGTCAGAACAGTGTGGGACTCCCAGTGGACGAGGGCCCCAAGGACACAGGAGGAGCAGAGGTGTGTGGCCAACGCTGCAGGTGCAAAGCAACGTGTCCCAAAATCAGTCAGCAAGGAGCAAGGAGGGTGATGGTGGAGATGAGTTGAATTTGAGAGATTCTTCTTGAGGTATTTCTTTAAATAGAGTACGAAGAGAGCCATGCCAATGAAAGACCAACTGTAGCCAGTTTTCTAACGTGGTATTTCTTTTCTTTCTTTCTTTTTTTTTTTTTTTTTTTTTGAGATAGAGTCTCGCTTTGTCTTCCAGGCTGGAGTGCAGTGGTGTGATCTCAGCTCACTGCAGCCTCCACCTCCTGGGCTCAAGTGATTCTCCTGCCTCAGCTTCCCGAGTAGTTTGGATTACAGGTGTACGCCACCAGACCTGGCTAATTTTTGTATTTTTAGTAGAGATGGGGTTTCACCATGTGGCCAGACTGGTCTTGAACTCCTGACCTCAAGTGATCTGCCCACCTCAGCCTCCCAAAATGCTGGGATTACATGCATGAGCCACCACGCCCAGCCTTCTAATGCAGTATTAATATTTCTGAAACATGGCTTATTATCAGAAACATCTGGTGGAGCTTTTCAAAACTGCCCATTCCTGGGCTTACCCTTGTCAATGCTAATTAGTAGTTCCAGATAGAGCCTGAATAGCTGAACATTTCTAGAGCTTCCCAGGTCTTGATTAGCTTGGTCTGGGTCCCACTGATCTAAAGGTACAGCCCTTCGGGCTTTTTAAAGTTTCGACTTTTATTTTAGATACGGGGGTACATATGCAGATTTGTTACATGGGAATATTGCGTGATGCTGAGGTTTGGAGTACTGATTCTATCGCCCGGGGAGTGAGCGTAGTACCCAGTACATAGTTTTTTAACCCACCCCAGCCTCCACCCTCTAGTAATCCACAGTGTTTGTTGTTCCCACATTTATGTGTGTTCAATGTTCAGCTCCCACTTGTGAGAACATGCAACAACTCTTCATTTAACAGGTAAGGAAGCTGACACCAGGGAGGTTAAGCATCTCACCCGAGCCACACAGCTGGTTGATGGCAGAACTGAAACTGGGTTTTAGTCCAAAGTTCTTTCTATAATACACATTCCTGTCACTATATTCAACGGGTAAAGTTGCTTGGGGGAAAATACTCCCAAATATAAATGCATTTGTATTTTGATATAGGAGTATCAAATAGCATTCATCGTCATAAACTATGAGCAACCATAATTATGCACAAATTCTATTTGACAAACTGTCTTTTCAGCTCCTAGGTGTGTGGCTGTATCCCCAGGTGGGATATGAGTAGCTTATATATTGGAACTTTTTTTTTTCATTTTTATACCTCCAACTTTTCCCACAGTACATTTAATAAATGTCAGTTAAATAATTGTAATGACCAAAAAAACTCAATATATTATGACATGTTTGGTGGGGAAAATTCAATAGCATGGTATGAAAACATATTTATGCTTTTGCAAACCTCAGAATTTTTTTTTCTTTTCAAGTCTGTCAAACATTTGCCATTTGAATTACAGCTTGTTTGATAAGTGATATCAATCCATGAAGGAATAATATAATACTTCCTACTTAAAGGAGATTTTGTCAAATATGATTGAGTAAACCAACTTCAGATGAATGGATCAGTTAATGCACTTAGCTTGACGAATTCTCTGCCTCAGTTGATAGCACTGATTTTCACTTTGGGGATGGCAGTATGCCACACTAAGCCTGGTGTCACATGTTACCTTCCTTTTTCAAAAAAGAAAACTGAGGCACAGAAAGTTTGCATAATCCTCCTAGATCACACCACTAACAAGTGGAGGAATTTGGAGCCTGTGCTTTTTCTATGCATAGTTTTATGCTGCTGCCCAGGTAAGAAGAAGAAGATTGCTGGGTATGCTTTTGCTTTTGCTGCCCAAAGATGTCTGCAAGTCACACAAGCACAGAGGCAGAAGAAACTTCAAGAGAGTAGGAGGAGACTCAGGGCCAGTGAGAGTCAGTGCGGGAGCTTTGTTAACCACATAAGCCATCTTCATGGGTATTCTCAGAGGTTTCTGAGGTCCATAGAACCTGGCACTCTGGGGGCTCCTGGTCCTGACAGAACCCCAGGATAAGGAATAGGGCAGATTGTGCTCATTTATCCCCAGAGGCTTAGAGCCCAGTAGGGGCTAGCTCTCCTAAGTCTCTGGAACAGAAGTCTTAAGGATTTGTTCAGGAGTCAGCGTGGGGTCTCCACACCAGAAGAATGATGACTTGATGTCCGTAGGGATGGGGCTGTTGTTAGAACTTGGAAGGGCCGCTCGTTACATGACTTGGCTTCAAGTTGTACCTGCATAGCAGGTGCACTGCTTTTGTTTAGATTCTACTTTTATTTGGGGTGGCTTTGAAAGGGGCTGGGTGGAGATTACTGGAAGGGGTGTTTCTAAATCTCCCAAGATACCTCTTTGTGTCCCCGTTGTGCAAGAGACAGCTTCAACTGAAGAGCATTCACCACCATCTGAAAAGGAAGCTGGAACGCCATCGACTCTGAATCTAACTTGATGTTCACAGGAATAGAGGATCATCAAGTACCACGCAGGTGGTACTTGACATCTACAGGGGTCCCTTTAACCCATCTAGAGGCAAAGGAAGTGTGGCAGTCTGGGCCATCTCAGATGGCTCTCTGGACTGCGGTCCCTCTGGAGCCAACCTGTTCAAGTTGGCACACAAAGCTTCCCTCTTAGCTGGGCCTCCATCTGTCCAGGCAGACCCAGTCACATAGTTTTGGGAAAGCAGTCTTGGGCAACCTTCTCTGGTCAGAAGGAGAATGAAAGACCCAGAGGTGGTAGTCACTGGACCCTGAGCAGGAGTCTTAGACATCCAGGGAGACAAACAGTCCCAGCTATAAGGACCTTGATTTAGCCTTTGCTGGAGAAATTATGATTAATGTACCTGAGGAGGAAGTTATCTGGGGTTTGAAGCTGTTTAAATGTCCAGGAGCAAAAGGACGTTAGGTCACCAGAGGCATAAAAGGAACTGAAGGGCCACAGTACTAAGAGAGAATCTCAATGACCTGCCCTCTCCTAGGGAGAAAGGAAGATGGAAGATAAGAATGAAGATGTTCTAATAGAGGGATGAAGGAAGAGGCGCTGCTCAAATGTGCTGGAATCACAGTGATGAACACAGAGCAGTTCTCCAGCATAGCCAGCCACCACGGGGATCCTGCACTGTGCTCTTACCACTACCCCGGGCACCCAAGATCAAGTGCAGGGGCTTCTGCCAGGGATTTGAGACGAGGGCAGCAGACCCTCAAGCTAAGCCTTCTAATTCTAGAGAATGTATTGCTATTGATGAAGGTCTGCCACGTAGATAGCGATTAGGTTTTTTTGTTTGTTTGTTTTGGTTTTTTAAAGATGGTGGAGATGAACAAAAATGGGAGACACATCCATCCTGGCTTGCAGACACCTTTCTGTCTTCGAAGGTGTTAATTCTGCCCAAGTAACCTCACCACACATTCATGTGCTGGGCCCACAGTGATGCTTATAAGTGAAAGAGTTATTGCCAGAAAATGTAGCTTGTGGATGGAAGGGACATAGTATTTCTCACCACCGCACTGGAGCTGAGTAGAACAACTTCAAATACAAAATATAAACTCACCCAAAATATTGACATGCGTGAATGTTGAAGTTGTCTTCAGTTCTACCTTAATCAAATTGGCGAACATAATCCAGTCTTACTAAGACAATTAAAGGGACACTTCTATAATTAGATGGAAAGGTGTTTTTTTGTTTTGTTTTTTCTAGGGATTTCATCATCCACCTTGCCAACAATCTAAAGAAAAAAACATGCAGATCTTATGGCACTAGAGCATACTCTAGTGGTGGTGAAGAAAAGCAAACACTTCCAAACTGCTATCTGTATCCACTGCTGGGGAGTACTAGGTAAATACTTCTTGTTTGGGCAAAAGGTTAGGTAGGATTGCCTCATAAAACAGCAAAGAAAATGGATGGAGCACTGTGTGACAACTCCACGCCATGTAATTCTCCCCTAAGAATAAGGCAAGTTCTGTTTTATCCAATGCTCAAAGCCAAAGGCAAACAAACAAGAATTATTAAAAATCTTAAAACAATCTAAAATAACATCCTACACCGTGAGGTTTTAGCGAAGCTTTTGGGTTTTTTTTTTTCTTCTTCTTCTTCTTAAATCTGAGCCACATTTAGACTTTCCCCTTAGAGATTCTGTTTAAAGAAAGGAGAGGGAGCAGATAATAGATATAATACCTAAAGCAAACTCCCTTCAGCCGTGACAGTGTTATTACAAACTTGAGTGAGTGCCATTATTTCGAATAAATCAAAACAATGGACCAGAACCAATTTTACATAAGAAAATATTGTTCAATTTGTTGCAAGCCATGGTGAAGACTCCTCTGGTCTGTCAAGTGATGGTTAATATAAGTAAGAACATCTGTCCTTGTTAAAGATAGCACTCATAAAAGCAAACTTATACATTTAACCAAGTAAACTCATTGCCATATGCTGTGTGTGTCTCCAAACTGAGGGAAATATATTCCCACGGTTTTAAATGTAAATTATACTCTTACATTCAAACTAACATGAACTAAAAGGAAGAAAAATCCAACATCACCACACACATAAAAAATAAAAAAACTTTTTTTAAAACCAGAAGCTTTGTGTTCTATTGTGTTTAGATTTAAAATATGGAACTATTTAGAAAGAATTAAAGAGATTATGTTTATTTGATTTCAAGTTATCTCAGCAAGAAACATATTTTTCATACCTCTTTGGAAGAACAGCAGGTCAAATGACACATTTGTGAGTGACTGTTTGAAATATTTCAGCCACGCCGCAGGGTCCGCCTGACCTGGGCACCGTAGATCGAGGGAACAAAGGCTTATGTTTTAAAAGTTCCTTTAAGAGCCTTTCTGGGGGAGGGGAAAGGGGGACACGGGAAGCTGTCACAACCTCGCTTTTTATTTTTATCCTATGACACTAATCAGTTTAATTATATTTCTAACCCATGACTTGGGATCATAATTAATTCTTCCAAATGCAAACATTATATTGCATAATTCTGCAACTTTGCAAGAATCAACACAGTTTGTTTCAAAGTCACCCACATTCTTTGAACTCCAGAGTTTCCCAGTCTGTGCAAATTCATTCCTCCCTTTGAGTAGGTTTTGTTTCTGGCTATGTTCAATAGCAAAGGTGGGTCTTTATTCTTAATGATAAAACAAGTTGCAGAACAGTTTCATTAAAGAGATCCAGGATCTGAAGAACCTATTCACTTCATTACTTGACTAAATGAAAATCATACACTGACGTAAGGTTAAATGGGGCTGCGATTTCCTTATTAAATGGAACAATTAATATTACAAGTGTTTGAAGATCATGATCGAGAAGACTTCACTGAACGTTTCCAAGAGTAATTATTGCAAACAGAACACAAACCCTATTTAGGGTGTAACTCAATATGAGGGCTTGTGAGTCAAATGTTGAGCCATTTAGAACTACAAATCTTTCTTTGTGGCCTTATTAAAGAAATTCTCCCATCTCCATTTAAAGGGATAGATTGCCAAGGCCTAAATAAAAGGCCAGAACCTAAAATGAAAATGCTTCTGACTTCACTGCCACACCTGATACTTCCAATACAGATTTCCTCCGAGTGCCGCTTTCTTCACCTCCTTTGCCCCGGGCCTTCATAATCCAGAGAGAGAAAAATGAATTTCATTCCCAAATGCTAGAATTGCTGGTGCAGAATGTAACTAAATATCAGCAGCTGTGCCAGGGCACCTGGGGCCATATAAGGAAGCCTTACAAAAGACTTAGTTATGAACAAGATCCCAGTTCTCTGCTCATCTTGGTTTTCTGTGCTTTAAGAAGGGCAGGGAGAATTGCAACTATGCCCTTAAAAAAAGTGTGTGTGTTGTGGGGGAGGGGGGGGCGGTTCTAGTTCTCAAAAAAAAAAAAAAAAGAAAGAAAGGATAAAACAGGTGTTCCTACTGCAAATAAATGGGACCAAAGTAATGCTGCTACAGCTCATGACCATGACTTCTCAAACATTAATGTACAAATGCATCACACAGGGATCGTTGAAGATGCAGATTCTGAATCAGTAGGTCTGGACGGGGCCTGAGAGTCTGCATTTCTAATAAGTTCTAACATGATGTTGGTGCAGCTGGTCTAAGGTCCACATTTTAAATAAGGAGTTAGAGCAATTCACGGCCTTTTCACGTGATTAGCCTCCTTCTCTATATTACTATTCCAAAGTAGTTTCATTTAATACTTGTCACTCAATCACCGAAGTCAGGATTTTCCTGAAGACAAGCACTGTGTACCCCATCTCTGCTATATCCTTTAGCACCTAGCATAGCACTAGGAATGAGTGCTATTATAAGGATGAGAAAAAGGAAGTAGCAGGTAACAGAGACAGACCCTTTCTGGAGGTATGGGCAGCAAAACTGCGAGGAAGGAGGCAGGTTCAATGGCAATTATGCAATCTTTGTGGAAAAGGTGTCATAGAGCCTCTCTTCACAATTCTTCACAGATATCTTTAACAAAGAGTGTCTGAGAAGACAGTCTGTGATCTCTTTTTATCTCTCTTTCGGTGTTTGGAATGACGGTATTGTCCTTCCAGAAGAGGAAACAGATTTAGCAGAAAAAGATTGGGTTTAGGGACTGGCAAATGGAATGCACTGTCTGTGACCTTGACTCAACCTTAAGATGATCATAGCCACTTGCAAGTTGATTTTAAGGGTTATAAAGGATCTGTATAAAGCACCCAACACAATGGCTGGGGATAATAGTTGCTCAATAAATGTAAGTGCAATCAATTCTCCTGTATCAGGGCTTGCTGTAACCCAGGTGTTTTCAACCTTAGCAACTGCACATCAGAAACAGCTGGGGGACCTTTAAAAATTCCTGATGCCCCCAGGCCATACCTCAGACCGAGTACATTATATATCTCTGAAAGGGTGAATGGGGACGCTCTTAAAACCCCCAGGTGGTTCTAACACCCAGTAGCTGAAGTTGAGACCACTGACCTAAGTGTAGTGAAGGAGCAGTCACTTCTTTGGGGCTTAGGAATAGGCACCAGCTAATTAGCCTCCCCTAAGGATGGCAGGGAGAGAGGGAGGATGGTGAGAAGCTTCCCACCCTCATGCACATCCCCAAGGCGTGTCTTCTCTCTTCTCGCCCTGCAGGGGACAGCAATCTGCTAGCAATCAGTGCTAATCAGTTTCCTCCTAGTTACAGAGCTATCCTGGGGTTGTCAGGACAGTGCCATCCCTCCGGATATTTGAGCATAGATTACTTTGTGTTATTTGTGATTTGTGTTTATCTACCTTCTCCTTAACCCAGTATGATTACTTTATTATTACCACCCACATTTTCCAGGGGTTCACCAATCTGTGAAATTGAATGGGGTCACATGAATAAAACAGCCACCGGAAACACTCATCTGATATTCAGTTCCTGGCCAGCTCACCCCACAAGTGTGTCTGTTTCCTGGGGTGTGCCTTGTGTGTTCTTGAACAAATCCAGTCAGTTACCATGCTGATTCTATAACACCGTATCCATGAGATGAAACTATCTCATAGGATGGTGAACAATTAAAATAACATGCGTAAAGTACACTAGCTTAGTGCGGGGAGCAAAGTTATGTTTTTAATAAATATTATGGTTTTACAATTAACAGGTGGCACCTGCTGGGCTTGACCATCCCTGACAGGCACTGCCTTTGTCAGACACTACAATCCCTTCCTGATGCTATTTTTTCTCATCATATTGCTTCTGCACAGGGCTCCTGTCATTGTCTGGAGACCATGCTGTGGAAGCTGCATAAGAATTTGTGGCAAAGGGGGGCAGAGTCCCAACCTTTTGTGAGACTCGTTACAGAGGTCCCCAGCAGTACAACTGGGGCCCTGAAGTTTCGCTGAGCTTTTACATCCTTCCTTTTTTTCCCTCTAACCCAAGCCTAAGTGCCCACCCCGTACTCAGAATCATTCTGCCCATTATTCCTGAAATGTTGCTGCCAGATTACGCTCACTGGCCTGACTCCCCACTTCCTCTTAGGAGACACTTGGTGGGCTGCTGCACTAGGTCATTAGACATTGCTAGATGTAGCTGAGTCTCTGCAAGGAGCACAACCTGGGCCCAGGCTGGGGCATTGATACGCTTTCCTACAGTGAGGGGAGCAGGGCCTTTGCGAGGTACTGGTTTGCACTTACCACCCACACCTTCATCCACTACCAATTGATGAACAATTTCTGTCATTTGGTAGGTGATGGATGCCAGACCCAGTTATGCCCTCATTAAATTCTGTTTGAGGAGAAACATGATTTATAGGAAGGAATAGTTAAACACATTTAGCACTGCATTTAAATAAGGGCTATAAAGATATAGAGTATAACAGCTACAGAAAAACGCAGAAGAAACAGATATTGGGAGTCAGCTTGGCATGGATTTGTCAGAAGAGACTTTCTAGATGAGATAGATCTAAGAAAATATTTGAAATAAGAGCTGTGGTGTCCCAAGGGAGGGGAAAGGTTGGGAATGTCAGATCAGGGTGCAGGCAAAATAGAGGTACATTGTCTGGAGAGAATTTAAAAACAAAACTAACTAAAAGTCAGTTCGCTTTTTATTATCACCATACACCAGAAATTCTAGACAATAAAAGACCATTCCGGTAGTACTTCATTTATTGGTTTAGTAATTCTCAGCAAACACAATGAGTTGGTGACTTAGACATAGAGAAATCAGTAAGCTATTTGACCTCCCATTGCTCCTATCAAATAAATTAAGAATGTATTTTTAATCTCCCACCTCATGCGATTCCTAAGAGTCTGGTACTTTCTGGAAAGTCCTTTTGGAAGTCCTTTCTGAAACACGCAGTGTTTGGCAAAGACCAAGTCATTTATTCCAATTTAGAATGAAAATAGGAAGTCAGAGAGAGGATTATGGTCATAAACAATATTTGGGGAATGGGCAGTGGGTCTAGAAACTTAGAATTCTACTTCAATCATTACGTTTATGGCTCCCCTACATAAAACCACTGTCCCAACCAAAAGCAGGCAGCCCGTGGTTTTGTGGATGGCCAGGTTGTAGACTGCATGAGAGCAGGAAGTCTTTTCTTTACTCTGCTCACTGATAGAGCTGTGGGGGCCAAGAGAGAGCTTTCCCTTTGGCCCTCTGAAAGTTTGTGGAAAAATCAACTCACAAAAGGCAGACTAGAGAAAAGGCATGCAAATTTCTTTAATGTGTATACACAGGAGCCTTCAGAATGAAGACTCAAGGATAACAGAGGAACTGTCCATTTTTATGCTTAGGTTCAACAAAGTCTGGACAATTGTGTCGAAATATGATTGGGCAGAAAGGGTAACATCTAATGCTAGCTATAGACTGAGCTGGGAAGCCCAGCAAGGCCTGTTTAGATTCTTCTTGGCTTCTCTGAGAATGCATTTCCTCCTTCTCTGGAATGGCAGCCTAATGACCTAAACAAGGTAAGTCAGATAATTTCTTTATGGCCAGTTTTTACATAGAAAGGCAGAGGGAAAGTTAGAGTAAGGCTTTTTTAGGTTTTATGGCTGGCTTTGGGGAAAGGGGGTTCTGGTTTCTATGACCTGCCTTGCGGGAGAAAGGAACTGAGGGATAAGAGAGCAGGAGAAGGTCAGAGATAAATGTTTGCTTCTGAGGCTGCTTCTGAGTTTTTCACTTTGGCATATTGTTATCTGAGCCCCAACATACCCGAAGCACCTGGATAAGTAGTTGGCAAGAGGAGATGGTCAATACACATTCGTTGTGTCAGGGAAAAATCAATAGTTCAAGTGATCCAAACTCAGGTTAAAGGCTTCATTCAACTGATGGGAATCTAGATCTGAAGACCTAGAAACTCCCCAAGATGAAGCAGTATTGGGGGTCTCAAAGATTGAGAAGAGTGGGGGCCTGTCCTTGTGGTCTGGTGGAGGTTGCAATTTTCTGTATCTCTAACTGCTGTACAATCTGCCTTTGGAACAGCTGGAGATTGCTCTGGGTTTTTTATGCCTCCTGCTTGGGAGCACTGGAGCAATCTCATTCCAGTAACTGTCAGAACTGTTCTTTCAAGAGCTGTTTTTATAAGCATGTGGGTTGTCTGTTAGTCAGGGTTCACGGAAGGGGAGGTAACAAAAAAAAGTAGGGGGTGGGGCAGGGGTGAAAAAAGAAAAAGGAAAAAGGAGGCAAGGGTTGAAGCCAGAAAAACCGAGGTCTATTTTAATCCTTTTATAGTGAATGAATGAATGAACGAGCCCCTTGCCTTTCTCCTGCTGAGCCATGAACTGGGAACCTGGAAGGTTGCTAGAAATATTTAAGACACATTAATTTTTTTGGATTCATACACGTAAAATCTGCTGCTGCTAAATGCCCCTCGAGAGCTCTGGCCTCACATGGGAGACTTGCTACTGCTTTCGTTTCCAAAGCCTCTGTTTTAGCAGTCGTGGTAAATTAAAGTCAGATTCACCGCAGGCATTTTAACATCTCTTGAATGATGAGATCAGGACTTGGGGTCCTCACTGCACACTTCAAATGGACGGCCAAGAGGGAGCAAATCAGCCAAGTTCCACCGCGTTTTAAATGTGGTCTAATTCTGCGTTTGTATGCAACTTCCATGTGTTCTGGGGGCACAGCCTGCACTTCTGGTCTGGACCCATTGTCTTGGAAATGTATGTCCTGTTCATAAGAGATGCTGAGAAAGATGAAGTAAATAGATTAGGGCGAGGCCAGTACTCCAGAGAAAAGCACCTTAAAGGCAGTGCTGGTGCTATGTCAGCATTGTCACCTTTAATAGGAAAGGTGCTTCACGTAGGTTTCAAAGGTATTCAGTTTATAATTAGGACTGTGCTGAGGGAATTGGGGAGGAGAAGGAAGTAAGGCAAAATGCTATTTTACTTATTGAGAGAACTTTAAACCATACAGTTCTTTCCTTTTTCAAAATACTTGTTGAGCTGAATGAATCTTGATCGCTTGTCAATCTTCCATTTAGTGGTGTGGAAGTTGGCTTGCACTGGCTCATGTGTGCCAAGTGTGGGCATCCCACTTCACATTCATTAATGTTTGATTGGTAGTTTTAAGTCAGCCATGGTGGGAGTATTTGTGGACATTGACAAATGCTACAAATCAGGCTCCCCATCCCAGGAGCTGGTTTTTACCAGCATACCTCTGCCCCAATTCATCTTTCATGAACCAGCTTGCTACCTATTTTCTCATAAAGCTTCAACTGACAACTCCAACCCAACAGTGATTTCCTGCTTGACATGAGCTGAGAGCACTTATACCAGCTATTCCACTTATTTGACACTTAAGCAATTTACTGTGCCTTTGGTTATTGACTTAGTGTTATCTTCTTAACAGACCACCATTTAATGTTTAATGATTCTTCATGTAAAGTGTAAGCTCCATGAGGGCAGGGGCCATGTATTATGCATCTATGTATAGACTCCCATGGGGTTTGACAGAATGAAAACAAATGGCAGGTGCTCAAACTGATATGTGCTAAAGAAATGAGTTATCGCAGGGGTCCTCAATTCCCTGGCCATGGACCTGTACTGGTCCTTGGCCTGTTAGGAACTGGGCCGCACAGAGGGACATGAGCAGCACGTGAGGGAGCATTACCACCTGAGCTCCACCTCGGGGTCATTTCAACAGTGGCATTAGATTCTCTTAAGAGCATGAATCCTGTTGTGAACTGCACATGCGAGGGATCTAGGCTATGTGCTCCTTATGAGAATCTAACTGATGCCTATGATCTGATGCCAAACAGTTTCATCCCAAAACCATCCCCCCGACCCCTCAGCCTATGAAAATATTGTCTTCCACTAAACTGGTCCCTGGTGCCGAAAAGGCTGGAGACCGCTGAGTTATTGGGTAATTAATATATTAGGTGCTGGAAAACCTGGGCATTTGAATGGAACGTGAAATATATTTTGAAATAAGTAAAACTGTATTTTTGGAAAACAATTAAAATTAACCATATAGCCATAGGTAATGCCACTTCCACCTTGTTGATCACTGAACTGGCTTATGGTTTTTGGAGGCTTTGGCATGCCTTTTGTGCTAGTGCCAGCTTTGCTTACTTGTGAAATCTGAAAATTGATGCGCGGTTTGCTTATGGCACATGTCCTTCAACACTGCAGCCAGTCACAGGCAAAGACAATAAGGCAAAGAATGCCACAAGGTACCGTCTTTTTAATCTGCTGTCTTGCTAATCAATTTGTAAATGGCCATCAAATCTTTTCTCTGCTACTAATTGAAAAACGGATATAAATCATAATCTATATTCCCTGCCTAACTTCACATATAGTGATGGTTTCTACTGAACATTTTTGGGGTCAAGATGTATCTTAATACCAAGAACTAAACTCCACACATAATGTACCAGTAATGGATACATGTGTTTTTAAATATTTGTTTTAATACTAATGTCAGATTATTTAGGCCCAATCCATTCTGTTGATTGGACCTAGTATAAGTGGAAGGATAAAGATTTCTATCCCTACATTAACACATTTTATGGGTTGCAAAGCCACTTTTTTGCCACTAAAACATAAGGTCATGAACTAATAGAATCCTCACTTTCTGAGGGTTTCATTTGGCTTAAAAAAAAAACAGTTTTAGAAAAATTAATCTGCAGAATAGGCTTGTAAAAGTAAATAAGTCATCTGAATTTTATAAAATGTTGCTCTCAAACCAATATCTGTTCCTCAAAACATTTATGTTAAATGGGATAGAAGTAAATGTCGAGAAGCACTCTGCTCAAAGCTATTTACATAAATGTGCTGTCACAGATTATAGTTAAGCGACTTGAGGCAATTCTTCCCCCCACCCCCAAAAAAAGGCTAAAAGAAAAGACTTTTGGTTCTCTTCATATCCTTTTCCCCCCCCAGATAACTAAAATTCCTTATGGTCATTAGTAGTTATAATACTATGTGATTTGCTGTTACTGATTTCACCGTTCAGTTCATTTTTCCTTCTATCATGTGAGTCTTCTCTATCCATCGTTTTTACATCAGTAAATGACAGTCTTGTGGATTTAAAAAAAAAAAATCAGGAAAATAATATAATTAGGACCCTGTTTTTAAAAGTAGGACCATTCCCTCTCCTCTCTGCCCAGATCCTGCAAACTTCCTGCCTGACACCAAAGTTTTCTCCTTTTTTTTCTCCTCATTTCCAGTATTTTATTGTATTCTACTAATTTCTTGTTTCTCCAGAATGGCCCATTTAGTCTTCCTTCGGGGCAAAATCAGATGAAGTGAGAGCTGGAGAATCAGGCCTAAGCAGAGTGACCTCACCCATTTCCTCACCTGTCCCTCTCTCTGCTGTTCAGGCTCCTGGCAGGTGATTTAGGACTCACAGTCCCGGACAAACAGAGTTTATCTCCCAAAGAAAATCCTGAACCAGCTGTCTCTTTGCTTTGGTGTATTTCCTTTGAATTGTGCCAGGATGAACATATTGCAAACTCTTTCCAACCTAAGTGGGAAAAGGCTACTGTAGGGGCATTACCAGAGCTGAAGCCACAAGGCTACAAGTTTTAGGTGACCCCAGAATCTATTTGTCCATGCAGGAACTTAGTAAACACTGGGTTTTACTTTTCAAGAAAAAGGAAACTTTTTTTCTTTTTTGAGACTGAGTCTCGCTCTGTCGCCCAGGCAAGAGTGCAGTGGCACGATCTTGGCTCACTGCAAGCTCCTCCTCTAGGGTTCAAGTGATTCTCCTGCCTCAACCTCTGGAGTAGCTGGGACTATAGGCGCCCACCACCACGACTGGCTAATTTTTTGTATTTTTAGTAGAGATGGGGTTTCACCCTGTTAGCCAGGATGGTCTTGATCTGCTGACCTCGTGATCCACCCGCCTCGGCCTCCCAAAGTGCTGGGATTACAGGCGTGAGCCACCACGCCCAGCGAAAAAGGAAACTTTTTAAAATGCTATTTTCCGCAATTAAATCATGAAGATAAAGAGGCTTCCTATGATTTGTTCAAGGAACTTGGTATTGTTGTTTCTCTTTGAATTGTTAAGCAGCACAAGTTTTCTCTTTTCTTCCCTGAAAGCATCTCTTCTCAGTCCTTTGCTCTCTAGTCTCACTGCCCAGAGCATTTTCTTTCTTCTGTTCCTATGGGGCCATCTGTATCTCATCTTATATTAAAAGCCACCCTCCATATACCACCTGAGGGGTCTTTCCAAAACAGAAATTTTGTTTTTTCACTCCTCAAAACTTTTCAACGTTTAAGTCCTAGCTCCTCAAAATGGCAATCAAGGGCCTGATCCCTTGAGAAAGTGAAAAGCAACTGCATTGATGCCCCAGCTGAACATAAACTACGCTCACAGCACAAGGATCAGACAAGTTCCCTCCATGACCCTGTCTGAAGCAGCAGAGACAAGGATACCCTGCAACCACAAAAGTGACTACAACCCTCCCCCTCTCCCAGCTAACACAAAAGACTTTGCTATTGATGACACTAGCCCCACTTTAATTATTCTATCTCCTAAATCAAATTATTAAATACCCAATTACTGAATTGTCTCTGTTCTTGATGGCGCTCAATCCAGAATGGGCCTGCACTTTTTTAAACCTTAGAACCACTCAGCAAAAGCACAAGTCCCATAATAAGGCCTTCCCAACTCCATCTTACTGAGCTGCTCCACAAACTTTCTGCCATTTATTCTCTCTTGATACAACAAGCTAAATACTTTTACCTTTTCAGCCTAGAAGTGGATTATTGGCAGTTTTGGTCTATTGCCTTTAATAAAATATCTTTCCCCCACAGTGCATGCTCCAGTCATACCAAGACCATGTAAGTTTCCCAGACATACATGTTTTGGTCCTACAGAAGTACCTTTGGTTTGTAGGACATTTTCTTCCTTTTTCCACATAGAAAAATTTTATTTTTCAAAACCCAATTCACATTTTAACTCACATGTGAATACATCCAAGAATCTACTCATAGAATTGGGTCAAGTTTCCACTGTCTCGTGTTAACTCTGAGCTGGAGCCTATAGTGTAGAGGCTTAATGCATATGAACGTGGAAATCAGAGAAGACCTAATTCCTCCTGCCTTTGACAATGTACAACCTTAAGAAGCTCACTTATTACTCACATCTGGCAGAACTGGCAAATGCCATTTCCCTCCATCAATTCTACTCAATCATTACTACCCATTGACAATAAAGCAACTGCACACATATCACGATCCTGGGGCAGAGAGAAACATATCTTTTTCTTATTGGAAGTTTAATAGGGCAATGCCTAAGACTGCTAAATAAACCATGTTTATTTCTTTTGCTTCTTTGCTTCTCTAGTTTATAAACTAGGACTTACCAACTTGATTTATTCTGGAGCGTGGTGGGTGAAATATTTAGATAAATTGGCTCTTAAGAGAGAGAGGGAGTGGAGGATTGTCTGAGGATTAGGTCTAGGTCTCAAGCCTCAGACTCTGTCCTGACCACAGAGTGCTCTCCATCTGGAAATCTGTGATAATACCACCTTCCTCTAAGGGTCAATGGGATGAGACAGATGGAATTTCTCAATCAGTGGTTATCAACTGGTGATGTATACTAGAATCACCTGAAGAGTTTTAAAAACATACTCACGCCTGGGTTTCACCCCTCTAAATTCTGGAGTGAGGCCTAGGTACTGGCAATTTTTTAAAACTCCATGGATGATTCTAAAGCAACATCAGGAGTGAACACTGCTGATCTAGATAGAAGCAGAAAAGTTACTATAAAAACATAAAGCATTTCTCAGTGCTAGGGAATGGGTAATAGAAGAAGCAAGGAAATCTGTTTCCAATAAACAATGATTGACAAATAATCAAATTTTATGAAGACCCTAAGCACAACTTCATAAGGGCTGGACTCTCCCAAACAAAAAGGAAGTAAATGGTGGTTAGATTCACTGTGAAATTCAGGCTGTAGAAATTTAAAACATTAACAAATTTGGAAATGTATACTGTTGCACAGATCAGGGAATATTGAAATGAAATGGGGCCAGAAGCTAATTATATGGAAATATTTCTATTTGCACATTTCTCCAGAAGGCAAAGTAGAGATTGCAACCAATATATCTATACAAATGACAAGAATATTAAGTTTTCTATCATTCCCTTAGTACACTACCTTTCTCAGCATGTATTCTGTCCTAGTTCTTGCAAAGGTGAGAATAATATCAAACTCATTAATTGTCTACATTTTAGAATATGATGTGACTTTAGTGGATGGTGTTAATTAAACTACAAAACAACTCCTCTTGCTGTGGTGTGCATTCCAAGTTAGAGCAATTAATTCACTCACTTAAACTGATCAAGATTTAATTACCATCACTCTGTGCAATTACTCCATAATTAAAGTAATTTGGTTCATTCCACTTGCTGACAGTGTCATTGAACAGCCATTCACAGAAGCAAAAGAAGTGATAATTAACTTAAAGAATAGCTCAGGGCAGTTTTACCCAGACAAGTTCACTGTTAGTTATTCCTAAAATACCTAGAATGAGGTAAAGTGTGGAGAGAAAATCCTGGGAGAATTTTAAAACAAAAATAATCATAAAATAAACAACAATTTAGGGGGGGTTTTGCCTCCCCAAAATAAGGTCCCTAAAAGCTTATGAATTTCTTAGCAGTTTAAATGGTCGTGGTTGCCATCATTATAACCTAACCATAAATTAGTGTGATGGGCAAAACAAACAGAACTTGAAAAAAATTAAGCACTTAAATATTGGTTAGGGCTAATTACTGTGGGGGATTAGCGCCTATTTGCGGGTTGGTAGGTGTGGTACAAATATACTGGTACAAAAAGAACACTCAGAATCTTCAGAGAAGAACTGAATAGGTGTTTAAGAATTGCAAAATCCAAGTTTGGAAAAAGCTTTTGGAAACTGCATGTACGCACACACACAAACACACACATACACATGGGCCACACTCATGACAGCCATGGAAATGAGCAGTTGCCTGTGTTTACCTGTAGAATTATAGAATTTACCTGTACAGTAGTTAATTGACTAGTTCCCCAACCAGCAAAATACAGAAAGATTAGCTTAGGAATTCTGGAATTCTTTTTTTTAATTTTCCTTTTTTTTTTTTTTTTTGAGATGGGGCTGTTACCCAGGTTGGAATGCAGTGGCACAATCATGGTTCATTGCAGCCTCGAACTCCTGCGCTCAAGCAAGCCTCCCACCTCAACCTCCAGAGTGGCTGGAACTGTAATCCCACACCACCACACCAGGCTAATTTTGAAAAGTCTTTTTGTAGAGATGTGGTCTCCTTACTGTGCCCAGGCTGGTCTCGAACTCCTGGGTTCAAGCCATCCTCCTGCCCTTGCCTCCCAAAGTGCTGGGATTATAGGAGTGAGCCACTGTGCCTGGCAGAGTTCTGGAATTCTGATAGAGCACTAATGACAAATACTAGAGCAGATCCTAGGCTATGGATAGGAGTGGGTGGAGTAGATTTGCCTAGGATCACAGGTCTAGAGAGTGAGAGAGCCGAGGCTGAAACTCTCATCTCCCCACATGGTGCACTCAGAGGCAAATTGTATTGAACTGAAGAGACTGAATTAAATGAGGTTTTGGGGGACAGGACCAGATAGAACCTAAAGTGGCCTTCATACTAAAGGGCCAAGCACAGCTTATAGCAGCTCTGCTGGGACTTGGGAATAGTTCCTGACAGTCCTGCTTCTAAGGGAGCTACTCACAGAGGCAACAACCTTCCATTACACTCGGGGGAAAACAATAGCTTTTGAAGGGTGGTCCTCTAGCATCAACCTGCTGAGCATGCATGATACCTGGGGCAGCTTCTCCTGCTGAACCCTATGCATGGAGTTGGGGAGATGGTAAGAGGTGTCATATCCTCTGCCATTTTCTGAACATTATTTAGATGTAACTTGGAAATTTCCACCTTTAGCAATGTATCTTATGAAGCCTGTCAAAGATGCCAAGATTGAGGCCTCCTTTCAGGTGCAATTGACTTGGGTCCACACTGGCAGAATTGCCTTGGGAACAGAGCTCTTCCAGGGAAGCCCTGCCCACATCTGCATCATTATACTCATAAGAAAACCAGATGGCCCAAACATCTTCCTTCAAATACTGACAACAAGGAGGCCGTGGGGATTTGCCCAAGATCACAGGTCTAGCTTGTGCCAGAGCTGGATCTGAAATTCCCATCTCAAGTCAGCCTAGATAAACCATAGAGTTCTTACCGGGCAATTACTAATATAAACTATGGCATGAATGGCTCTCCATTAATCAAAGCATTATGTATTTCCCCATTCATGATATTTCCATGTATACTTAGAAATTAACAATGCATTGCTCAGCCCTTACTCTTTTTTCTCTCCAGATCTCATTTGAAAATATTAGAAGAGGCATGATTTAACATATTGTTCAAGGGATAAGACATATTCCTTCAGAAGATTTTTACTCACAAATTAGTAAGTCATCTATACGTCATTAAAGGTATTTCCCGAATATAATGAAAAAGATTGTAATAATAATATATATAATGATAAAAAAACATTTGTAAATAGTATAATGTCACAATGATCAGGATGATAGAATTTCATAGCTAGATGTGATTGTAGGAATCAGCCTAACAATGTAAATTCATATATAAGGAAGGACACAGATGCCTAGGGAGGTTATGTGATTTGCCAAAGGCCAGGTGCCTAATGAATGGCAGAGCTAGACCCAAATTTCCTCATTCTCATCCAGGAAGCAGTTTAGAAGGTCACAACCTTTCTTAGCACAGATATTTCAATAGAACATAAGACTTTCTGAGCTTTCCAAGGAAATCCACCCAGGCTTCTGCAGGTAAGGGGTGCTATGGTGTTAAGGGCAGAGGCTCTGGAGCCAGATCACCTGCTCTAGATCCCAGGCCCACCACTTACTGATCTCTCTGTACTTCAGTTTTGCCACATGTAAAAAGGGGATAATGACAGTACCTCCTTGTAGAGTTATTGTTGGCTTAAATGAGTCAATTCAAGGAGAGGACTTAGAAGACTATCTCGTCCATCTAACTCAATGGCTATTACTATTCTTACCACACCTTAGCCATGAGAGGCTGTCTCAGCAGTTGTGTCCATCCTCTGTTCTGTTCAGCCTGTTGTTGGACCTCCAGCTCAATCCAATGTGGCTGTTTTCTAGCCCAGACACTTGAGCTTCTAAAGGGTCTGATACTTCCGGGTTGGAATGCACTGTAGTAGGAAAATGGGCCAAACAGAATCCTGCCATCTTGAATTGGCTTACTCATAAAATCATTAACCCAGATCTGCAGACATAGCCAAAACCTCAGGCAGTTTTTTCCATTCTTACTGGAAAACTATTGTTGCTGTCTCTCCAAACTTCTCACCACCAATCTTATTTGCATCCTCTAGCTAATGAATTCTCTCCATGGAATCCTAGTGGACTTTCCACCACAATTTACTTGAGTTTCAAATATTATTTTCTGTTGGGTACAAAGGCAAAATTCTCATTTAAATAAGTTGTTTTCATGTTTTAAAAGTACATGCATGTCTGTGTGAGTGTGTGTGTGTGTGCACACCAATGTGATACAGTGCACAAGTGGCACAGTGTGCAAGAGCGCTGAAGTAAGAATTTGAGAAACTATTTCTGATCCTGATTTATTCCCAAGTGGCTGTGTAAGCTCGAGCAAGTTACTGGCCTCTCTGGTCCTTAGCTGAGTCAATTCTAAAGCGAGGAGGTTGGGTGAAAAGCCTTCTATATTAGGGTTCTCCAGAGAAACAGAACCTTGTTCTATATTCAGACCGTATTCCAAACCTTATTCACAGCCTATTCAAACCCTGTGTGTGTGAATGTGTGTGCATACATAGCTTATATATGGAATTAGTTCATGCCATTATGGAGGCAGGGTGAGTCAGCAGGTTGGAGACCCAGGAGAGCTGACATTGTAGTTCCGGTTCAAAGGCCAGGAGGCTCAAAACTCAGGAAGAGCCAATATTTTTAGTCCAAAGGCAGAAAAAAAGCCAATTTCTCAGTTCAAAGGCATTCAGGAAGGAAAAGTTATCTCTTACTCAGGGGAGGGTCAGCCTTTTTGTCTATTCTGGCCTTCAGCTGTTTGGATGAGGTCCACCCACATTGGAGAAGGCAACCTGCTTTACTCAGTCTACTGATTTAAATGTTAATCTCATCCAAAAACACCCTCATAGAAACACCCAGAATAATATCTGACCAAATATCTGGGCATCCTGTGATCCTGTGGTCTAGTCAAGTTGGTACATAAAATTAACCATCACACCTTCTGGGATCCCTTCCAATTTAAACCCTTATTATATAAAATCCTACTTAACACTAGTGTACAGACAAAAGTCTCTTCTGTAAGTGGAAGCAGTGCTGTCTCCATGGCTATTCCCTAAGTGCAGGAAGCCTAACAACTGCTGTAAGAGAGGTGCATGTAAACTGTAGTAGAACAGAAAAGAAGAAGCCCATTGTTCGGACTGCGGCTCTCTTCACCAAATGTGTACACAGCTTAGCGGCAGGAAATATTCTCTTTGTCTTATAGTAGCCACTAAATAATAACTGCTTATTAAACTGAAAGATATAAAAAGAGTGATAATTGGATAGGCTGGGGAAAACAAACATTTCAAAATATTGAGCATAATATGAAATTAATCAGGTCAGCAGGATGAGAAGTTATATAGGGGAAAAAGTTAGAAAGTCTGGCGAGTAATGACCAGTCCAAATTGAGATACAGGCACACCTCAGAAATAACTGTGAGTTTGGATCCAAACTACCACAGTAAAGCAAATATTGCAATAAAGGAAGTTGCACAAATTTTTCATTTCCTAATGCATATAAAAGTTATTTTTATACTATACTGCAGTATATTAAGTATGCAATAGCATTATGTCTAAAAATGTACATAATTTTAAAATATTGATACAAGAAACTAACAATCATCTAAACCTTCAGCAAGTCATAGTCTTTTCCATTGGAGGGTCTTGCCTTGATGTTGATGGCTGATGACTGATCAGGGTGGTGGTTGCTAAAGGTAGGGTGGCTATGGCAATTTCTCAAAATAAGACAAGAATGAAGTTAGCTACATCGATTGACGCTTCCTTTCATGAAAAATTTCTCTGTGGCATGTAATAGTGTTTGATAGCATTTTACCCACAGTAGAACTTCTTTCAAAATTGGAGTCAATCCTCTCAAACCCTGCTGCTGCTTTATGTTGATGCAATTAAGTTGATGTAATACTCTAAATCCTTTGTTGTCATTTCAACAATGCTCACAGCACCTTCACCAGGAGTAGATTTCATGTAAAGAAACCACTTTCTTTGCTCATCCATAACAAGCAACTTCTCATTCATTCAAGTTTGATTATGAGATTGCAGCAATTCAGCCACATCTTCAGGCTCTACTTCTAATTCTCTTGCTATTTCTACCACATCTGCAGTTACTTCCCTCACTGAAGTCTGGAATCCCTCAAAGTCTCCAGGAGGGTTGGAATAAAATTCTTCCAAATGTCTGTTAATGTTGATATTTTGACCTTCTGCCATGTATCATGAATGTTCTTAATGGCATCTAGAACGGTGAATCCTTCCCAGAAGACTTTCAATTTACTTTGCCCAGATCCATCAGTGGAATCACTATAAGGGCAACTATAGCCTTATAAAAATGTATTTCTTAAGTAATAAGACCTGCAAGTTAAAATTAGTCCTTGATTTATGGGCCACAGAATGGATGTTGTGTTAGCGGGCATGAAAACCATATTCATCTCCTTGTACATCTCCATTAGAGCTCTGGGGTGACCAAGTGCAATGTCATCAATAAGCAGTAATATTCTGAAAGGATTTTTTTTTCTTTGCAGCAATTCTTAACAATGGGCCTAAAATATTCAATAAACCATGCTGTAAACAGATGTGCTGCCATCCAGGCTGTTGCCCCATTTATAGAGTACAAAAAGAATAGAGTTAGCATAATTCTTAAGGACCCTAGGATTTTCAGAATGGTAAATAAGCATTGGTTTCTGCTTAAAGTCACCAGGTACATTAGCCCCTAACAAGAGAGTTAACTGTGAAGCCAGGCATTGACTTCTCTCTAGCTAGGAAAGTTCTCAAAGGTGTATTCCTCCAATAGAAGGATGTTTCATTTACATTAAAAATCTGTTCTTTAGTGTATCCACTTTCATTGATGATCTTAGCTAGATCTTCCTGGATAACGCTGCAGCTTCTATGTCAGCACTTTCTTCACCTTACACTTTAATATCATGTTTCTTTAAACCTCATAAACCAACCTCTGCTAGCTTCCAACTTTTGTTCTGCAGCTTCCTCACTTCTTTATTTTTTATTTATTTTTTTTTTTTGAGACGTAGTCTCGCTCTGTTGCCCAGGCTGGAGTGCCATGGCATCATCTCGGCTCACTGCAACCTCCACCTCTGAAGTTCGAGCTATTCTCCTGCCTCAGCCCCCCTAGTAGCTGGGATTACAGGCACGTGCCACCATGCCCAGCTAATTTTTTGTATTTTTAGTAAAGACAGGGGCTCACCATGTTGGCCAGGCTTGTCTTGAACTCCTGATCTCAGGTGATCTGCCCACCTCAGCCTCCCAAAGTTCTGGGATTACAGGCGTGAGCCACTGTGCCTAGACTGGAGTAGCACTTCTAATTTCCTTCAAGAAATTTTCCTTTGCATTTACAACTTGGCTAACTATTTGGTGCAAGAAGCCTAGCTTTCAGCTTATCTTGGCTTTTAACATGCCTTCCTCACTAAGCTTAATCATTTCTAACTTTTCATTTAAGAGATGTGTAACTCTTTCTTTCACTTAAACACTTAGAAGCCTTTATAGGATTATTAATTGGCCTAATTTCAATATTGCTGTGTCCCCAGGATAGGGAGTCCTGAGGAGAGGGAGAGAGACAGGGGAATGGCCATGAGTGGAGGAGTCAGAACACACACAACATGTATTGGTTAAGTTTCCATCTTACATGGCCACAGTTCCTGATGCCCCCAGACAATTACAATAGTAACATCAAAGATCACTGATCACAGATCATTTTAACAGATTTAATAACAAGGAAAAAGTTTAAAGTATTACAAGAATTACCAAAATGTGACACAGACATGAAGTGAGCACATGCTGTTGGAAAAATGGTGCTAATAGATTTGCTTGACACAGGATTGCCACAAACCTTCCATTTGTAAAAAAAAAAAAAAATCTAGTATCTGTGAAGTGCAGTAAAGCAAAGCACAATGAAATGCAATATGCCTGTATTCTGTAAGTATAAAATACACACTGGAACAGAGACTTAATATTTAAAAAGAATGTAAAATACCTCAATAATTTAAAAATACTGATTATGAGTCAAAACAAAATTATATTGGACATACTGGGTTAAGTATCACCTTAAAATTAATTTTATCTGTTTCTTCTTACTTTTTCAATGTGGTTACTAGTAAATTTAAAACTATATATGTGGTTCAAATTGGATTTCTATTGAAAAGTGCTATCATAGAACTTTGACAAAAGTCTCTAATGAAGTAGAAGATGGTAAAAATTGTTAATGAGAAGATATGGAAATCCTGAAAGGGAATGATGTGGTTACTTGAGTACACATATATACATTTTAGGAAAAAGTTTTTAAGAGTTACTAAAAGTACAGGTGTGCGGAATGTCTTTCTGTTAAATACTCATTAAGAGCTCATGTCCACTCAAGGATGCCAAAAAAGAGCCTATGAAGAACATATAGAATGAATATATCTTATTAATGGACTATGAGGCATTGTGCTTGGCACACTGAGGTTCAAAAACTTTATCCATCTCTTTACATCTCGTTGGCTGGAATTAGGTCATTAAACACAGCAAAGGATAATAGGATTATCCCAAGGACCCAGGGTAAAGAGTTCACCTTTCTTGAAATCAAGTCATCTCACCCATATACCTGAATGCAATTTGAGTTTTTAAGCAGGCAATAAAGGCGACAATTGCTGTATGTAACAATCAGTGCGTGTCACGGTGTCCGGGTTAAAAGATAAGTATACTTCACAGGATTCAACCTGATAGATCCCTTAACAGAAATATCATTCAGAAAGAAGAGGCAATGGGCTCATTCACATTTGATCATCATCTTCCCAAAAGCTTCAAACACAGACATGAATTTTAGTCTTGCTAGCATAGGATTCCAACAATAGGCATTTCTTGCTTTTATTTTAAATGATTTTTTTTTTTTTGAGACAGGGTCTCACTCTGTCACCCAGCCTGGAGTGCAGTGACACGATCACAACTTACTGTAGCCTCAACCTCCCAGGTTCATGCAATCTTCCACTTCAGTCCCCCTGAGGAGCTGGGACTACAGGCATGCGCCACCATGTCCAGATAATTTATTGTTTGTAGAGATGGGGTTTTGCTATGTTGCCCAGGCTGGTCTCAAACACCTGGACTCAAGTGATTCACCTCCTTGGCCTCCCAAAGTGCTGGGATTACAGGCGTGAGCCACTGCTCCCAGCCCAATATGCATTTCATTTAGACTTAGGTAAGGACAAAAATTGGTTTCAGATTGAAAAAGATACACATAAACATGATCCTCTCTCTGTCTCTCTCTCTCTCTCTCTCTCTCTCTCTCTTTCTCTCTCTCTCAATGCTACAACATGGGTATACCTTAGCACTTATTTTTTTACTGCAAGGGGGAAATAAGAGAGTAAGGAAGCTCAAGCCTCTTCTAAAATATAGGATTTTCTTGGATGGTGTATACTTCTGTCTACATTTGTAAAGGCCTGTAATAAACTACCACAAAGTTATGTCTTCCTCTGGTAACTGACTCAATTATGTCATCCCCTTGAGCATGGACCAAAGGACAGATTTATATCATAAAGCACTTGTCCTAGGTATATATTAGTCTATCTAACTCTTTTAGGAGGGCACTTTAGAAAAACAGAAAAGAGAGGATTCCACTGAATTGCTTCTTGAAGCTTTCTTGCACAAGAATGAGACACATTTAGTAATAGGTGGATGTGGACATAATTTATATGAACCTTGCACATTTAATACCATTAATTCTTCAAAACTAATAATATTAATTCATTCAAAAATGAGATTAAACCCAGGCACCCCTTGCAGCCATAATCCGTGACTGATGGCTCCGTGACGCCGGCAGCCCAGCACCGCCAGCAGAGCCCAGCAGAGCCATCAGTGCACGTGTGGCAAATTGCGATGCGAAGCCACCCGGGAGCTCCTGTCTTGAGTTAAAGCATCGTTGGGGAAGAAAACAAGATTGCTTGTCTCTCTGTTCACCTTGAATGTTATATTTTAGCAGCCAAACCAATGATTTATATTTAACACCAGCAGGGCAGGGTTACAAAATTATTTTTCTAAACAGCATTTAATGGAAATCAGCAGGTATAAAGAACCCAACCTGGCTCACAAAATGATGGTCGCTGCAGATGAGTTTATTTCTGACCATGTAAATCAGGTAGGGGCGTTGTTAAATGTAGCCGACCAAGAATAGAGTTATATGTTGCATGATGTCACTCTGAAGGACACCCACTTGTCCCTTGTCTTGTTTCCCTCTCTTGCTCAGTTTGCAATGTATTAACACTCCTACCTACCTTCCTCTTGTCTTTTCTCTACTTTTGTTTTGTTTTTTTGAGATAGAGTCTTGCTCTGTCCCCCAGGCTGGAGTGCAATGGCGTGATCTCGGCTTACTGCAACCTCCACCTCCTGGCTTCAAGTGATTATCCTGCCTCAGCCCCCCAAGTAGCTGGGATTACAGGTTTGTGCCATCACACCTGGCTAATTTTTGTATTTTTAGTAGAGATGGGGTTTCACCGTGTTGGCCAGGTGGGTCTCAAACTCCTGACCTCAAGTGATCCACCCACCTCGGCCTCCCAAAGTGCTGGGATTACAGGTGTGAGCCACTGAGCCCAGCCCTTTTCTCTACTTTTATACATTCTATAAACATTTACTGGGTGCCTACTATGAGTGAGGGATCTACTGGAGCTGGGCCCAGGAAGATTACTAGAAAATGGCAGTGTTTCCCATGGAGGTGCTTTCCAGTGGAGAGGTCATGGTACATGGAAAACAGTAGGCAGACAAACCAGAGTCAGGTAGCTCCAGTGTCTAGCTCCAGCTGGAATTAGAACTAGCTGCACGACCTTGACGCATGATTCAGCTTCTCTAAGCCCCGCTTTTCTCCTTCATAAAAAGAAGGTATCTACCAAATGCTTATAACGTTGTGGCAAGAATGAACTGAAAATATTCATACAACAATTAGTGCAATGCCTGGCAAATGGTTATTAGTTAATAAATAATAGCAAATGCTGTTGTTATTATCATATAAAGTACTCAGCAAAGTACATGTTGTGAATTAGACACCCAATAAATATTTACTCTCTTCTTCGGAAGTGGTGAAGTGGGAGAAATTTGTTTTGGCACATTCTCTCTTCTGTGCCCATTTTCCTCCCTGGTGAGGCTTCTCCCCACTATGCTTCCGTGTCTTCTGTATAAAGCACCTATTATCAGGGACATAAATCTAAAATTTCTCCAGGCTGAAAAAATGTCAGTAAATAACTGACACGTGAAATGAAACTCTAAAAGTAGATGCATAGCCACCAGTCTGTGGATAGAGAAGCCTTCTGCTTTTATTAGGTGCCAGGCACCAGAGATATCAAAAAACCTCTGTCCTCTGACTCTAATTACTGGTGGGGTTGTGATATAGAAAAATAAGCAAAACCAAAACAAAAAAGATTTTTGGGGTTCAATATTCTGTAGCAGGCATTTACTAAATTATTTTTCCAATCAGAGATAGTTTTCTGTCTAAGATAAATTTCTGTGATAGTTGGAAAAACAAAAGTAAATATATTTTAAAATATATAAATATATTATGTTTACAATAATGGTAATATTTGCATATGTTGTGTATGTACATAACATGGATTTTCTCATTACATCCCTTAAAAATTCTACGTAGTTAACTTGTTTGCATTTTACAATGTTCAGATGAGAAAACTGAGGCCTGAGAGGCTAAATAACTAATTGCTTATGCCGGGATTGACAGCTCCTTTGAAATGAATACAAACATGGTATTCTTTACCCTACAGTGTTATGGAATCCTTTCTCACAAAGTTGGGCTTCAATAAACTATATGCAGTTAAATGCAATTTTTATTTTATTATGGGTTTATAGGTGGACTTTTTCTTTACAGTTACTTTTATCAGTAAAGCAAATCACACATATAAATCTGTTGGGAGCGGCTGATGACTCTGGGCTACCTCTGGCTTACATAGAGTTCACCACTAGCATGGCTGGGTGAATGGACGTGTGCACAACCAGCGCAAAAGAACCTGGGCAGCTTCCTCGTGTGTCCCACTGTTTGTTCTGCCCACAGGTATCTGCCCAAGGCCTCATATCTGAAATGCACGCAGAAAACAGCACCGCGGAAGCAGGTTTTTGCTTTCATGTTTTTAATTAAGTAATTAAGTTACTAAGCAATTAACTAATTAACTAATTGGATCTTGTACCTTTTTTTGACACTATTTATTATTGATTAGGGCCTAGACTGTAGGAAGTTACTTGTAGTTTGTCTTTCAGAAGGCTAGATTCTTTTTAATTATGTTACCTATTTTGGTGTCTTGAATGAGAGAAATAAAAAACTCTACCTTGTTTGGGTTGCTCATAGCTCAAGGGATTGTGGCTGGCAATGTCTCCTGAGCTGAAGGCCCAATTCTACAACAGCCTTCAGGGTGCTTGGTAGGACTTAGTGAGGAATACAAGGGCCTAGCTTTCGGGGGTTACTAGCCTCCAGTAATCTTTCCCTCATGGAAAACATACCTCATTGCAATGTGCGGTTTTCCTTTAATACATTCAATTCAATCTCTCTCTCTGTCCCTGAGGTAGCACCTAGGGGCAAGTGAAGTGGAGAGCAGCTGCCATAAAGGCACCGGGGTAGGAAGGTGCCAGGTTTGTTTGGAGTATGGGAAATAGTTTGCAAGGGGAATCAATGAGAAGATGTAGCTGAAGGTTAAAATGAAATGATAGATTGGGGCTTCATTATGTGTCTTGATTATCAGGCTAAGATATCTGGATATCGGGTAGCAGCAGGGAGCTGTTGGAGGTGTTTAAGACATAAAGTCATCAATGAGCTCTGAGTTTTGGATCACATAGGCAGCAGAGTGGAGGGGGTGGGGAGTCCAGGGCGTCTGGAGGCAGAAAGACCCACTGGAACTCGAGTCTGATAGATCACCTTAGACACAACAAAAACCTGGTTTAGAGATCACACAATATTCATTGTGAGAAACAAACTCACCAATCCAAATCCAAGGAATGGACTCAGAGACCTGAGAACATCGAAAGTGAGACTTTTAATGACGGTCTTGCAAGATCGAGTGTCTGATGGGCAGGCACACCCAGGACAGTTACAACAAGCAATTTATCCCCTAGTGCTCAGGTCCCTCACAGGTTCCGGTTTCTCGTAGGCTGAGTACTATGGGGTCACAATCTTCTTGGACGTCGCCTATTGGTTGTTGGGTTGGGGCTTTAGGTGTTTTCTTTAGGGTTGCCTTGCTGCAACCTAGTCAGCTCAGGGGATTTTAAAGTATTTGACTTACGACCTAAGTAGCTGGGCAGGCTGATAAGAACAGACAAAAGCAAGCTATTTTGCTTGCTTTTTTGCTGGTAAATTTTTATCTTAGACTAAACTTCTTTGGTTCGGGTGAGGGCAACTAAGGGTAGAGGGCCCCACAAGCAGTCCTCAGCTCTCCAAGCAGGGGCCTAGTATATCCTGTTTTTTCTGTAGTTTGCTGACATAAGCCGATTTAAGGCACTTTGTCTTGGAAATGGACCACTATATACATTATTTCCTTCTTTCACAGAGAGGAAAGGACACACATTCAAAAGAGGTTTTGGGGGTGGAATGATTCAGGTCGGGGTAGAGAGACAGTCCACTGATCACTGCATATAGATTAAGGATCAAGAAGAAGGCTCAAGGATAGCCCAGAGTTTCTAGGCCAGACGTGACCATCAGATTTCATCTCAAATGCCAAGAGGATTCTGGGGTGGAGAACTGGCTGGGTGATCCTGCTGCAGGCACAGCAAGAGCAGTGGCAGCACACTGGCAAGGTATTTGTCACCCCATCCATGGAGCAGGCCTTTGTTTTTGAATCAAATTCATGTTAGTGCCTAATAATAATTTGATTGGTCACCATCAGCATGATTGCTGAAGACCAGAAGATGTGGAATAAGATAATACACATCACCTGCAAAACTGACCTAAACCAGCATACATCAGCTGCAAAGCTGACCCAAAAAGTAAGCACCATGAGATACTAAAAATATTAACAAAAAAAGAAAAACTATGGAGAACTACAACTAAACATTTTTGGACAATGTAAACGTAGGAGGGCTAGGAGACAAGCCCAGATTCTTCCAAATATGTTTGAAAAATTGACTATAAAACTCTCTTAAAAAAAGTATAGACACATGCTGATGCTTTGTTTCCTCACCTTGTGGGTGAGGAAGGGAATGCTGCCCTATGGTTCTGGAGAGAGCTGAATACATGACGCTGGACACTCAGTAGGTGAGACTGACAGCAGTTATTAGTCCCATATACTCACACTCAAATACTTAGGGAGGAAGATGCTGCGTGACAGCCAGGGCCATGCAGGGGTTGCACTCAGGAGCAAGGTGAACCAGCAGAGACTGTGGAAGGCTGGTGTTGTAGTAACAAGATGGGGAGATGACTCCTGGTTCTCACGGGAGGATGTAACTGGCTTGTTTGGATAATTCCACAGGCTGGCAGGGAAATGGCTCATTAGGTTGAGAAGCAGGTGGGGAGTGGCTGCTCTGGCTGTCAGGGGAACTAGCTGGGTAGGGAGCCATTCCTACTTTTTTGGGAAGAGAGCAGAGGAAATTGCATTTAAGTTTTGGGAGTCCCCAGGAATCTGAATGATGTCAAGACAGCACAGGACATTTTAATATGTTAGCCACTGGCTACATGTGGCTGTTAAACTCATGAAATGTGGCTAGTCTGAACTGAGATACGCTGCAAGTATAAAATACACACCAGATTTTAAAGACCTAGTATGAAAAAAAGAATGTAAAAAATTTCACGACTTTTTAATCAATTACTTGTTGGAATGATATTTTAGGTATATTTTTCAGTTAAGAAAAATATATTATTGAAATTATTTTTACCTATATATTTTTGTTTAAAAACGTGACTACAGGAAGATTTAAAATTACACATATGGCTCATATTTATGGTTTGCATTATGTTTCTATTGGACAACAATGGCATTGACCTTCCTCTAGAAAAATGGGGAATTCAAAATATTCAGGAACAGTTGGTTAAAATCTTTTTTTTTTTTTTTTTTTTTTTGAGACAGAGTCTCGCTTTGTTGCCAGGCTAGAGTGCAATGGCGCGATCTCGGCTCACTGCAACCTCTGCCTCCCAGGAGAATTCAAGCAATTCTCCTGCCTCAGCTTCCCGAGTAGCTGGGACTACAGGCATGTGCCACCATGCCCAGCTAATTTTTGTATTTTTAGTAGAGACAGTGTTTCACCATGTTGGCCAGGATGGTCTCTATCTCTTGACCTCATGACCCACCCACCTCAGCCTCCCAAAGTGCTGGGATTACAGGTGTGAGCCCTGCACCCAGCCGGTTAAAATCTTTGTAGCATGAAAACCTCCACTTAACTGACCAAGAGAGCTCATTATAGCTACTTATTCTACTTATCACTCCTCAAACAGGCCCCTCACAAACAGGTGGAGTATTTTCCTGGTCCTGACTGAATCTCAGCCTTCATTTACTACATTCCAAATTGGCTTAACTGAAGTTCAGAAAAAGAGATTTCACCGTTAAGTTTTTGAACTGCGTTATGGCAAAGCACCAGAAGGGGCCTCAGGTAGGGCAGGAATCCCGGCAGGAATCCCGTCCCTTTCTTCTGTGATGTGCATAGCAGAAGATGCTCTAAATCTTACACAGGATAAATCTCTAAGCCCCTACAGCTTGACTATGCTGGCCAAAAATATCAGCAGGCTTCAAATAACATGAATTAACAGGTTAAAGAAATGAACAACAAATGATTATTTTGACTACTAAACTGAAGGCCAAATGCATGTAACATTAAACAAATTGGAATTAGCACAGTTTTACACACTCAGAAAAAAACTGACTAAAAAAGGAGTGGCCAGGCAGTGGGAAGCTCAGTGTTTGGAGGCAAAAACTGTGCATCCAAAGAATGTTTCTGTTTTCTCACTGAAATGCTCTATTAGATGCTAATTTTGCCGTTTGCTGGTGTGATAACCACTCAGGAATCAAATGCGGCCACGGGATTTGGTTTCACTATAAACAAAGCAACAACTTGCTCTCCAGGTGTTAGAAACACTGAGCATGCATTAGCCATAAGCAGAGAAATCTCCTAAAGTCAGAGCAGAGGGACACAGTTTTTAGATACTATTTATGGACCATCCTAACTAGGTAAGGGTCTGTAAAGCTGAGCTCAGCCTGTTAGTTTCCACTCCAATATGGCCTTAACACTTTGCCCAGAAGACAGTGCCACCTCAAGGTAAGTTTGGGTCTGCTCTTTAAGTTTCCCCCCCAAAAAGACTCATTTTATTCTGAATAATAATAATCATTATATATTATTAATAATCATCTCCAATTATTACTGTGAGCCAAGCACCGGGCTAGGAGTTATACATATACCAACCAGGCTTTACAGCAAAGCTTCAAAGTTGGTAAAGAGTAGATACACATTTCACACATGAGGAAAATGAAGTTCTGAGACATCATTAGCTTATCATCAGAAGTGACTTTGGCTGAAAATAACAGAAAACCTGACAATTGGTGGCTTAGGGAAGTTGGCCTTTATTTGGCTCACGCAACAAGAGCTCATGAGGAGGCCATCTAGGGTTGCCGTATTGGATCAAAGATCCCAGGGTCCCAGGCTCTTTGTGTCTTTCCACTCTGTGCTTCAGAGTATGTTGGGTTTTGTCCTTGGATTCATCATTGCCATATGGCTGCTACACCTGTAGCAGGAAGACGCAAAGACAGAGTGGCAAAGAAACCTGACAGCTTAGGCTGCTTCTCTTAATTAAAGCTTCCCCACAATCCCATCCAGCATCTCATTGGCCAGAACCTGTCTCATGGCTACTTGTTTTCTGGAAAGGCCAGGAACCAGTATTTTTATCTGGACAAAGAACCCAAAGCAGGATTATTTTAGCAAGGAGCAAAGGGAGAATGATTAGGCAAGTAACTATAGGATCTATCACTTTGGGATGGTTTCATCTTAAAGGCTTTGCAGCCTCCAAAGGACCCTATCTTATTAATCATATTCCCAGTGACTAGCACATAGTAGCCACCCAAGGCACCATGTTGAAATCCCACCAAATAGAGAAGTTTGAGTATCCTCCTATGTAAACACCTTCCTTGTAATTTCCTCTGGATGACAGCAAATGCTGCACAATTGGCTACAGTTCAGTTGCACACCATTAAAGTCTCTGCTTAGGGATACTGAGAAAAAAAAAAAAAAAGGCAGGGATGCTAAGCCTTACTGCTTTGCTAAGTGGTTTTTAAAAGGTTTGGAGACCATTTACATGAAAAGATTTCTCCAACAGCTAGATACAGAAAACAATTCCAAGACTACTCTTGTCTCTCCGTCTATCTAAGCTTTTACTAATATGTTTTTAGCCCCTAAGACCTGCCTCAAATCCTTTGCCTTTAAGCAGCAAGTTATTGGCACTAAGCTTCGCATTTTTGCTAAACTCACATTTTCTCCTTAGGAGACATGGATGCTACTAGATACGGGATATTTTTGTAATTGGAAAACAAATGAGTGATTGGCATGAGCCTGTCTGTATACACATGTGGAGGAAAAGTTTTTTGAGGACAACAGCTGATGAGGTAGACTGCAAACTGCAGAGCTAAGGAAGGAGCCAAGAAGACATCATAAACATGACTTTCTTCTAGGATAGCATCAGGATCCCTCATAAGGAAACCCCTGTGGAGTGAGATTTTCTAGGGAAGTCCCAATTTTCAATATTCTGTCCCGTTGCAGCCCAAATGTTTGATGATGTGTCTGAACTGTCATGTGTGAAATACTTGCCTTTATCTATAAGCTTCTGGCAATCATTTTCTATCACAATGATTTAAACCTCCTTGGATTAAACTTCGGTGAGAGATGCTTAGTTTGGCCATTCCCTCTTCTCTATCTTTTCCTGTTGCTTTTCTGTTCTTTATAATAAGTTTCCAGGGTGAAACTCACATTTCTAGGCCAAGGCACTTGTGTAGTTCAGACCACAGGGCTTGGGTGCGCTCATGAGGCCAGTTTTTAAAATTGGGAAGCTGCTCGGAATTGCTAATGATTAACAAACACACACATGAAGTCCATTTTATCTGAAATAATTGCACCTGATTATAGATATACTCATCAAATGGATGTAGTGATAGCTTTACACTAAAATAAAATGAGCAAAAATTTGAAAAAGAATTGTCTTACTTTTTAAGTGTTTAAACCTTGCAGATACATTTGACTTTTATCATATAAATAGCAAACATTTCATTCAATGCTATAGGCTGCTTGGCTATTCACTAGGACTATCACAGCCATTATAGCAATATAATAGTTGTACTAATGTATGCCCACTGGCCAACTATATTCATTTTTGTGTTTGCTTCTGACCTCATCCAAATGATGTTATTTTAAATTGAAAGATGCCCACTGTTTTAGTTCATTCCTGCTGCTATAACAAAATACCTTAGAATGAGGAATTTATAAATAATAGAAATCAGTTTCTCACAGTTCTGGAGGCTGGAAAGTCCAAAATCAAGGTGCCAGCAGAGTCAGTGTCAGCTAAGAGCTCGCTCTCTGCTTCCAAGATGGCACCTTCTTACTGTGTTCTCAGATGTTCTCGGGTTGAAACAGATGGAACAGCCAGGCAGCTTTTTGATGCCTCTTTTATAAGGGCATTTTCCCATTCACAAGGGCACTTCGGGATGGTCTCATCCCAAAACCCATGCTTACATCTTATGAATTAATCACTTCCCCAAAGGTCCCACCTCTTAATACTATTCCCTTGGGAATTGAGTTTGAATATGAATTTTGGAGGGACAACACCATTCAAGCCATAGCACCTGCCTTGTCTTCATATAGGGCACAGGAAGTGCCATTTGACTTATTTTGCGATAAGCTAATACAATTTTGGTCTTGTTTTTATTTTGTTTCTTTCCCTTCCACCCTTCCCAAAAGCTCTGGCATGAGGGAACTTTAACTAAAATCCGTATTTTAAAAGATACTACAGCGAGTGTGGCTTTTTTTTTTTTTCCAAAGGTCTGCTGAAAATTGCAACAGACAAGACTAAAAAGGGCAGGTAATCAGTGCTTTGTCTCATCTTCTGGCTTGTCAGTTCCAAATTTTCAGTCCAACAAACACCAGTTTGGGGTGCTTTTTTAAGCCAGTACATGGCTGATGGTTTCTGGAAACTCTCTCTAGTCAGAACCACACTATCTCAACACACCCTCATCCATAATCCTGGGGTGGGCTCAAAAGCGACTAGGCTGTGTGAAATGTTTTCATTTCCCATTGACTGGTTGTGTACTTCCCTTGTGTTAATCCCTTGTTAATGGACACTTTCTTTGAGCCAGCTGAGATCGGAGTTGTGTTGTCTTTGTGATTCTAGCAGATTTTATTACTTGGATATCTTTGTTTTCATTATTTTGAGATTTTGGGATTTTGTCTGTTTCATTGATATTGATTCTCTCAGAGATGGCCCAGCCTCCCACTGTTTCTGTTTGTGTTTGATCTACAAACAGTGGGAGGGAATCCTCAGCCTGCAAATGTTTTGGTTCTATGCTTCAACTGAGAAAGGCATGGTAAGAGCCATTAGCAGCTTTCTCAACTGAAAACAGATGAATGTGGCTTTAAACCTAGGTGGGAGACTTGTATTTTGTCATGTAAACTACCTCACGCCATTGTTCTGGGACATTCATTTTACAGGGCAATGTGGAATTTTGAAGAGCCCTGACAATCACTTTCTGTGAAATCCAAAGAAAAATACAATTCCTTATTTTGGTTATTAACTGTGCCTCTTTCTAGCTGTGTGACTTTGGACAAGTCATTTTGCCCCTCTGAGTCTCAGTTTCCTTATCTCTAAAATGAAGATACTAGACCAGATGATCTTCAATCTCATTGATTAAGCCAGGGGAAGAAAGCAAAAATTCCTTAGCTGCTACTATACACTCAGGTATTTAAATATTTTATTTCAATGATGTATAGTTATTTGACTTAGTGACAACCCTGTGGGTAAGTACTATCATCCCATTGTGCAGGTGAAAGAACTGAGTTAAAACATAAGTCTGTGTTCTCACTATATCCATCAATACCGAGATACAGTTCACTATATAACTGCTTCATATGGGGAAATGTACCTTCTCTCCTCATTAAGTTTATGAGCACCTAGAAAGGAAAGGCCACATCTGCCAGACACCTACCCCAGGCTTGGTCTTAAATAAATGCTTGTTGAATTGGGTTACTTAGTAATTTACAGTATGTGAGGATAAGATGCCCTTTTGGCAATGCCCCATGCAAATGGATGATGACCCTGCAAATACACTAGTTGTGTGTGGTTGCATCCAGGTACCAGGCTGACTTCAGATGGCAATTACAAGAACTCTGACGGGCTTCTAGGTGTCTATTGTCTTGTCATCCAACTAACTGCCACAAAGATGCTTCTTTTCACTCAGGATCCCTCTTCAGGTAATGCACCTTTTCACTTATGTATCTGCTAAGAAAGGTTAAAAACTGACTAAACAAAGAAGTAAATTTAAAAAAATGTTTAAGTATCAGCAGTCAAGAGATTTAAAAAGCTGAAACATGGTGAAAATATTTTATAATTGCATAATTAAAGAACTAATCTAAATTGGCTAGGAGTTTTATAATAGTTATAATAAGACTGCTATTTCAGAAGGAAGCATACTTTCAAGCATCCCCCTTTATAATCAAGCAGCAGCCTGGGCTGGACAGCCCTGTCTTTGCAGAGAACCTGAACCTTTTTACTCAGAGGTAGAGGAACTGATGGTCAGGTCCAGGCTAAGAAAAGAGGACTTAGTAACTTGGATCCCTTTCAAACTGATACTGTTTACATTTTTGCTAACTATGTAGGAATGGCTGAAGGCTGAAGAAGGAAAGGCTGGAGAACACCAACTCCTGGTGACAATTCAGTTTTGGCCCCCAACTTTTCATTTTGGCCCAGCAAAACAAAATTCCTGTGATTAAGTGTTTGTGCTTCTTAGAAGACAATTTAGCAGTAGTTCATTGCCCTTCATAGCATGCCCTTTGGGGATGCTTACTTAAAGCTTCATACTTGGCCAGGTGCAGCAGCTAATGCCTGTAATCCCAGCACTTTGGGAGGCTGAGGTGGGCAGATCATAAGGTCAAGAGATCGAGACCATCCTGGCCAACATGGTGTAACCCTATCTCTACTAAAACTACAAAAATTAGCTGGGCATGGTGGCACACACCTGTAGTCCCAGCTATTCAGGAGGCTGAGGCAGGAGAATCATTTGAACCCGGGAGGCGGAGGTTGCAGTGAGCCGAGATCGTGCCACTGCACTCCAACCTGGTGACAAAGCGAGAATCTGTCTCCAAAAAAAAAAAAAAAAAAGCTTCATACTTACAGCTGTTCAATTAAGAATTCCTTCCAACCTGTTGCATATCTTTACCTGAAAAGGGGGTCTAGTTTCTCCATCTCCTAACAGTTCTAGAGACACTTTGGCAGGGTCTTGAGCAGCTGCTTTGCTGAGCCACCCTTTAGTGCAGCTCAGGATAGGATGATGTGGTTTGGTGCTCTTCTGCCCGGACCTACCCTTCCCTGGACTGACTTATCGGGATGCTTGAAGACTCTACCATCAGAATTTCTCAGATGACGGTGTCCTAGAAGTCATTCTCAATCCTGAGGACACATCAGAATCCCTTGAGGAGTTAAAAAAGTCCTCGATGCCCAGGCTGTGCCCCAGGCTAATAAAATATCAGAATCTCTGGGGAGGTGAGACCAAGCAGGCATCATTTTGAAAGCTTCCCCAGGTGATTCCAACATGCAGCTAAGTTTGAGAACCATGGCTTTGGAAGGACTCTGTTAAATTACAAGGCTGTTACCTGGAATTTGCAATATATTTATCTGTTACCACTCGTTGAAAATTATGGCTAATTCATCTGTTTTTCTGCAGAGGTCTGAAGAAACATATTTTTTCCTTTGTAAAAAGAGGGGTAGATTATTTAATAGATGGTGCTGGGAAAACTGGCCAGCCACATGTAGGAGGATGAAACTGGATCCCTATCTCTTTCCTTATTAAAAAAAAACAAAAAACTCAAGATGAGTCAAAGACTTAAATCTAAGACCTGAAACCATGAAAATTCTAGAAAATAACCTTGGAAAAACCCTTCTGGACATTGGCCTAGGCAAATAATTCATGACTAAAGCCCCAAAAGCAAATGCAATAAAAACAAAAATAAATAAATGGCACCTGATTAAACTAAAAATCTTCTGCACAGCAAAAGAAATAATCATCAGAGTAAACAGACAACCCACAGAATGGGAAAAAATGTTTGCAAACTATGCATTTGACAAAGGACTAGTATCCAGAATCTACAAGGAACTCAAATCAGCAAGAAAAAAGGACAAATAGGCCAGATACAGTGGCTCACACCTGTAATCCAAGCACTTTGGGAGGCTGAGACAGGTAAATCACCTGAGGTCAGGAGTTCGAGAACAGCAGTGGGCAACATGGTGAAACCCCGCCTCTTCTAAAAATACAACAATTAGCCAGACATGGTGGTGTGTGCCTGTAATCCCAGCTACTCGGCAGGCTGAGGCAGGAGAACCAAAAAAAAAAAAAAGGAAAGAAAGAAAAGAAAGAAAGAAAAGAAAGGAAAGGAAAGGAAAGAAAGGAAAGAGAAAACGAAACCAAATAATTCCATCAAAAAGTGGGCAAATGGCAGGAATAGACATTTCTCAAAAGAAGATAACAAATGGCCTACAAACATGTAAAAATGCACAACATCACTAATGATCAGGGAAATGCAAATTCAAAACGCAATAAGATACCACCTTACTTCTACAAGAATGACCATTATGTAAAAGTCAAAAAACAATAGATGTTGGTGTGGATGTGGTAAAAAGGGAATGGGTATACATTGCTGGTGGGAATATAAATTAGTACAACCTCTATGGAAAACAGTATAGAGATTCCTTAAAGAACTAAAAGTAGATCTACCATTCAATCAAGCAATCCCACTATTAGATATCTACCCAAAAGAAGTCATTACATGAAGACACATGCACATGTCTGTTTATTGAGCACAATTCATAATTGCAAAGACATGGAACCAACCTAAATGCCCATCAACCAATGAGTGGATTAAGAATATACGGTATATATACACCATGGAATACTACTCAGTCATAAAAAGGAACAAAGTAATGTCTTTTGCAGCAACTTAGATGGAGCTGGAGGTCATTATTCTAAGTGAAGTAACTCATGAATGGAAAACCAGATACCGTATGTTCTCACTTACAGGTAGGAGCTAAGCTATAGGTATGAAAGGCATACAGAGTGATAAAATGGACTTTGGAGAGTTAGAAGGGGGAGGGTCAGAGGAGATGTGGGACAAAAAACTACATATTGGGTATAACATACACTACTTGGGTGCATTAGAATTTTAGAAGTCACCACTATATAATTGAACCATGTAACCAAAAACCACTTGTTCCCCAAAAGCTGTTGAAATAATATATGTATAACATATATAAATAACGTAACACATATGTATGTATGAAACATAATGTATTTGGTTTTCCATTCCTGAGTTACTTCACTTAGAATAATGGCCTCCAGCTCCACCTAAGTTGGAGATATATATATATATGTATGTGTATGTGTGTACACACACACACACAAACACACACACACACACTCTTTTAAGAGCATACAAAGGAGCGTTAGAAGCCAGGGTGGAGGTAGCCACTTAGAGCCTTGAAGTTGTAGTGATGTCTGCTCTCTGAAGATGAATGTGTGGCTGACTCTGCCCTGTAGAAGCAACTACGGAAAAGCTGCCTTGTGGAGGGCAAGGACAGAAACAGGAGACTGGGACAAGGGGCAGAAGAGGGCTCTGAGTCACAGTTTCCATCTAGAACCCTCATTGGAGAGCAGAGACCTCAGCATGGCCCATATCATCCCAGCTTCCCCACGAGGAGCTCAACCCTTCCTTTGATGGAAGAAGCTGCCCATTGTCCTATTTGAAGGCCTTTCCATTCCTCTGCTCTGCCCTGCCCTGCCCTGTCTGCATCACATTCTCCTCCAACGTATTAACTTGGTCTTTCATTTATTAAACTTTTATTGAATATCTATAATATACTAGGCTGTCTACTGGGTCCTATAGTGGTGATTTCCTTACTAAAATGTGCATTAGAATTAGCTGCAAAATATGTTTACAAAAGTGTATTTCTACCCCAGTTCCTTATTAAAAATGAAGACTTCCAGCACTCACTCTCATACATTTGATTCAGTAGAGCTGGCTATGGGTGGGAATCTGTGTTTTTAAACATGGCCCCCATACAATTCTGATGCAGGTGGTCTGAGAACTCCAATCTGAGATGCTGTTCCAGGGGTTATATATAGAGAAGAGTCAGATGGAGTCCTTGACCTCAAGGAGAAAGACAACAACACGTTGTAACAGAGCGGCAGGAGCCACAGTGCAGGATCAAAGCGTGTGGTGCTCCAGCCTGGGATTCAATAGGAACTGGTCTAGCCCGTGCTCCACTCACCACTCTTGTACTCTCTCATCTTCACTAGAAATGTGCCAAATAGACCAGTCACAGCCTTGACAGAGGGGTACCCTAATACTAGAGTAAGATCCATAGCACATGACTTGTTCCCCAACTAGTCACATCTGGGAAGTTTGGTGCTTGGTTTCTTCTGCCATATCCCTTCTTGTCTATCTGGAAAATTCCATCAACTGTATAACATTTAATTAAATATGTCACCCTCTGGGCAAAGTCTTGATCCTTCTAAAGCCCAGTTGGTGTATCCCTTGGGCTCTCATGACAGTGTGCGCTTGCCTCTATTTGCTTGTCTCATGCTGTATGTCTCACTGCAGCCCCTAGATCAGGCAGTGCCTGCCAATCTCAGTATCACCAGTGCTTCACTGGGGGCAGGCATATGGCAGATGCTCAATCAGTCTTTATCGAATGGATTCCTAAAGGCAAGAAGAGGCAGCCAGTGAACTTCTTCACATAATAGGAACATCCTGAACAGTCAGAGTGCGATGAGAAGACACTTTCCCTTCTCTAGCATACCATGCATGATTTTCCCCACACTCCAAGAATGGTGGGGAACAATGGAATATGAGCTTCCTGCTATGAGGAACTCTGCATCCAGCAAGCTGATGAATGCCCTTTGTCCAGAGCTCACAGTCCCAAAGACATCTGGGGCAAAGGCAGAGCAAAGAATTCATGTGTAACAGATAGAAATATCTCAGATAGTGCTTCCTGCATACAAGGCCCTATGCTAAGCACTTACACTAGCAACTGACACATTGTCTCCATTTAATGATGAGGGAACTGAGGTACAGAGCGCTCAGTTAACTTACCCAAGAATGTAAGTGGCAGCACTGTGATTCAAACTCAGGCAGTCTGGCTCCAGAGCCCATGTTCTTAATCATTGTGCTCTAGTGGTTCTCTATAATACTGGAAAGCATTCATTTTACGGCAGAAGAAGTGGGGGAGAAGGTCATCATCATGCAAGACTCACTGATTTCATTGTATTAGGTTTTTGTATCACTCAAAATCATTTAATCCCATTTGCCAATCCAGTGCAGCCATGACTCATCATCGTCTTCAGGTATTTAATGCTACCCCCAAATCTATATTAATTCACTAAGTTGGGACTTTTAGAATTCAACATTTTTGCTTACCTCTTCAATTGCTGCATGAGAAAGCAAATTGACCATGCAGAATCCTTTCCATTACTTGGTGTGATTTTATAAAATAAATTATTTTAGTTATTTAAGCTTAAATAATTTTCAGTGGTAATTGCTTAATGCTGTCCACCAAGCTTACTTTTTCCTACTCCTTTCATTGCTTCAAGGTACTCATTGAAGAGGATTTAAAATTATTGCTTAGAACGCTCTTTCCCTTAACCAAGAGTAAAGGGCATTATATATCCAACAGACTACCTCACCTTTTCCACTTAACTTTTCAGAAAAGTTGCCCCGTGCTTAACATTTGCAAGCCGCAGAACAAAGGGAGAAGCTTAGATATTGATGGTGTCTTTGGGAATCAATGCAAGAGAGCTCAGGGGAAACTGGCAGAGGCACAACACCGGAGGAAAAAGCCTTAGGAAAGTCAGAAAAGAGATGTTCTTCCTAAATTAGCCATGTCTGGCAGTGGAATAGGGACAGGGGCAATGGAAAATACCTGGATGGGTGGCCTAATGCCAGAGTCTGCAGCAGACAGCTGCTCCCACCCACTGCCCAAACCGTGGGCATTCTCTTGCATCAACAACCAAAAATCAGAGATGGGAGCCTTTGCATTTGTCAGGAATCGTGCACTAACGCTGATGAATTTCTTTTGTGATGAGTTAAGGAAGGAAGGAAGAAACGAGAAAGAGGGAGGAAGAAAGGAAGGAGGAATACCCAACATAGAAAAAACAAACACCAGCACTCAAAGGTGGCAGAAAGAAATGGCAACCTGCCTAGATTCTACATTTAATCACTTGACTTCTATACTTTTTCAACAAATAGATGGCAATTTATATTACTTTCTTTTCATTTTTCGGGTTGAAAAATAAGAGACCATTGATTTCTTGTCTAGAAAACTTCTGGGAATAGAGTGGTAGGACACAGATGGTTTGGGACTCCCCTGCGAAGCACAGTAAGATAAAACTTGCCAAAGCTTTCTAAACTTGCCTCCTTGAAGCAGACAAAACATTTCATGGCTGGTGGGAAGATGGTGGTGGCGACAGGAGCATAAGTACTTTACAAACAAAATTCTAGTGCAGAAATTACAGGCTGAATCTCTCCAAGGATCCATCCACCCCGATATGTATGTAGTCTCATAATATCTTCAAGGGAACTTGGAAGGTATAAGTATAAAAGTTGCCTTCTCTAAAATTGTTCTCATAGATTAGGAATGCTTCCCTGGGACAAGAATGCTATTTACCTCCAATATTCTTTTTTTTTTTTAATTAAAAAAAATCTTAATTTTTAGCTAGACATGTCGTCTAGTCAAAAGAATTTGCTCTTCAATCTCCCCTGAAGTTAGGCATAGCCAAATGATTACAGTCTGGCCAATGATATATAAAAAGACATGTTGTGTGCAACTTTTGGGAAGTGCCCTCAAAGGGAGAGGGTGCACTCTTCTTTTCTTGGACATGATGCCTGGGAATTGAGCAGCCACTGTGGAACACAACACAAATGATGGCAGGGCAGCAAGCTAGCATATCTAGTCCCTGATGACCATGGAGCGCTGTATCAGCCCTGGATTGCCTTCCCTTGACTTATTTTTTTTTAAATAAATGTTATAGTGCGTATTTGAGATTTACAACATGATGTTATGGTCTTGACTACTATTATGTGTGAAAGAAAAATACTTTCATCTCGTTTAAGCCTTTGTTTGTTTAGTCCATGCTATTGCATGCAGCCAAAGCTAATCTTAACAGATAGAGCTCCTTTTTGTAGTTCATTACAGTTCTGTTATCTATTAAGTTACTAAAATTTTTTTAGGCGAGAAAAGCTGCGACAGATTTTCTCAGAGACCTAGAACTTAGAAACTTATTGATATACTGAGATATAGTTAATAGCCCCCCTTTTGTACAAAAACCTATAAAACAACAACAAAACACACTTAAATTGGATGGCCAAAGAAATAAGGCATAAAAAATGAGAAAAAGCCTAAGTAAAAGAAGTTTCCTGAGGAGGAAAATGATTTGACAGTTTCGAATTCTTCTTTCTCCTCTCAGAAGTTCTCTAAAACACAAACCCAGACTGACTTTCTGATGCTTGATAATAAACATGGCACATTAACTCACCTTCAGGTTCTCAGCAATCGCTTGTGCTGGTACTAATTCTCTTATTTCATGACTTAAAAAACCAATTCAAGGCAGCAGCCATTTCCTATTTCACTAAGTGGATTGAAGCCCTCAGCTGGTGCATATCACACTGTAAGACATGTGAAAAACTGATACCCACAACATAAATCACCATTCCTTTCTCTCCTGAGACGAGGAACATGATCCAATATCTACATAAGGGCTGTCAGAAACATACCAGTTCAGTGCAAGAAAAATAATCTAACACCGCTTCCCAGACACAAAATGTTATTGTTCAAAACATTTTTTAAAAGCACTTTACACCTTTCTCCAAGCAGTTAACTAAAAGCAGTTAGCTAATTAACTGGCTAGTCCCCAACAGTGGACTCTTCAAAAGAAATCCAACACAATTGTCAACATCGTTGACATTTCTTTAGAAAGATGATTTGTGTATAGGATATAATTTTCCAGCAGAGTCTTGGGGTCGGTCAACAGGATCGGTGAAACCTGGTTTACTCCTCTATAAGGCAAAGGGCATTTCATTCTGATCATGAGTAAGTAGTTCTAGTGTTGGAAATAACAAGGGTGCTTTGGATGACTTATGCCATTTTGTGAGAATAAAAGTAGACTTGGGCTTAGATCCAGCAGGAAGTTAAAAAAAATAGCAGCTAATGTTTGGTTTTAAATTTGTGCTTATCTATTTTTCTAGATCAGTCATGGTGAATATATGGCACTTTATTCACTCTGCTTCCCTTGAACGCCCCTGGAAAACATTGTTCATCTGGACTCCTGCTTACTGAGTCCAGATGTAATTTCAGGATACTTCTCAACACAGCATGCTAATTACTTACTACCAAGCGATTGGCTTTGACATGTAAATTAATATTGGTTAGCTCTGCTCCCATGCTTGAAAGTTTGGTGAAAGTTATTTTATCCAATGCAATTGGGCAGTGACTCAAGGCCTTACTGTGGCATATGACTCTGCTGAAGCTCCAGTCATCGCACTGGCTTAAAACAGGGCCATATTACCTCATGCATGATTTCCACTTTCAGTCTCTTTCAAGTGAAGTAAAAACCTAAAGACACCTGTAAAGCAACCTAAGTTCAGAATCCTTTTGAAGTTTTTTATGATTTTCCCACAAGCTTTAACTTTACTTTGTCCATACCTAGTACATCTGCAATATTTTTTTAGGGCTCACCTTTATCAGGTTTTACAAAGGTATTCAACTTGGTTTTCATAAAAACAACTCTTTGTCTTTGTGAGCTCACATTTCATCAGCTTATGTAATATTTAATAAAATTGCATAATTAAAACAACCAGGTGTGAACAGGTTTGGGAACTGTATTAGTCCATTCTCACACTGCTAATAAAGATATACCCAAGACTAGGTAATTTATAAAGGAAAGAGTTGAATTGACTCACAGCTCAGCATGGCTCAGGAGGTCTCAGGAAACGTACAATCATGGTGTAAGGGGAAGCAAACATGTCCTTCTTCACACAGTGGCAGCAAAGAGAAGTGCAGAGTGAAGCAGGGGATGGGGGAGAGGGGAAAAGCCCCTTATAAAACCATCATATCTCGTGAGAACTCGCTGACGATCACGAGAACAGCATGAGGGTAACGGCCCTCATGATTCAATTACCTCCCGCTGGGGCCCTCCCACGGCACATGGACATTACGGGAACTACAGTTCAAGATGAGATTTAGGTGGGGACACAGCCAAACCTAGCTGAATCTCAGGAGGCATACAGCAAACGAGGGGGAGCAGAACGCATGAGCACAGGCACTGATGCTGAGCTTTCAGCTTGCCGGACCCTCAATCGAAAATGTTCTACAGCTGGAAGGGAGTGTGGGTGGATGGATCCTCTGAGTCAGTTAAATGGAGGTCAGCTGGAGATGCCACTGCCAGGCAGAAGCTGCTAATTCTCACCACAGATAATACTATGAGTCATGAATGTGATGACATCATGAATGTAAGAATAAGCGTCATTGCTTTTTTTTTGCTTTTTGTAAAATTGTGGTAAAATGTTTATCATAAAAGTTACAATTTTAACCCTTTTTGAGGGTGTGACCCAGTGGCATTAAGTACAGTCACATTGCTGTGTAACCATCACCACTATCCATCTCTAGAACTTTCTCATCATCCCAAACTGATATTCTATCCCTCTTAAATGCTAACTCCCCATCCCCTCCTCCCACCAGCCCCTGGCAACCAACATTCTACTTTTTATCTCTATGAATTTGGTGATCCCGGGAACCTCATACAGGTGCAACATATATCTATCCTTTTGTGTCTGACTTATTTCACTGAGCATCGTGTCTTCAAGGTTTATTCATGTTGTCTCACTGGCTTTTAGATGGCTTTCCCTAGACACTTTCCTCCTCAGACCATACCATCATAGCCCTGAGTCTGCCATATACTCACGTGGTTGCCTTTCTTCCTTTAGCCTCCTGGACAGTGGCAATCATCAGCCCCCCAAGTGTGAGTGCCGGTGCCTTTCTTGGAGCTGAAAGCCTTCCATGGCGGGCGTTTCATGAAGACCACCCCACAGGTCCCCAGACACAGTTTGCGGGCCTCATTTCGTCCTTCCCAAGGTTCCAGGATTTTCCAATGCCTATTAAATCTTCTGTAACAATCCATTCAAATACACAAGTTTGGCTATTCAAATTACTTTTTCCAAAAGTACTTTAAAATGCATTAAGTTATTAATTGCCTGCTGGCACTTTAATCAAATGGGAAAATTGACATAGCCAGAGGCATGTATTTTTGTGGAAAGAAAATTTATTTAAGAAGAAACAGCAGCTCTTACTGCTTAATTTAAACTGAGAAAACTGTGGAAAATCAACTGCTATGGAAAATTAATAAAACATTTCCAGCTGCAAACAGTGACTAATTGTACAAGATGAAGACTGCCCGGAATTAATAACTTGCAGTCTTCTGTGTGAAGAACCCCCCACCACTTCAATTTACTGGGAGATTAAATTACTTCTAAGTTTGCCATATTAAAACAGAACATGAATAAAATGTTAGTGAACGCACATCTATTATTTACTGTCTGTGATATGGATATAATTATTTCCAAACAACTACAATGTGACGTGACCAGTAATATTTAAATGACTCTTTTAGCAAGAGAATCTACTGCAACATTTTTTTGCATGAAGAAAAAAATTCTTCTTTTACTTCTAAAGTAATAAAATGATGCATAGTGGAGTTCTACAAATGGTGTGTCCCTGTCCCCAGTGGACTGAAATGTGCTCAGTGTCCCAGCTTATACCTTTTCTTCTCTGAATCAAGTATTGCTTTAGGGAAGCATGTGCAGAAGGAAATCTTAGCTACTCCTTCATGAGCCATGACCTTAAATGGAAGCTGATCCCACTGCCCACAGGAAACCACGGTAGATGCTTAAAGGCTTCTCCTGGTGCCTGGTATGACCATGAGCACATGTGCCTAACAGGAGGTGCCTTAATGGGAGGCAGAAGGGAGGGCCAGACTTTTTCCCAAGGAAATAGGACTTATACACAGGGGATATACATCATCACAAGCCCCCTCAGCCTTATGTCTCCAAGTTTGCTCAAGACATTGCATTGTCTCATACGCCCTGGTTTCCTTGGCAATAACACGAACATTCAATAACATAAACAAATCGTGTTACTTTTCTGTCTTTGCTGCCAAGATGGGATTATTCTCTTGCCCCGGAAAGCCACCAGGAAGGTCTGTCCATTTTCCTAGTGCACTCAAACTCTCTGAGACCCTGAGAAGCAAGATGTTATAAGAGGACATCCGGCCGGGTGATGTGGCTCACGCCCGTAATCCCAGCACTTTGGGAGGCCGAAGCGGATGGATCACGAGGTCAGGAGATCGAGACCATCCTGGCTAATGCGGTGAAACCCTGTCTCTACTAAAAATACAAAAAAAAAAGGTCTGTTCAAGAGTGAGACATAAGAAAAAGAAATTCAGAAAACTAAGAGCTCTGTTTGCTCAGGGTGATGGGATGTTTTAGGTTTGTTTAGTTTTTGTTTGTTTGTAAAATTTTAAGAATTAGAAAATAACTCCAGAAATCAAGAGGAAATGAGCTATTTTGATTGATGTGTTTGTAGAGGAGAGATATCAAAGATGGAGATTTTCTCAGCAGAGAGGCACTGCCTCCTTCGGCTGTTTATCCTTTAATGCACACACAGAGGGTACATTCAGCCTCTTGCTATTTGATATTGCTGGCAGGAAGGTCCGAGTATTGGCCTAGAGAGAATAAAAGGCATGTTGTTTAAAAATGCAGAGGCTTAACCTGAAGCATAACTGGTTTGGGGCTTACCACAGAAGTTATCTGGACATATCATTTGATTTCCAGGTTTTAAATGTAATTCTAAACAAGATCTGGCCACACAGCCTTCCACTGTGTGACACAGAGCGACTTTATCTGCCACCAAATGCCATTCAGGCTTAATGCTGTAGAAATGAATTGTATAAATTGGGGCATTCTTTGAGGCCCTAAAGCATTAGTGCCTCTCAGAGGAGGAAAGATGAAGCCTGCTACCTCCTCCCCGTCACTCAGGGAAGAAACCTGTTAGGTTGTTCCTCTCTGTTTGGGTTCATTTTGGTTTTCCTTTTTTAGAAACACTTAAGGCTTGCTTTAGCGAGCCGAGCCTTATCCACAGGCCACATGGGCAGCTGCAGATACCGCTGGATTTGAGGAGTCATTGGGAAGATTCCTTGACCTGGAAAGCCTCTCCTTCCTGCTGCAAATGCAAGACATCCTCGCAAAGTGGGAGACAGCGTGTCTTACATCTCATTTTGCAATAAGGCTCACAGTGCAAATACATAACAGGAAATGAAGTGATTTGGGCTTTGCTAGAGGTGGTGTCAAGCAGGATTTGAACCAACGATCAGTAGACCTTGAAGGGAAAAGGACAGTGGAAAATGGCATTTGAAGAGAATGGGGAGATAGATCCCAAGGTCAGAGTGCCTTGGTCTAGATCAGCCCACATTGGTGAACCGACCTGTCCTCTCCCCTTCACACATCACTTCACATATGGAGTTTGTCCCAGCCTTGAATTGAAAGTGGACATTTTAAAAAATGCATCTTTCCTCTAAGGAGTATGTACTACACAGTGTTTCTCTCTCTGAACCCCCTTCAGTCAGACCCTCTTATTCCTGTTGCTCCTTCAGAACTGCCTTTGTCAAGGTCATCATGACCTTCTTGTTGCCAAATCCAGTGGTCAACTCCAGGTGCTCCTGTTATTTGCCTGACATGAACATCTGATCCCAAACATTTGATCTTTCTTTCCTTCTTGAAACGCTTCCTGTACTGGCTACCAGGAGGCCGCACTCTTCTCATTTTCCTACTACCTCCCTACCACTCCTTAGTCTACTTTTTTTTTTTCTTTTTGAGACAGAGTCTCGCTCTGTCACCCAGGCTGGAGTGCAGTGGCTTGATCTGGGCTCACTGCAAGCTCCGCTTCCTGGGTTCACACCATTCTCCTGCCTCAGACTCCCGAGTAGCTGAGACTACAGGCGCCCGCCACCTTGCCCAGCTAATTTTTTGTATTTTTAGTAGAGACAGGGTTTCATCATGTTAGCCAGGATGGTCTCAATCTCCTGACCTCATGATCCGCCTGCCTCGGCCTCCCAAAGTGCTGGGATTACAGGCGTGAGCCACCGCGCCTGGCCTTTCCTTAGTCTACTTTTAACCACCTCATGTACAGTATATTATTTGCTTTTCATCCCTTTCTCCACAATGATAACGCAACCCTATAAACGTGGGGAGTTCTGTGTCTTGCTCATGCAATCGTCATACATGGTAAGCACTTATTAAATATTCATGCAATGTTGGAGGAATAAAATAGTTTAGAACACTCAGTTTAAAGCAAGGTTGGAATGTTCCTTTTTACAAGGTATGTGAAATTAATACAGTGGAATTATATCTTGCATAGAGATTAGACTCTAAAGTTAGCTTTTAAGGAGTAATTCTCATACAGTCAAAAATGAGGCTTAAAAATCTCTTGAAAGGGGCCTTGCTGAATTCTGATTTACCAATTTCTGAATAAGGCCAACCTAGACAATCTCTCCTCCAGAACTGGAATACGAATTGCTGTTTCTTCAGTTGAGTACCAGATGAAGTTGTTGGCTTGAATTAAGAACCATGATGTACAAAAATATCTACTTAAAACATCAGCCTCTCACACGTGGTGTGGCAGCACTCACACTCTGGCCGTCACAGGAAAGTGGGTTCCCTGCTTCAGTCTCCTGGTCACACATACTCCAGGGCTTGTGTGCCATGAGTCGCATGGTTACAGAAAATACCTGGCATTCTCAAACTCACATTTCTCTCTGAGCTCTTGGAGTGAATTCACCTGTGTTCAATTGCACATATAGACAACTCCACTGTGTGAAGATTTGCCAGTGTCTCTTAACTATGACTGGACACTAGAATCATCTATGGAACTGTAAAAAATATACAAGACCCCACTACAGACTTACTCTATCAGAATCCCCAGGGATAAAGGCCAAGTCTCTATATGTTTATTTCTTAAAGTTTGATAACAGAGTTTGATGCATAGGGAGAATTGAGAGTCACTGCTGGGGTATTTGATTCTGTTTTCATTTGATTTTAATGATTTCTTGGTCCGTCTTATGTCAGACGGCATTCTTCTTTTAGAAAACGTAGTTCAAATTATTGCTGTATATTACTATGGGGTCCAGGTAGTGTATTTCTAGGCAAAATTAGAAAATAAGCATCTCCTGCCTATTAGGGCCCTTGTCCATGATGTCGTCTCACTCCTACCCCATCAGTGCTTGAATACTGCCCATGGGCAGGGAGAGTCCCCTAAACCAAAGCATACTTCAGAAGTGTTCTCTTGGGCAAAACACTATGGATATTTCCTTCCCCTGCCTCTCCTCCAATTTCAACTTACCTTTTCCATCTCATTTAGCTAATCAGAAGTTAGTCTCATAAGCCAACCCCGTTATGGGCTAAATTGTGCCCCTCTGCAAGCTCACAGGTTGAAGCCCTAACTCACAGTACCTTAGAATGAGACTGGATCTGGAGGTAGGGTCTTTAAAGAGGTGATTAAGTTAAAATGAGGCCATTAGGGTGGGCCCTGTTACAATATGTCTGGTGTCCTTATGAAAGGAAATTTGGACACGCAAAGAGACACCAGGAATGCACGTGCACAGAAAAAGACCTCGTGAGGTCACAGCAAGAAGGCAGCTACCTGCAAGCCAAGGAGAGAGACCACAGAAGAAACCAAACCAGCTAACACCTTGATCTTGGACTTCTAGCCTCCAGAACTGTCAGAAAATAAATTTCTGTCGTTTAAGCCACTCAGCCTGTTGCATTCTGTTATGGTATCCCTAGCAACCTAGTACACCTGTCAAGATATTAACTACTGATAAGTCAAGTCTTAAGTACAGACTGTTCGACTTATGATTTTTTGACTTCATAATGGTTTGAAAGCCAAATTCATTCAGTGGGAGCTCTAGGTTCCCATACAACACTTCTGCTTTTCACTTCAATATAGTATTTAATAAATTGCATAAGATGTTCAACACTTTATTATAAAATAGGCTTTGTGTTGGATGATTTTGTCCATCTGTGAGTTAAAGTAAATATTCCAAGCACTTTTAAGGTAGGCTGGGCTAAGCTAGGATGTTCAGTAATTTAAGTGTATTAAATGCATTTTCCACTTCTGATATTTTCAACTTAGGATGAGTTTGTTGGTACTTAACCCCACTGTAAGTTGAGCATCTGTATTTTTCTCTATAAATTATATTAAGAGGAGAAAATATCAGACAGAGACTTTGGCCTCAAAAAACTTGCCATGCATTGCCCCTGCAGGGGTACTTGCATTTTTATGGATCATTCTGGTTATTCTCCACTTGACTTTCTAGAACCTCCCTCCATCCTACTTTGTCCTGCTCAGTGCCCCCAGAGGCTGACTCCAGTGGACTGAATCACCTGGGTTCTCTTGTCCTCTAACTTCGAGTTTGGTTTGGCCAATGAAAAGCACTAACAAGAAATTGGAGGCAGATGAGAGAATTAGGTTATTTATTTCAGCCCCTCTCCAAGAAGGGCCAGGTTTTCTCAAGGATTGGGTTCCTCCCTGGCTACAGCTTTCTCTAGGTTCTGTTATTTCTATTCCCCCTCCTTGTCCCTCCAGGCCTATAGGTGGTCATGGCTTCCTGCTACTCCTAGCCCTCAGGTACTCTCTCCTCTTGTTGATTTTCTTAATCCTGCACACACCTCTATAAATAATCTCTTATTTAAGCTCCTTTTGATTATACCTCTTTGAGCGTGCTGTGCTTCTTTTGTTAGAACACTGACTGATAGGTAGAGGAGTATGTGAGAAAAACCAGCACTTTGGTGTCAGACAGCCCTGAATGTAAACAGCAACCTCATCTGTGAACGGTTATGTAACTCTGAGCAAGTCCTTTTATTTCTCTGATCCTCAGTTTCCCCATTTATGTAATGGAATAATACCACTTTTCTCACAGGGCTGCTGTGAAAATTTAAATAAGATAATACATAGTGCCTAGCAAATATCAGGTGCTCAAAAATGGTATTACGGAAGTAGTTGTAGCAAAATCATGTGCTGCATAAGAACATTTCGGTCAGTGGTACATTACATATATAGTGTTGGTCCCAGACAATTATAATGGAGTTGTCCTAATGGGTGTGACATTTTATGTCATTTATACTATAGTTTTACTGTATCTTTTCTATGTTTAGATACACAAATACTTACCATTGTATTGCAATTGCCTATAGTATTCAGCACAGTAACATGCTGTACAGGTTTGGAGCCTAGGGACAATAGGCCATACCACATAGCCTAGGTGTGTAGGAGGCTATACCATCTAAGTTGGTGTAAGTACTCTCTATGATGTTCGCACAATAGTGAAATGACCTAACAGGACTTTTCTCCAAGTGCATCCCCGTTGTTAAGGGATACGTGACTGTAATTTCATAACACACTCAGAAATATGAAGCTTAAGCCCAAAGGAATGACTTTCTCTTGAGAAGGTTTCAAGTGCCACAGTAATTTCAAAGAGGAAATTGAGGCCCTGGCAGGTCCGCTGTGGTGGGCAGAATTCTAACATGGCCCCCAAGTTTCCCAGCCCCAGGTATGCACACACACACACACACACACACACACACACACACACACACTTTCTCTCAGGTATTCTATCAGACACTCATACAGGTAGTATTATTTATTTATATATTTATTTATTTTTGAGATGGAGCCTCATGGTTCTCACTCTATTGCCCAGGCCAGAGTGCAGTGGCACAATCTCGGCTCACTGCAACCTCCACCTCTCGGGTTCAAGCGATTCTCCTGCCTCACCCTCTCAAGTAGCTGGGATTGCAGGCATTCACCACCACATCCTGCTAAGTTTTGTATTTTTAGTAGAGATGGGGTTTTGCCATGTTGGCCAGGCTGGTCTCAAACCCCTGACCTCAGGTGATCTGCCCACCTCGGCCTCCCAAAGTGCTAGAATTACAGGTGTGAGCCACCACACCTGGCCTAATATAGATATTATGTTAAAGGGATTTTGTAGATATAATTAAGGTTCCATATCACATGACCTAAAGAGAGGGGGATTATCCAGGTGGGCCTTAACGAATCACCTGAGCCCTGTAAAAGCAGAGCATTTTCTCTGGTAGATCACAGAAGAGAAATACAGAATTGTGTTCCAGCTGTCCTGGAAGACAGAAAATATCCATGGTGTGAACAACCTGTGGGGGGGCCACATGGCAAGGAACTGTGGGCAGCCTCTAGTTGTTGAGAGTGGTCCCCAGCCATCAGCTAGCAGGAAAATGGAGACTTCAGTTCTGCAACTGCAAGGAGATGAATTCTTCCAACAATCAGTGAGCTTGGAGGGGACTCCAAGCCCCGGGTAAGAGCTGCAGCCTTAGCTGACTGGTGGACCCAGAAACTAAGATTTCTGCCCGGTGGACCCTGACCTGCAGAAACTATGAGATGACAAATCTGTTATGTTGTAAACCACTAAGTTTGTGGTAATTCATTTTTCAGTAATAGAAAACTAATTCATTTCCCAACCACCATGCCAGCAAGTTTCTATTCTGACTATAAAGAAGATGCATTCTGGCCCCAACTCAGTCACAGAATTGCTCCATTCCCCAGTTTTACCATCAGCAATTGACACATCCCCGCCTCTGCCTACATTTCCTGCTCACTTATCTTGAATGTTCACCCTCCAGGAACAAAGTTTCAAACAACGTTAAATAATAACAACCACACATCAAGCTTCTGCCTGTGCTGGGAAACAAAATAGTCTGCACAGCTATTGGCCAAAGGGATAAACAAATGAAGAGAAACAACACAGAAGGATAGTTTCTGATTGAAAGTGAAATTTTTAGTAGGCTTGCTTAATTTCAAGAGTGACAATGGAGGACTTTGGAAAGTTTCACAGTTCAAGACTAGGAAAAGGAAGGCTTACCAGAAGGCACATAAGTTCTTACCTGTGCTACCAGTGCCTGGAAAGCCACTACACTCTCAGCTTAAAGAAACAGGTAGCACGAGGCCACCGTGCAAACACCTAAAATCTTAAAGAAACAATTGAAGAAGATAAAGTATGTAGGGAAACATTGTTTATGTGATAGAGGTGTGCCTTAAATAAAATGGAATTTGAATAACCATTTTGGTACAACAGCAAGCATTAGCACTAAGAATCCAGTTTACTCTAAAAATCTGTATCTATCAGGGATCATAAGTTATAAGGAAAGAATCTTATTTTTGGTGGCACTTATAAGGGGCTTGAAAACATGTGTCTCGGATGGGTTTTCATGATTTGGATAGATTTTTAAAAACTTTTTCTTATGAACATTTAAGGGAATCTAAATTCCTTTCTGAATCTTCATTGTTCCTCCCTTGTTCTGTGGAATACTGTGGAAATTGAGCTTTTCAATACAGTGCTAAGGTCTTTGTTCCATCATGGGGCTAATTGTTACCATAGGTCATTATAAGATAAGAAGCCACAAATACATGAGGAATAGCAAGGATCTAAGCAACTAATATAATGCACATGCTTGGATGGGGATATATTCTTGCAAAGATATCTTTACATTCCAGTAATTAAGTATGTCACATTAATTGCATGGCCCTTTCACAAAACCTTGCAAAACAAACAAACCAAAAAAAAAAAAAAACCCAAAAAAACAACCAAGAACTTTTCCTCTTGATATCAGACTAAAACTGATTGCATAATTACATTACCTGGATAATTAAATACAAATTTAGTGGCCTCAGAACTGTATGATATTGTGGTTTCATTTTCTAATAGAATTATCCCGCCTTTGGCATAGAATTCTTGCTAAGCAATGGAGATCTAATTACTTAGTGACATGACATTAACTCCTCAGGGACCTTTCTTTGGAATAAAGGCTTAGATTAAAAATGATGCACAGAGCTTCTTTCTCATTTCATTACTGGGATCCAAATCATAGGAATTAGAGATGTGAGAGATCTATTAGGCTTTCTTCTCTCTTATCTAGCAGGCAGGGGAAGAGCGTTCATCAGACATTGTTCTTCTGGGCTTGGTTAGGTCCAATTTAGATAGCAAAGAACCATTTATTGATGTGATGTATTGCTGGGATGAGTCCCTCCACCAGCCCCTGAAAGACATGTCATTACTCTTACCTCACAGATCTTATGTAATGAGATCTGAGGACACACTTGTTTGTCAAGATCCAGGGTGTTAATATGGCAGTGTTCCCAACAGAATGATAATTAATTAATATCAAAAATGATTTAAGGCAGAACTAAAACAGGAATATCATCATATAAGGGGCACCTTCAAATAACTCTATAGGATTTGAAGACCATCATGATTTGGTTTGATAAACAGACCTGGAAGCTCTTGCAGGTCAGAGCCCAAATCTTTTCATAGTTGTTGAAACTTACACTAGCTCCAACTCTCTTTGTGAAAGTGTTTTGATGAGGGCATGCAAAGAAACATCTTCCATCGCCTCTACTAGAGGCAATGACCGTGGAGAGCATATATTTTTCACATTTGTAGTATGTGTCAGGTTGTGGTGATAGCTCACGTGTCTGTGACCATCTGGAGGTCAGCTAGGAAGCTTTGCTGACCTTGGTTAGGCTTGCTCACATGTCTGGGGGTTAGGCTAGCTGCAGGCTGATCCAGGCTGGTGGGACTGGGGTGACTCAGCTCTGGTCCTGTGGAAGGCTAGCCTCAGCACATCCCCATGTCGATGGCAGAAGTGCAAGGGAGAGCAAAGGCAATGCACAATTCCTCTCGAATCTCTGCTTGCATTCTCTCTACTAACATTGCATTAGTCAAAGCAAGTTATGGCATAGGGTGTTAACATACAGACTAACATTCCCATGGTAGGAGAGCAAAGCTACATGACAAAGGACATACATACAGGAAGGGATAAAAAGTTGGAGGGATAAAAAGTTGCAGACATAATTGCTATTTATTGCACAGCCTAACCAGCAACTTGAGATTTCCCTTTTGTTTTATCTGGAAAACATCCTTTATTTATTGTTAAAGTGTCCGGAGGATGACCTTAGATCATAGAGTAGGCTTATAAATGAGCCATTAAATGAGATATGTAGAAAAATTATGTAGTATCTTTATTATCTCTGAGTTCTCTAGTTAATTATTGAAATTGGTAGTTAGAAAGACCAATCTTGGTCTGGGTGCGGTGGCTCATGCCTGTAATCCCAGCACTTTGGGAGGCTGAGGTGGGCAGATCACCTGAGGTCAGGATTTCGAGACCAGCCTGACCAACATGGCGAAACCTCCTCTCTACTAAAAAATACAAAAAAAGTAGCCAGGCATGGTGGTGCATGCCTGTAATCCCAGCTACTCAGGAGCCTGAGGCAGGGGAATCACTTGAACTCGGGAGGTGGAGGCTGCAGTGAGCTGAGATTGTGCCATTGCATTCCAGCCTGGGCCATGGAATGAGACTCCATCTGAAAAAAAAGAGAGAAAAGAAAGAAAGAAAGAAAGAAAGAGAAAGAAAGAAAGAAAGAAAGAAAGAAAGAAAGAAAGAAAGAAAGAAAGAAAGAAAGAAAGAAAGATAGAAAGAAAGAAAGAAAGAAAGACCAATCCTGGATATAACTTACATTACATCTTACTTTTCTATCTTTATTAATCGGTAGCATTATTCCTTAGGAATAGCTGTTATAGTCCACTCAGGCTGCTAGAGGTGAAATTTGTTGGAGCTCTTTTCTCAGGCTCTGAATGCCTCTATAGATGTGGGAGCCCACTTTACATTTATGTTTCTCTAAGCACCTTTATTATCTCTGGTGGGTGTGTATTTGCACAGATGGTTGACAGTCACTCTGATTTTTTGTAGAGAGTCTTTACAGCTTCTTTCACAGAGAATCATTTTAGTTCTGGAATTACAAGGTTGATCAATTACTCTAGCCTGTTATTCCATTAAATATTACAAGTAGTTAAAATACCAAATATGCACAGATTTCTTTTCACTAAAACATGTTGAAACTACAAGTTTGGGTCTCCTCACACCCTTGTATATTTAATTCAGTCGTCCGCAAGTTGAAAGACTTGAATCATCTCAAGCCATGTTAAGGACTGGGATTGCTTAATGAACAGAAGTTATGGGCAGGCCAGTGACTGGATCGTTGTCAATAATCCTGATAGAATGTACTGTTCCTGCTTTATAGTAATTATATTTAAACATCCCCCAAAACACGTGGTCTCAGATAGTCCATTACCTGGGTTCAAGTTATATTATGACCTAAATCTTCTGTAATCACAGTCTGAACACCCTCATCTCCACTCAGGAAAATCACTAGACTAGAATGTGGGAGGGGCAGCTGGCACCATATTCATGTTGTAAACGGTAATTCAATTTCAATAAAACATTATGTCAACATTAATTTAATGTTGTTAATTTGAATTTTATTGGTTTTGCAATTTGTTTGTAATTAGTCCATTTACTTTGGTTTTGTAATTGAATAAGAACTGCAACATAAGGAGTACATAACTAGTTTTATGTTCATACATGTTGAAGTAATATCATTATAAATGTAATTGAAGTCAACATCTGGGGAGCAGTGGGAGTTTTTTTTTTTTTTAAAGGGGTTTGTATAGAACTAGAGTTTGAGAAACTGTGATGACACATTCATATACCAGTCCTATTTCCATTTCCTGCCCAGAGAACTTAAGTATTTTAAAGGTAATTTGAGTACAATAATTAATAAATACATAGATGTATGTATTTATATTCATGTAAAATATATATGTAGGTATACATACATATGCAGAAGAGCTGAAAAATGCTTTGAACTCCTCAGAGATACATTATGTTTACATATGCATTATCATAATAAAAGTTATTACATTGTATCAAAGTATATATACATTGTATCACGGTATTAACAATAAAACCCAATGTGGCTAATCCTGACCCAGGACCGTAAGTCTATGCAGTAAGCTATACTAATGGAGTGGAGTTATTTTTCACTCATTAGAATAACTTGCTTTTTGTTTGCATTTCTCTCTTTCAGATTTTCAAACCAAATGCAAATACCAGGATGAAGCATGCAGTCTGTCTGCTCTGATGGAGGGAACTAAACAGCATTTCCTGTTTCCCCTGAGTATTGTCACTGCTCTACATCTGAGTGATGGGAACCTGGGAGGTGCTCAAACGAGTGTCATTTGATGGGGAGATGCCTGGTGCCAAGTCTTGAAAAACAAACAAGAAAAAATCTTCTCGCTCTGATCCTCTTAACCTGAAGTTCTTACCCTGGAGAGGACTCTGGGAGCTGGGGTGTGGAGGGTGGAGGGGGTGGGGGAGAGGAGAAGGAGAAAAAGGCCTCTCCGTGTAAGAGGAGAGCAAATTGAAAGTCACCGAGGGGTGTGCCTCAAGGCAGTTTGTAAATCCACTTCCTTTGTCATAACAAGAACAAATCCCACCTTTGAAGTTTTTCCTTCTTGTTACAAGGGGAATGTCTTTTGTTTAATCCATTTTAGCCCTTAATACCTGACCTGGATCAATCCTGTTGGTTAGATTACACAGCATTCATGCTGATTTTAAACTGGCCTGGGGGTGGGGGGTGGGACAGGTTCTGTCTCATTGGTGTGAGAATCTCAAGAATAATCAACATGTATACCTAGTCCATTTTTACTTTGAATAACAAACTGTCCTTTTATATTTAAATGAATAATTATAATGAGCATTATTAAACAGATTTTTGTGTGTTCTATTAGTGGTGTATTTTGAATGGTCCCTTAAAAACTAATTCTTTTTCATTTATTCACAGTAGGGTAAGAGACTGATTTTCATCATGTGGTGGATCATGTCTTCAATTAAAAATCGAGAACCACTTTTTCTCTGAGGCCCCACATCAAATGTGAGTGTAAGTACAAATTTTTCCAGCAGTAGGAGACACTTAACTTCTCAACCCCAAGCCTGAGCATCACCTCTTTTTCACAGGGATCTGATCATTGGATAAGAAAGAGAAAACAAGGAAAAACAAAAACAAAACAACAACAAAAAAACCCAAAAACTTGTTTCTAAAACTCAACCGCATTCCTCAATCTCTGAAAGAGTTTTCAGTTCCATTTCTTACAAGAATTGTCAAAGTGGGTGACGAGCAAAGGTGAGGATTCCTCTGCATAAACCTCAAAAGGACCATTTGTTAATTAGGTATGTTTCTAGGCAAGTGGCTATTAACTGATTCTTAACAATACTCACTGTTTCTCAAATCCCTTCATCTTGCCTGAGTGCTAAGAAACCTTCCCAGAAAACCGAATGGATGGCTAAGCAGGGAGGAGGAGAGATGGAGCAGGCTGTAATTATCAGCAGGACTTTCCACTTACCTTTTGTCCCAAAGGAACACAAACTTCATGACTTCTCCTCACCAGCCAGTTGTGTCTTTAAAAAAGCTAACCGCATAGGAATGACCATAAAATGTCCCAGTGAGTAGGGCAGGAAATGTACATTTGATACTTGTGTAAAAAAGAAAATAATGTGCCATCAGCCAAACTGCAAGACAGGTTGGCTGCTGGCTTCTTCGTTTTGGCTTGTGTTTGCTCTACAAGGCTCCCCAAGCTTTGCAAGGGCAGGAGCCATGATTATTCATCTCTCCAGCGACAAATCACATCACAGAGCTTGGGGCTTTGTAAAGTCTCAAAATAGGTTTATGATGATGAATTGACATTGAGAGTACATTGGGTGCTCCTCCCAATAAAGGTGAAACTATCTTAGCTTTGTCATCAATAATCACACCAAGTAAAGGATGTAGAACATGCCACTTTTCCTCTTTAACAATCAGGAGAGAGAAGTATTATTTAAGTTACGGTATTTGAGAATTGAAATTACTTATTGATGTTGTCAGAGGCATTTGAAACAGAGTGACTCCATCTTGAATAGGGGTTGGGTAAAATAAGGCTGAGACCTACTGGGCTGCATTCCCAGGAGGTTAAGGTATTCTTAGTCATAGGATGAGATAGGAGGTCAGCACAAAGTACAGGTCACAAAGACCTTGCTGATAAAAGGATGTGGTAAAGAAGCTGGCCAAAACCACCAAAACCAAATGGGGATGAAAGTGATCCCTGGTCATCCTCACTGCTCATTATACACAAATTATAATACATTAGCATGCTAAAAGTCACTCCACCAGCTCTACGACAGTTTACAAATGCCATGACATCTGGAAGTTACCCTATATGGTTTTAAAGCAGGAGGAACCCTTAGTTCCAGGAATCGTCCACCTCTTTCCCGAAAAACTCATGAATAATCCACCCCTTGTTTAGCATATAATCAAGACATTACCATAAAAATAGCTAACCAGGCCTGGCGCTGTGGCTCATGCCTGTAATCCCAGCACTTTGGGAGGCTGAGGTGGGAGAATTGCCTGAGGCCAGGAGTCTGAGACCAGCCTGGTTAAAATGGCGAAACTCCGTCTCTACTAAAAATACAAAAATTTAGTTGGGCATGGTGGTACACGCCTGTAATCCCAGCCACTCAGGAGGCTGAGGCAAGAGAATGGCTTGAACCCCACAGGCGGAGGTTGCTGTGAGCCTAGATCACGCCACTGCACTCCAGCCTGGGCGACAGAGCAAGACTCTGTCTCAAAAAAAAAAAAAAAAAAAAAAAAAGCCAACCAGCATCCCTGAGGGGAGCAGCCATTCTTTTATTCCTTTATTTTCTTAATAAACTTGCTTTCAGTTTATAATATAGACTCACCCAGAATTCATTCTTGCACCAAGAACCCTCTCTTGAAGTTTGGATTGGGACCCCTTTTGGCTAGCAATGTTATATTAATTCATTTATTCCCATGATGCTTTTTCATCTCTGTCTTTCACACTGGCAGTTAGAACATAATATTGCTGGCAGGAGATAGGAAATACATGAAATGATCCTGAGAGATGATGGAGTTCAGGACACACTACCCCAAAATATGGCACTTTGACATTTGAGAAAACAGCAAAAGCAGGAAGGCTTCTCTGACCTTCTCCTGTCCTTCTCCCTTGAGGCAGAAACATGCCATAAAATAATTCTCTGATTTTCCTGTAAAGTAGGAATAAGACCCTCATTCCAGAGGTCCTCCCTATACCTGGAAGAAAGGATTGGAAATACAGAGACACAGAGATTAATCTGAAAAAACAGGCATTGCCATGTTCCCCCAGTTAATGTGACCATGAGATCACATCTTTTGTCCTCCAATCAAACTTCTACATGTTCTTAAAAATACAGTTTCCCTTGTTTCTTTGGGTCTTCATTTCTGAAGGTCTTACATTCCTGAGTCATGTAAAACTGATAACAAATAAATGTGTTATGCTTTTCTTTTGTTAATCTGTCTTTTGTTATAAGGGCCTCAACCACGAACCTTGTGATGGGTAAGGAAAAGATACTACTTTTTTTTTTTTTGAGATATAGTCTCATTCTGTCACCCAGGCTGGAGTGCAGTGGCGCAATCTCAGCTCACTGCAGCCTCCGCCTCCCGGGTTCAACAGATTCTCCCACCTCAGTCTCCCGAGTAGCTGCGAGTACAGGCACATGCCACCATGCCTGGCTAATTTTTGTATTTTTAGTTGAAACTGGGTTTCACCATGTTGGCCAGGCTTGTCTCGAACTCTTGACCTCAGATGATCTGCCCACCTCGGCCTCCCAAAGTGCTGGGATTACAGGCATGAGCCAGTGCCCCGCCTCCAAGATAATTCATTTTTATCCCCTACAGAGACAAAGCAGAACATCTTAGCCCACTCTTTTAATCATATGAATTAGATTTCAAAGTTGCCAATTTATCTTAATATAAAAATAAATGCAGGTACAGAAATTGATAAGCTGATTCTAAAATTCATAGGAAAAGCAAAGGACCCAGAAAAGCCAAAACTTTCTAGAAAAAGAACAAAGGGGACTCACACCTTCCCGAGTTCGAAACTTGCTACAAAGTTGCAGTAATTAAGACTGTGTGGTGCTGGCATAAGGCTGAGCAGATTGTGATGGTCAGTTCTATGTGTCAGCTTGGCTAGGAAATAGTCTCCTGTTACTCAATCAAACACTAATCTAGGTATTGCCGTGAAGGTATTTTGTAAATGTGACAAAATCTATAATCAGTTTACTTTAAGTAAGGAAGATTATCCTAGATAATCTGGGTGGGCCTGAATCAATCAGTTGAAAGGACTTACGAACAGAACTGAGGCTTCCCTGGAGAAGAAGAAATTCCGCTTGTGGACTGAAGCTTCAGCTTGTGCCTGAGAGTTTCAGCCTGCCCTTCTTGACAACTTTAGGCTTGTCACAATTGTATAAGCCAATTCCTTGCAATAAACCTTGTTCTCTTTCTTCCTTCCTGTATATATGTATGTGTACGTGTGTGTGTGTGTGTGCGTGTGTGTGTGTGTAAGTAATTGATTCTCTTTCCCTGACTAATATGTAGTCAACAGAATAGAATTGAGAGTAGAGTCCAAGAACAAATTCTTACATTCTTACATTTATGGTCAGTTGATTTTTGACAAGGGTGCTAAAATAATTCAATGAAGAAAGAAAGAATAGTCTTTCCAACAAATAATGCTAGGACAACTGGACATCCACATGCAAAATAATGAAGTTGTACCCCCACTTCATGCCAAATACAAAAATTATTAATATGTCAAAATGGACCAAAGACCTAAATGTAAAAGCTAAAACCATTAAAGTCTTAGGAAAAACAGGTGTAAATATTTGTGACTTGAAATTAGGCAATGGTTTCTTAGATATGACCTGGAAAGTACAAGCAACAGAACAAAAAAATAGATAATTGGATTTCATCAAAGTTAAATTTTTGAAATTTTAATCTTCAAGAAATCATCAAGAAAGTGAACAGCACAACCCACAAAATGGGAGAAAATATTTTCAAATTATATATTAATAAATGTAGTAGACTTTTATTAGGTCTACTACCAGAATATATAAAGAATGATTACAACTCAACAATAAAAGGACAAAGAACCCAATTTGAAAATGGGCAAAACATTTGAATAGACATTTCTCCAAAAAAGACATTCAAATTTTAGAGAAATGTCTATTCAAATATTTGTCAATTTTTAATCATTCTATATATATTTGGGTAGTAGACCTTGTTAATATACAATTTGCAAATACTCAAAATTTTTAGTCATTAGAGAAATGCAAATCAAAACCTCAGTAAAATACCAGTTAATATCTACTAGGATGGCTAAAATCAAAAGTCAGACAACAGTAAGTTTTGATAAGGATGTGGAGAAATTAGAATCCTCATACATTGCTGGTGAAAATATAAAATATAGCCGTCACTTTGAAAACAGTCTGGTAGTTCCTCAAAAGGTTGACTAATTCTGCTACAAGGTATATATCCAAGAAGAATGAAAACATACGTCCTCACGAAAACTTACACACAAATTTGCATAGTAGCATTATTCATAATAGCCAAATAGTGGAAACAATATAAATATTTATCAATGGATGAATGGATAAACAAAATGTGGCATAGCCATATGATGGAGTACTATTCAGCCATAAAAAGGAACGAGGTAGTGATACATGCTGCAATGTGGATAACCTTGAAATCACGCTAAGTGATAGAAGACAGACACAAAAGGCCACAAGTTGTATAATTCCATTTATACGAAATATCCAGGATAGGCAAATCCATAGGAACAGAAAGTAAATTAGTGGTTTTAGAACCTGAGGGGGAGAGGAGAATGGGGATTAATAGCTAATGGGTATGGGATTTCTTCTGGGAGTGATGAAAAACTTAACAGAATTAGATAGCAATAATGGTCACGCAAGCCAGAATATATTAAAATCCACTGAAATGTATACTTTATAGGGTAAAATTTATAGTGTGTAAATTATATCCCAATAGAAGAATAAATAGGTGATAAGTTAGAAATCTTTCAAATACATTATAGAACACATATGACCTTACTATAAGTAGGTCTTCATGCTTACAAGATTGACATGCAAAACACACAGTGTTCCCAAGCTGATATTCTGTGATGTTTCCTAGAGGCGAGGGATTTCATTATCACGAGGTTGTGGGATATGGAGCTGTCTACATATGTGCGTATACGGAGCGAAGAAATTTCCCAACTTCATTTGTGTAACATGGTTCATTTTGGTTCTAGGGTAGTGAAATCACCTGCAAATAAGGAAACTTTGAACTGATAAAACCATATAATTAAAGATCCAAGACGCAGTCACTAATCATAATGCTTTTCTGAGCAGCTACCACGTGCCAAACACTTTACATGTGTTATGTCATTTCATATTCAACATACTCCTCTGAAGTTACTGTTATTGTCATATTTCACCAATGAGCAAACTGAAGTTTAATGAGGCTAGTTAACAGGCTAACTTGTGTTGCTCTTTAGTAGAATGTGATAATGGCAGAGTCAAATCTCCAAAGCTTAGGCTCTCCCAATGAAACACTGCCTTCCCAGAGATGGCCCATGAGGGAGGGTGATCTCACTTCTACATTTGGGGAGCTGGGGTAGGCAAACAAATGGAGCTGGGGTAAATAAGGGCCTGGCTATACAGGAAGCCAGCACACACAGGTAGAAACACCAGGCAGAAGCATCTTCACTTTGAGACAGGGCACCTCTTCCTTAAGAAGTGTGTTCTTTCACAATCCCCAAATAATGAAGTTTTCTCTGTGTGTGTTTTATCCAGAAATACTATTTCTTAAGGAATTATAGCATGCAGCAAAACTCGCTGAGGTTCTCACTGATTCAGTTGGTGTTTATTAAGTGACTACTACGTGCCTGGCTCTGTGCCCAGTCTTGGGGACATAAACATGAATATGACATATATGAATAAGACTCCTCAAGGAGCCCAATCTAGTGGTGAGCAAAGATAAGAAAACAGACAGCTACAATTCAGTGTGATACATGCCAACACAGTTTGTCATGAGGCCAGAGATGGGCCTGCTTAACACTGAGAGGTAGAGCCAGGAAATGCTCATGAAGATGAGTTCAGTAGAAGCCTGAGGATGAGCAGAAATTCACTAGGAACATAGCCCTGGGTATAAGGAGAAGTTAGTTCAGAAGAGAAAAGGAGAAAAGGAGGGGGAGAAAGGCATGCACAGCAAGGGGAACACCTGCAAACAGTGATGGAGCCCATTGTGTTTCCATCCCACACCACCTGAAGACCACACTTCACAAGCCAGCAAGTCTGGGATGGCAAGGGCTTGTGACAGACACTGTGAGTTGTCTACCCAATAACTCCCTTCCCTTCTTGTTAATGGAATCCTAATTTTGTTTGTGATAACAAACAGCCCGCCCTTGGAGATGAACCGTGACTGGTCACGTCAATCCTTTTGCTCTTAGACGACACTCATTTTCCTAGCCTCCCTTAGAGCTGGGGGTGATCAGATGACCCAGTTCTGGTCCATGAAATGTAATGGGAAAAGTTTCTCCTTTCCTGAAAGAAGGGGCAGAATGGCTGGCACCACCTCTTTCCCATTCTTCTTGCCTCCACCTTAAATATGATACCTGAAATAATACCATGAAACAATAAAAACTAAAATCCAACTTACTGAGAATGAAGGACAGAAAAGACATATATAACCTATGTCCTTGATGCATGATAGAGCAGTTGTTATAACCAGAAAATCCTCCTGCATAGGACTTCTTGTCATACAATAATCTCCCATTTTCAAGCCATCATTGCTGGACATGCTGTAAGTAGTGATCAAAAGCATTTGTACATGATAGAACTTCCAGCTAAAAACAGAGAAGTAGTCCTCTCCCTATTCCTTCTTTAAAATTCCTCTATCAACAGCTTTTCTCAGTTTGGTGCATAGGTTTCATTCTTGACTGACCAGCTCTGTGGATGTCCTTCCTAATATCCATTCATTCCCAACTCTGGGGAGTTACAAAAAGAATGATGTCATTTTGCCCTGGCATATTCAGGATAATGCGGTGTCCATGGCAGCCATTATGTTGTATGAGGTCCCTGGAGCCACGACAGATAGTAAATGACTGTGGTGGAGATGGCACACGATCCTGGGGCCATGCACATGTCAGGCTGCAATTACCAGAAAGATTTCAGCTTTTGCTCCTGGCAGAGGACCTTGTTTATATTTGTCATTGGCACCATTGCTTCCATCACTGGGCCAAAAGCTTATTAGCCACTGGAAGTTGGCAGAGGTGCATGGACCAGAGCAGCTGACTGTGACATGAGGAACTGATATTCTTGCAGTCTTAACAGTGTCTCCACTGCAGCTTTCTACTGGCCAAATTTGTGAGGACCCACCTGTAACAAGGGGCAACTGGCTATCTTTAGTCATCAGCATCAAATCCATCTTCAGCCCGAAAGACAGAAATAATTTAATCCTAGACTTGGATAGATTCGGTGAGTTTTTTCTTTCATGCTCTATGTAAGAAAAACCCACAAAGAAAGCAGCCAAAAATGACTTTTACCCCTGAGTTGAGATCACCTAGATTTTATTCATCAGTGAAAGCTCCGAGAAACGACAAAGCCTTGTGAAAATACACACAGTTGTCCCTCAGTATCCACTGGGGATTAGTTCCAAGATCCCTGCAGATACCAAAATTCAGGGATGCTCTAAGTCCCTTATATAAAATGGCACAGTATTTGCACATAACTTTTACATCATCTCTAGATTACTTATAACACCTAATAAAATGTAAATGCTATGTAAATAGTTGTACTGTATTTTTATTTGTAGTATTTTTTATTGTTGTTTTGTTATTTTTAAAAAACATTTTCAACCCATAGTTGGTTTGAATTTGCAGATGCGGAACCGGCAAATGGAGAGATGACTGTATACTTTCCTCTGTGAATAATAGGGACTTACTTAATGTAAGATCATCATCTTTAGGAGATGGTGGGCTCAGTAAGGGCAGAAGCAAGGTTTTTTATTTTAGCATCTCCCCACAGGACCTAATTTGATGCTCCCTCTTTGTAACTGCATCTTGTGCTGTTTTCCTCACTCTCTCACTCATCTCTCTTGCCTCTCTCATCTCCACCTCTTGCATTTTTTCTTCTCTGGGAGGCTCCATGTCCTTTTACATGGAGATTAATTTAGTTTACCTGGGCTTCTGCAATTCTGCATCTCTACCTATTACCCTCTAAGCACAGCAAAGGCTGGCTAGCCAAGTAGTGCCAATAAGGTTTCTCCTTAGAAGATGAGGGAGGGAAAAGGTTATATTTGTACCTATATCCATATAATGCCCATAAATCATAATATCAACACATTCACTCTCCCACTTAAAAATCTTCTGTACTCTCTTTGCTTACCAAGTAAGCTCCCTTCCCTTCCCCTGATTTTCAAGGTCTTCTGTGACCAAGACCAATCTTCCCGAAAAAAGGGTTTCCCAATATTGGCACTATTGACATTTGGGGCTGGATAAGTTTTGTTGTGGCAAGCCATCCTGTGCATTGTAGGGTATTTAGCAGTATCCCTGGCTTCTACTCACCCGATGTCAATAACATACCCTCACCTAGTTATAACAACCAAAAATGTCTCCAGACATTGCCAAATGTCCCCTGGGTGGCAAAATCTCCCCTGATTGAGAACCACTGCTTTAAAGCCTTATCACCTGCTACTTCCCATACTAGGCCTGTACTCTATCTATATCGGACACACTCAGAGTGATCTTCCCTTCATACTTCTGCTTATTCTCTTTCTCTGGTTTGCGATGCCCTCCCTTTCACCACCCAACTCCATCCACCTAAAATCCTACTCAGTCTTTTATGGCCAGTCTTTACTCCATGAAATATTACCTAATTTCCTCTTAATCAAAGCTTTAGGCATTTGTCCTTTGAATTCTCAATAACGTTTTGTTGATACCTCTCATAACTTTAATTCTGCATCATTTCCATTTGACTCCATGAGTATAATAACTATTTTGTAGGTGTTCAACAAGTGAGTGTTTGCTAATGCACATACATATGTGTGTTTTTGTGGTTGAAAATTGGAACACGGGTGTAGGAGATAATGTTCTTTCACCTCCTTGAAGGAGGCCAGAGGGGGGTCATTCTCATGCCTTTTGCATCCTTCTTCCTGAGCTGCTGGTAATCTATTGTACTAGATGTGAGGATTCAATAGACCCTGCCGTACTCAACAAAATTTAAGGAAATAAGCAAAAGCTGATCTTATTTCCTTCTGTGATATGGTTTGGATTTGTATCCCCACCCAAATCTCATTTTGAATTGTAATCCCCAATGTTAGAAGAGAGGCAGGTGGGAGGTGGTTGAATCATGGGGGCGGATTTCCCCCTCGCTTTTCTTGTAATAGTGAGTGAATTCTCATGAGATCTGGTTGTTTTAAAGTGTGTAGCACCTCCCCCCAACATCTCCCTTCCTCCTGGCCACATAAGAAGAGCCTACTTCCCCTCCCCCTTCTGCCATGATTGTGAGTCTTCTGAGGCCTCCCTAGCCATGCTTCCTGTATAGCTTGTGGAACTATGAGCCAATTAAACTTATTTTCTTTATAAATTACCCAGTCTCAGGTATTTCTCCATAGCAGTGCAAGAACGGACTAATACATCCCCCAAAGCCCATGGTAGGTGCCCTAAACCATTCTCATTGTTCCTAAGTGCTGAGAAAAGTTGAGGCCACTCTCCTACTCCAGCAAAGCCCTGGAAATGCAAAGGTCCCAGCCTCATCTGACCAATCAAGATCCCATGGCCATAGGCACTCACACTGAGAAGCCTTTCTGCCACAGTAAGTCATGTCAGCAACATTAAAAACAAATTTAAGGTTTTTCTAGGGAGGCTCAAACTTTTCCTTTATAAGTCACTTGTCATCTCTGGCGACAGGACAGCTAGAAACTCATAGATTCCAGGAGAGCTTTCCAGCTGTCATGGTAACTGACCCGATGTGGCGCTGAAACTGTCCTCATAGCTAACCAACCATTACAGTGGTCCTTCGCTGGATCGGGGGGTGACCTCAGGAAATTCATTTGGAGTATTTCTCCACTGCCATCTTGAGGTCACTGGGAATAGTGCATCCTCCTTCCTTTTGTCATTGAACAGACATGGGCCTGAGGGATTTGCATGCTCTCTCTGCCTCCCATGACAGGTGCTGCAGCAGGCTCAAGAAACAGCATTGCCCTTATCACTGGAGCTTAGTCACTCTCGCTGTTCTTACCACGAGGCAGACCTGTCAGCAGGAACATGGATGTCTTAGCACTCAATGACATATCCTAGACACACCATGCTGCTTACTTTAAAAGAAAAGCTTAGGAAAGAAATGGAATTATAAAAATAAAAAAAAAGAAAATCTCTTTCAGAATCCCTACTCCCATGAGATGTCCAGGGTTCGAACTTTAAAAAGCAAAAATAAGAATAGTGGCCAAGAAATACATTTTTGTGTATGTGTGTAAAAGATGGATAAAATAAGGCATTGTTTAATTTCCTTCTGACTTCCCAAACAATTTCATATCATGGACATGAATGCTTTCTCATTTTATATGAGTTTTTTTTTAACCTGAATAATACAGAGTCTATTTAAAACTATTTTACCACTTATAACCCTGGAAAAAACTTCTTTCTCCTGGGCAGTGCCTGGTGGTTGGTTTGAAAAGCTAGTGGCTCCTTTTCAGAGTGTTTTTCTTAAATAAATGTCTGTCACATTAATGATTAAAATCAATTAAGCTCAATCATACACCTGAATCTAGCTAGAAGAGAATAATTCAAATGTTCCTAGCATAAAGAATAAATATTTAAAGTGATGGATATCCCAATTACCCTGATTTGATCTTTACACATTATAAGAATGTATCAAATTATCACATGTACCCTCGAAATATGTACACCTCATATATATAAATTTTAAAAATCAATTAAGTTCCTTTTGGAAGAAAGGGACACTGATTTCCTCATTCTAATTAGGTGATGTATTGCCCTCTAGCGGCATGATATGATAAATAGTGATATAAATCCAATGCAGGATGAATTTGCCTCCATTCATTCAGTGGGTTATTGAACAGCTACTCTGTGCCATGTACAGCTCTGGGCTCTGCCCGGGTACAGCAGCAAAGAAGATAAGCCAGTGTCTTCACTTCAAGGAGCATATATTCTAATGGGGGGATACAGAAAATTAAAACTTAAATAAGAAAAATCTTAGTGATATATGCCCTGGAGAGAATTAAAATAGAGTTATGTGGAAGACAGTGGTTGAGTAGATACTTTAGATTGAGCCATCTAGGATGTCCTCCCTATGAAGATGATATTTACCCTTAGATATGAATGCCAAGGTAGCTAGCCAAGACGAAGATCAGGAGTAGGAACATTTTAGGCAGAAGAAACAGCTAGAGCAAGAAGTTTAAGACAGAAATGAGAGGTGTTCAAGGAACAGAAAGATGGTCAGAGCTGCTGAAGCTTGGTAGATGGGAGAATGGCATAAGATGAGTTTGGAAAGGACAGATGATGGCCAGATCATACACGGCCTTGGAAAACCAAAGAGAATAATCTTTGAAGATATCAAGCAGGGGAATTACACTATTTGATTCACATTCTTTAAAAACTCTGGTTACTATGTGGAGAACAAATCCTTTGTGGAGAACAGAGGAGGCTGCTATAGTAATCCTCCAGGAGAAATGATGGCGGCTCGGCCCAGCATGACATTGATGGGAATGAAGATGGTTGACACATTTAGATATGTTTTAAAGGTAGTATCAGTGGGATTTGTTCATGGCTTGGTATAGGTAGTGAGGGAAAGAGAGGACTTGAGAATGACACCTTGATTTTTAATTGACTAACAGAATGGAAGAAAATGATATATACCAAGATGAGAAATATTGCTTGAGGGTTGTGTTTGGGAAGCAAATCAGGTCATGGCCTTCATAATTAGGATACAAAATACAGAACAACTTTTTTTTTTTTTTTTGAGATGGAGTCTCGCTCTGTCACCAGGCTGGAGAGCAGTGGCTCAATCTCAGCTCACTGCAACCTCCCCTCCCTAGCTGAAGTGATTCCCCTGCCTCAGCCTCTCGAGTAGCTGGGACTACAGGCGCCCACCACCACGCCCAGCTAATTTGTGTGTGTGTGTGTGTGTGTGTGTGTGTGTGTGTGTGTTTTAGTAGAGACGGGCTTTCACCATGTTGGCCAGGATGGTCTCAATCTCTTGACTCATGATCTGCCTGCCTCGGCCTCCCAAAGTGCTGGGATTACGGGCATGAGCCACCGAGCCCGGCCAGAACAACTTTTTAAAGAATGTGTTAAACAAAGATGATGAGCCAATAAATATAAATATTCACATTTCAAGGGGTCCAAGAGAGCTATAGAGTTTATCAAAGGAAATCAGGAAGAAGAGTTCTCAGATTGCAGTATAAGGCACCCTGAACAACCAGGAAAGAGAATTTAGCACTATGGAGATAAGAGCCAGTGGCTTTGAAACCTTCTAGAGCTGTTTATCTCCCAGTTTCTTCTCTGTATTTTGGGAAATGACATTATATACCACATGAGAAGGTTGCAAGAGTCACAGGACATTAGAAGTGAAAAATCTTGGAGGAAAAATGAGCCCAACTCCCCTTAAACCCTTCTTTTCCAAATAAAGTGGTGGAGCTCAGACCCCAGGGAGTAGAAGGGATACCAGCATTCATGGCCCTCCTGCAATATACCAGACACAATATGAAGAACATCACATGCCTTACCCCATCATGTCTTTGAACAATCTTGCAAAGTGTGCATAAATTTCCATTTCTAGCCAAGAAAACACAGGCTCTGGGAAGCCCAAGGCCCTACAAATGGCTACTGGAAGAGATGGGATGAGAACTCTCATGTTCCAGTGCTCTACAATCCATGTAATGCCATGCTAAAGAAGATTTTTGAAAATGTGAGGAGGGAAATGAAACTAATTTGGGTAAATCTTTTTAGAGTTTAATATTCTATCCTTTCACCTATACATGTTGGGGCAAGCCAGATTGCAATTCTTCTATGAAGCAGCCAAGCAAACTCTCCCAGCTAAACTTGGGGATGATGACGATGATGATCATGATGATGATGATGATGTAGCTGCCATTCACTAAGTGTTTTCTATGTTCTAGTGTTCCAGATACATTCATTTGCTTAAAGACAACAAACCTGCAATCTACCATCTCTATTTTCTAGATGAAACTAAGACATAGGTTAAATTATTTGCCCAAGGTCATATCACTACTCTGCCCAGTGAAAAACCTTGATGTGGACTCAGGCATATCTTCTTTCTCTGCCCATGTAGCCCTTTTAACAGCTTCTCTTCTCTGGAGTCGTAGTGCCATGGCCCACACAGGCATGTCCTCATTTGCAGCCCTGGGGATACAAAGAGTGGGACCATAGCTGGGGTGACCTTTGGGCCACAATTAAGTATCACACATAGTATGAAATCCTATCTAACACTGTACTCTGAACAATAGGACAAGTGAGAAGAGGAAAGAAAAGCAAATGTGAGCCAGCCATGTGATCCCATGGCTACCCTAAGGGCCTATTAATATGATTCAGAGATGCCTGAGTAACTGACTCTTGTTGCAGTTCCCTAGTTTAGGAGTGAAATGAGACAGTGTTTGCCTTGAGAGACCAAGAACTGAGTGAACGCCTGAGTATGTCATACCATGCTGTGCTCTGTAATCATGTTGTTTATTGCATGACCCCAAGATTATCAGATGCATCAGTCCCAGATGAATATATAGCACTGGCATATAGCCAGACTAATTAATATGTAGAACTCTCTAATCTCATAAAATTGAAGGAGGACAGTCTTTCTGCGATGCTCAGTTACAAGGGTATTTTTAGCCCACTCTCCTTTGTGAGGATTGGAGAATTTGAAAACTTGTGTCTCTGCTTGCCCTAGCTAACTCTATTACTTATCCTGACTGCAATATTGTTTAGCTTAATCACTTGAAGTCTGAGTCATTGGTCTCTCCATCAACCCAAATTTGCTGTTGACATTTGTCCATACAGTCACCTTGCAGATTAGGGATGGCAGGGAGAAGGTGGAGATTTAACGACTTTATTCCAGACCTATCATAGATGAAGGGACCAAGACGGTGTTGCAGTGTTGGGTTGATCAGCTGAGTGCCTGTGGTGTGAGATAGCTAAGGGCTTCAGATATGTAACAAGAAGAACCATGGCCTTGGGTCTGGTCCACTAATTTAAAATAGAGAATTTTTTTTCCCCACAAATGAGTGTGAAACTGGCCATGCCTTGGCTATTGTTTATTGCTCTGGTGAAAATAACTGAGCCAATAGAGGGAGCTAAAGTTGTATAAATGGGATTTCTGAATACAGAGTGTTATTGCAAAGAAATTCCCAAATACTTGAAAGGCGTATTTCAGGGAATTCGTGGATGCAGTGGAAAAGAGGCAAAAGATCAATAAAAACACTGCTAACAAGAGAGCTGTTGGTAACTGGTGATCACTCCAATATCTAAACGTGTAATTAGAGTGGATATCATGAATGAAAGGAAAACTTCTTGGCATGACTATTATCTAGGTGACTAGGATACAAAAATATGCTCTTTTCTCTCTTTGAATTGGCCATGTTAAAAGAGAATCTCTAGATTTATCAAATCTTTGTATTTATCAAGGCTGAGAGGTGTGATAAATTCAAAATAGTGCAAGCTCTCAGGAAACAACAGGAAGTAGAACTTTTAATTAAAGAAACAGTGAATGTGTGGGTATTAATAAATACTAATGTTTTTCACATTAGCTCAGTTTGGCCAAGAAAATGTTAGATGGCACCTATTAATTTACCTTGGACTGAGTTCCACAATTGTGTAAAAAAAGTTCAGCAACCTGGGAAAGAATGGGATTTAGTGATTGAACTTGATATTGCCTTGATAATGCCTCCTTTCCCACACCTAAGAAAGAGAACCGGCAGGAACCATTTACTTTTACATGCAACATAATACACTTTTATTATGTTATCTTAGGACTATATTAATTACTCTGTTTATGATAATAATTAAGAAGTAATCTGACCATGATAACTGCTATGGATTGAATGTTGGTGTCCCTCCAAAATCCATATGTTAGAACTTAACCCCCAAGGTGATAATAGTAATAGGTGTGGCCTTTGGGAGGTGATTAGGTCCTGGGGACTCCACCATCATAGATAGGATTAGAACCCTTATAAAAGGACTTAAGAGAGTGAGTTTACCCCTTTCAGCCCTTCTACCATGTGAACAAGATGGCAACAAGGTGCCATCTTGGAAACAGAGTTTGGGTCCTTACCAGACACTAAATCTGTTAGCCCCTTGATCTTGTACTTTCCAGACCACAGATTGTGAGCAATAAATTTCTATTGCTTATAAATTATTCAGCATAAGGTATTTTGTTATAACAGCCCTAATGGATGAAGACAGCAACCATCATCTGTTTTTTCATAATAACTTTTTATTTTGAAATAGTTTAAGATTAACCATGTTTTTGAAATTGGTGATAAATGAGAAGAACATTGTTACCTGTAGGAGGGGACAGAAAACATGACCTCATCTTGTTGGCTGGTAAATATACCTAAATATAAGGGCTAGTACAAGTCTTAAGCATGTCTTAGCATATGCTGGGCTAAAGATTCACAGGATAGTTCATTGATACAAAAACAATTGGCTGAGAACATTTCTAATTTCACCATGAAATGGAAGCAAATGGGCTGACAGAATTATTTGGATGTTTTAGTCCATTTGTACTGCTATAACAAAATATCACAGACTGGGTAATTTATAATGGATAGAAATTTATGTCTCACAGTTTTGGAGGCTGGGAAGTCCAAGATTCGGTGCCAGTATTTGATGTATGGTGAGAGGCTTGCTGCTGAGTCCTCACATGGTGGAAGGGCAAAAAGGGCCTAAGTCAGTTTCCTCCAGGTTTTTGGAAAGGCACTAATCCATTCATGAGGGAGAAGCCCTCATGACTTCATCAATGCTGTGGTGTCAATGTGTCACCCAAAATTCATGTGGTGGAAACTTAATCCCCAATGCAACAGTGTTCGGTGGTGGGGCCTTTTGGAAGGTGTTTAGCTTATGAGGGCTTACTCTCATGAATGGATTAATACCACCATGAAAAGGTCTTGCAGGAGAAGTGTGCTCCCTTTTTGACCTTCCATCTTCTGCCATGTAAGTATGCCACAAGAAGGATCCATCAGATGCTGGTGCCTTGATCTTAGACTGCTCAGCCTCCAGAACAGTGAGAAATAAATTCCTGTTTTTTGTTAATTACCCAGCCTTAGGTATTCTGTTACAGCAGCACGAAATTGACTAAGACATTTCCCAAAAGGCTACACCTCTTACTACCACCATGATGGAGATTAAGTTTCAATATCAATTTTGGAGGGGACATCCTCAAACCACAGCATTGGATATTGGAGAAGTCATCCCATACCTGGGTGTACTTTGGGTATTTGTTTTGTCAAATGTCATATTAAAAACCCTGCTTTTAAGTAAGGAGAAAAACAGAAGATGCCACTGGGTCCTTATAAGCTTATTGATCCTATAATTTTGACAGTTTGCATAATAGAAACCTTTTAGATTCAAGACTCTGCAGAAACCAGGAGGGGTGTTAGTCATGGGACTTTGGAATTTGAAGCATACTTAATGCAGCTGCCTGTCATTCCACTTTTGAAAGCATTTTCTGCTTGTGATTGTTGGTTAAGATGCCATGTTCCTATAAAAGAACGTTAAATAATTATAAGACTAGAAATTCCAAAACTGTCCTTGGTAACATTTGTCAGATGTTTTAGATACTGGAGGAGCAGCTCAAAAAAGGTTAGTGATAAGATAGAAAAGGTATATTAAAGAATATTAGAATTATTATAGAAATATTATAGATATTTATATAGATAGAAATATTATAGAAATACTAAAAGAAATTAGCCGGGAGTGGTGGCGGGCGCCTGTAGTCCCAGCTACTCGGGAGGCTGAGGCAGGAGAATGGCATGAACCCAGGAGGTGGAGCTTGCAGTGAGCTGAGATCGCACCACTGCCACTCCAGCCTGGGCGACAGAGCAAGACTCCATCTCAAAAAAAAAAAAAACACGAAAAAGAATATACAAAAGGAAGTGAGCTCATAGTGGGCCATGGGATCCATAGCTGGCAGCTGCAGCCCTGGAGCCAAAACTGTCCTCACCATCAGGTTTGCTTCTGGCAGTAGGGATTTGTGAATATATGAGAATATGAATCCAAGAGAGCATGGCCAAGGCCAAGTTTAGTTTACTAAGCACAGTGCTCAATTAGCTGAGGAGGGTTTTGGAAGTCTGTGACTGTCCTCTCAGCCCATGGGCTAAGTAGAAAGTCTTCTGGTTGACTCTATACTTTCCAACACAAAAGCACCTCTATTTGTTTGGCAAGTGCTAAAAATACCTCAATGTAGGGGCGAGATTTATGAAACAGCTATAGGCTTTCTGACTTAAAATATGAATTGTTCATGTTGACACCTGTTTGTTATATGTAGATGAGAAAGGCGGTGGTAACAGAAACATCGAGGTAGCTCTATCTATCTGTTGGTGAGATTTTAAAGGTGGTAACTGGGGTCTACAAGAGGAGTGGATCCTGGAGACCACAAGCTATGAAACACTGGGTTCAATCATGATACACGATGTTTGACTCCATCGAAAAATGCCTATGTCTGTCAGGATTTCTCAGCTAGAACAATATCAAAAGACAAATCTACCTTTGTTAAAGGGACAGAGCCCAAAGGGGTATGGGCCATTATATACTGGCAGAATGACTGTGTTGAACTTTTACCTACAGCACCAGGTAGTTTCAGGTTCTATTGACTGGTATTGACACTTCATTTTCTGGTTTAAACTTCATCCATCCTGAATCTGAGGCTTTAAATTTATGAGTTTATGAGAATCTGAGGCTTTGAATTTTTAGGATTAACGAACTGGAAATACAAACTTTCAATAATTCTGACCATCAATTGATATATCAGCAATAAGATAATACATCCTATAAAATGAAGATGGCAGGAGTGAGCCAAGAAATATAACACAAAGTAGTCTTTTTACGTTCATATCCCTCCCGAAGTAATAATGTGACCGAAAATTAGAATGGATAATTGAAGCAATTGTGATACAAAGTCATGACAGGGACATGATGGACTAACTGGCTTTGCAGGCGAGGAGAGCATCTACTACTAAACACACCAGGCTGCAAAAGTGGGTCATGGGTTGAACTTATTTCTAAAGTATGAGATCAAGAACGAGGCAATAGGAAACGATGGCTTGGTTCATACCTACCATTCTATATGTTTCTCTTGGGCAATCCATAACCAAGCCCTAATAATCTGGAAGGGTTTTGTGGTACCCTCACAGTATGCCACCATGTACTGTTGGACTTCTTCTTGCTACTGCTAGAACTATGACTACTGACAATAATAATAAGAGCAAACACTTAGATAGTGCTTATCATATACCTGGCACTATACTAAGCATTTTCCACCTCTATGTATGTTAAACATGGGATTAATTAACTCTGATCTGAAAATCACTGATTTTCAGAGAAAGTTGACTACTTTCTCAGAGATAATAAAGCAAATATCTCTAAACAGTTTTTTAAAAGGGGAGAGAGGGAGGGAATAAGAAAGGGAGGAAAAAGTGCAGTATTAGTAAGGTATTAGTCAAGATGTTTGGATTACACATTATAAAAATTTCAACTAAAGGCAGCTTAGGCAAGATACAAAATGTGCTGGCTCATGTAACTAGAAAGGGAAAGGGCAAGTCATTTTCCTGGAGGACAGCTTCCCAGATCCTGCTTAGGGTCCTGTGACACTGACAGCAGAGAGGAATGCCTCTGAATAAAAGCAGGTGGAGCCATTCAAAATGCCCACGGGTCTATCCCTAGGAGCTCCACCCCAATTCCTCTGCAGATGAGACTGCGAAGCACAAACTCAGGTACTCCTCAGGAGCTACCCACAAAGAGGGGTAAGGATACCTCTCTTATTTCCTTGAGAGTAGGGAAAGCTGCAGGGTGCCCAGAAAGTTCAGAGCAGGCTCCAGGTAGAGAGAGGGCCTACAAGCATGAGGGGAGCTGGTGTTGTTTTGTTACGCAACTGCAGAGGGCACCATTTCTTTATATTCTTTGTGAATGACACTCCTGGGTGTTCAAAGGAGTGGCTCTGCAACAGCCATGGCAGAAGCCAGTGGAGAGTGACTACGGACACAGCAATAACCAGAAATCTTTAACTGGTCACTAAGCAAGCCGATGACATCCTGGCTGTCTGCAAGGGAACAGAACAAAATGTGGGAAGGGGTTGCCATTTGGAGACCTAGCGATCTTAATGGAAGTGAGAAGGTAGATGGAATCAATATGTATTATAATCAGTAGCTGTGGTCCTATTTGCTCCCCACCCCTCAAGTTGGGCCAGGGGAAGTGAAGGTTATATTCCTCTTCTGAGTCCTTGGGAACAGAAATCCTAACATGAATGAAGGTGACCAATCTTGGAATTGATGCTATTGACAGAGGAGAATAGAGAGCCAAAAAGTGCACTCTGCAAGGTTGATATTACTCACGGTATAACCATGACATAGACATTCCTAAGAAAACAAATGAAAAAGCAGTAGAACAGATCATAAACTTCCCCGTGCAGCGTTTTTATAATAATAATAATAATAATTATTATTATTATTAGCATATTCTTTCATTTTTATTTTGTTTTAGGGCTATAGTCAGATGACATACCAAGACCACAATGAGTGCCAGTAGGCAGGCTCCAGCCCTGTGCCAGCCAAGCATTTTGGTGATTAATGTTCTTGGCTCTGAGGAAATAGCACTCTTTCTCTAAATTCAGATTTTTTTTTGGCATAAAACTTTGGAAACTAGGTTTAAAATTCTCCATAATGACCATCTTGTCTATTCTCAGGCTAGTCATAGAATTCATAGCTAATCTAAGATTAATTTTAAAACCAGGGAGAAACAGTAGAGGTCATCCACTCCGAGCCTTTTTTTCTTTCATCTTTCATCCTTCTTTCCTTCCTTCCTCCATCCCTCCCTTCCTTCCTTTCTTCTTTCTAATGAATTCACTAATATATTTTATTTTAAATTGCACTTTGATTATAAAAGTAGTATATATTAATACTTAAAATTTGGAAACAGAAAATTTAAACTAAATGCCTCACAATCTTCCACCCAAAGACAAATACTGTCATCTACAGACTGTCCCCGACTTAGGAGGGTTTAAGATTTTTCACGATATGATTGTGTGAAAGTGACCCACATTCAGTAGAAACCATACTTCAGTACAGAAATCAATACATTACATGGGATACATAGCACTTTCTTATAAAATAGGATTTGTGTTACATGATTTTGTCCAACTGTAGGCTAATATAAGTCTTCTGAACATATTTAAGGTGGGTGAGCCTAAGCTATGATGTGCAGTAGGTTAAGGTGTATCAAATGCATTTTTGACTTGCCATATTTTCAAATTATGATGGGTTTATCAGGATGTAACTCCATGGTAATTGGAGGGGAACCTATGTTTTTATATTCATTATAAGAATTGATACGACTCTCTTTTTTGTTCTTTCCCCAAATCTGACCTCTTCACCATGAGACAATGCTCCTAAACTGTTGATTAGACACAGGGCTATTCACTCTCTGGGGGAAGGGGTCAGGAAGACCTACCCCAAAGAGCTTGGGAAATTGACATGTCAGAATATACCTCCATTATTTTTAAATGGGAAAATTGAACTCCAGTCATTTGCCAAAAGGCAATGACTCTATCAGGACTCCTCCAATGTAATAGCTAATTGCTTCAAAATTCACTGTGCTCCTTTTCAAGTGTGAAGTCCAGGGAATGGACAGGATGCTGTAGTCCAGAAATGGACAGAAGATGTCATATGGTAAGATGTCAGAAAGATCTTCACGATTTTCTCTTTCGATGTGTTATGTCTCATCACACACAAAGTGTGAAAACACTTCCTAAATTAGACAAGTAACAATTTATATCAAGAAAAATATTGTCTTATCCTATAAAATGAATAAGTGGCAGGTAAGTATGGTTCAATATGTGTCTACTGATATTAATAATGTCCAGTTGAGTTGAAATATGTAGGAAAGTCTTTGAGGGAAGGAAATACTTTCCTGACTCTAAATGGCCTTTTGCTTGTCATATTTACTTGGATGTCCAACAGAGATTAACTCTTTATGTGGATGTGATGGTAGATTTCACTTTTAAATCAAACAATTAGCAAAAAAAAAAAAAAAAAAAAAAAAAACCATACAGGAATGGAGGCAAAAGCTTCCAAAGTCCAAACAAATGCCATGTAAACATTCCATGATCTACTTTTACTTTTAGATGGTAGATCATGTGTTGAGAATTTACATGAGTTAGCATCAGAAAGTATCACAAGCCCATTGTACACCATCTTTCCCAAGTTTCACAATACGTGGGAAATTAACATTTGGGTTGCCATTTTTTAAATTAAAAGTATGATGGCTTTTTGCTGACCCAGATGATCCCTTGTCTACTTTCATCAAAGGCACAGTGTGAGAGAGTAGAGATTTTACTATATTGTCTATTTCTCCAAAAAGGCCTCACCTAGCACTGGCCTTCTCATCAGGATGGGTTAGCTCCTTGCTAAATGTTAACTGCGGACCAGCAGAATCGACATCAGCTTCATCAGAGGAGCTTGTAAGAAATGCAGAACCTCATGGCACACTCCAGACTTATTGAATCAGAATCTACATTTTAACACGTTCTCCATGTGATTTATACGAACATTAATGTTTGAGAAGCACTGGGTTAATTGACGATTAAGAAATATAGTGCATCTGTTTGCCCTACTCTCCATCTGTTGCCCAACACACACACACACACACACACACACACACACACACACACATGCACACACACACTCTTTGGGTTTAAAATTAAAGAGCAGACTGGTCAAAATCATGCAAAATCATGAATTTGCAGGATTTAACTGCTGAATGCAATACTAAAAATCATGTAGTCACAACCCTTCAAATGGCAGAGATTAGTAAACATCTCCCACTATTCATTCTCCCCTTCTGCCCTGTAGTAATAGAACTCTCCAAGGTTTATCTGAGCACACCACACAACAAGACAGTGCATTTCCCTAGCTCCTTTACAGCTAAGAATCGCCATGCTATTAAATTTGAATCAATGAGATATGAGCACAAGAGACACATTCAACTTCCAGTCAGTTCCTCAGCAAAGTAGCAGCTTTTCACAAGCTTTCCTTTTTCTGATGGCTGGGAAGCAGCAACAGCTACAGTAGATACCTTGGGCTCAGAGATAGAAGTCACACACTGAGAATAACAGAGCTACTAGCCATCCCAGGTCAATAGATGACCTTCTGTAACAGAGCAGCCCAACTATCCCAGAATGCCAGATCAGCCTGGGACATGGAAGGGAAATTAAGCTCTCTCTCATCCTACCCATTGAAGTCACTGTGATTTTAAGTCTCTTGATGGCAGCTTAGCCTTTGTGCTCTGATTGATTACTTCACAAGTGAGGAACTGAGGCCCAGAAACTGTATGACTTATGGTGAAAATATCACTTACGAATGTAAAAATAAGCCAGTGGAAAATATTTAAAGATTTTTAGGCCAGGCATTGTGACTTACACCTATAATCCCAGCACTTTGGGAGGCCAAAGAAGAAGGATGACTTGGGGCCAGAAGTTCAAGTCTAGCCTAGGCAACATGGCAAGACCCCCCTCCATTGCTACAAAAAATAACAAATTAGCCAGGCATGGTGGTGCATGCCTGTACTCCCAGCTACTTGGGAGGCCAAGGCAGGAGGATTGCTTGAGCCCAGGAGGTCAAAGCTGAAGTGAACTATGATCACACCACTACACTCCAGCCTGGGTAACAGAACAAGAACTTGCCTCAAATAAATAAATAAATAAAATTAAAGATTTTTAAAAATGTATACTCAATTTTATAATGAAGACATTTTAAATGTTTTGAGGCCAGATGTGATAGAACACTGGCTTTCCTGACTAAGCTTCTTGGCTTGGAGGTTTTCTCTTAGCTACCTCTGAGGGATATGCATACTTGTTTATCACACAGCAGCTACTTGGATGAATGAATAAATAAAAGGATAAAGTGAACTCTGTTTTTACTAAACCACCAGGTTAAAAAAATTTTTTTGGCTTCTGCTTATTTTGAAGAATGTAATCTTAAAGTGCATCTTAAGTTGACCACTTGACCCATCTGCCACCATGAAACAAAGCGACAACCAATAAAGGGTTTCAAATAGGCACAGTTTTCATAGTTTTTTGAGTTTTCCTTTCGAGTAGATACATGGGTGGGTGGGGGGAGTAGTTATAGATCTATGTGTTTGCATTGGGTTAGGACTAGAGTTCAGCGTTATTTTTTTCCTCTTTGGTTTGTGGTCATGCCTTAATAGTCATTAAACCAAAGTCATAAAGACGGTTGAAGATACAGGACACGGTATTGCCAACATGAGGATAGTTTATTGGCTCCATGGTTCAGTCACTTTTGAATTCAGATAATGTTTGACCAGCAGACTTCTTAACAGATTTTCTAGAATCCTATTTCTATCATTACAAGTTAAATTGTCACTTTGCTATACAAAGATCCACACCTAGTCACCCAGTTATATTTATCCAATGATAAAAAAACAAAACGCGACTATATGAGATCATTTTAAAATAAAAAAGTAATGAAACACTAAACAATCACTCCAGGTTGTCTGTAACCATAATAATTCATCATAAGGTTGCCCCACAAGGAAGGATTGCATGCATAGACGTTTAAGCAATATGTAGACTTATAACTTTTATTTTTCTGTTTGCTAATAGTGCCTATAACTGAAACAATGAATTATAATATTGACAGGGACTCAATGAATCCAATACAAAGTTGTCTAAAACTATCAAAATGATATAAATTTAATGTAAACAGAACCACTTAAAATATTTTAAACACATGATAAAAGTCTGTAAACAATTCATATCTCTAGTTTAATTTTTGCATTAATAAGTCATATTCCCAAATCCAATTAAAGTCTCCTGTTTACAGAGTGGTTCTCAATCTTGGCTGCGTATTAAAATTATCCAGGGAGTGTTAAAGATCCCAAAGTTTAGGCCAAACTCAAGAAATTCCATCAGGATCTCTAGGGGGTGGGACCTCAACATCAGTATTTTCACCTTTGGTTGTAGTAGGGATGTTGATTGGGTCAACAGGTGTAAACTATTAACCAAGGGTGACAGATGTTCATTCAGAATAAAGGGACACCAGATGTTCACCAGGCATTGCTTTCCAAGAGCTATTATTTTCCATCTGAAACACATTTGCCTTCATCAGCTCTTTCATGTCTCTTTCACCAAAGTCACCAAGAGGATTTAGTGCACTCGAAGTAGAGGGACTTTTTTTTTTTTTTTTTTTTTTTTGAGGGCTTTTCTGAAAAGCTAAGCCTGAGAGAAATGAATAGTTTCTTATCCTCTACATAGAACTCCCATTTAGCTCATTGACCTGCAGAAAGGTTTTAAAATAGCCAGGTGATGTTTTAAGCGGGTGCCTTGTATCCTATGTTAGTCTTCCCAAATGACCAATCCAATCCAGCAGGTTTTCCCATTTCTCCTTGAGCTCAGACATTTTATCCCTAATCTGTCAGCACAGGAAATTGTGAGCAGGTATTTTATTTCATGCAAGAGCCAGGAAAAACACAGAGGTGGTGTAGCTCACTGCTTTGAATATGTGTTCAGTGGGACTGGAAAATTTTCCCTAAAACAAAATTGTTCTATCTCTGGTGAGCAAGGCTACCCCACACTGAGGACCAAAGATAGCATCCGATCCTCAATATGCTTCTGTGTGAAAATGAAAATGAGCAATATTTTTAGTAAAATTAGTAAAAAGTACATGCAATATAGCTTCTAAATATAACATCATCCACATAGCTGTTCAACTGCTTTGTTTAGTTTTCTCAGTCATACATGGCAGAGCAAACTACAAAACATCATTTTCCTTGACATGCCCATCCAGAACCAATTGTTTAAAACTGGATGTTTAAATTTGGGCATTTAGAATTATTAAATCACCAGGAGCTGAACTGTAGTGAATTGTAAAGAAAGGTAAGAACGTGGCTAATCAAAGTCCTCTTCAATTCAATAGGTATTTGCTGACAACCTAATATATACCAGGCATGTGTGTGGAATGAAAGGGTTTCTCTTTCAGCTGCAGCATTTCCCCATTATGCTGAAAGGGCTAATTTCAAACTGATGATGAACCTCTGTTTCTTCAAACAGATGATGAACCTCTTTGTTTCATGGTTTTTGTTTTCATGAGTTATCCAACAATTTCACTTTCCTGAAACCAGATTCTGCTACAGACGCCCCTCAAGGACTCCAAGGTATATCTGTTCTTTTAAACAGGTCTATGTATTGCTCAAATACCTATCAGACTTCTCATGGGACAATCCAAATTTTTCATCTCTCTGGCTTCCTTTGTTTAAAGAAGTTAACATTGCCACGATTCTTGGTTGTTATATTCTATTATCTAGCTTACAATATACAAAGACTCCCTGGCATTACAGCTATTTCAAAGAGGTCATATTTTCAATTTTGTAAATTTTCCAAATGAATATCATTTGAAATATTTAGTTTAAAACGATGCTAGCTTTCTGAGAACCTGTCATAATTTTCCCAGTATAGCCTTAACACAAAATATGTTAGAGCAAAATAAAATCTCTTTAAATCTTTCATTTCAGAAAATGACCTTCAATGCAGTCCATAAGCATTTATTGAGTACTGTGGGAGATCCTAAGATTGAAATACAATTTTTTTGCAACTAGGGCCTTATAATTTTAATGGAGAACCAAAATATAAAGATATGTATGTATGTGTGTATATGTGTGTGTATATATATATATACACACATATATGTATATATATACATATATATACATATATATGTATATATATACATATATACATATATATGTATATATATACACATATATGTGTATATATATACATATATATGTATGTGTATATATATACATATATATATATGTGTGTGTATATATATATATATATATATTTTTTTTTTTTTTTTTTTCTTTTTTGAGACAGAGTCTTACTTTGTTGCCCAGGCTGGAGTGCAGCAGTGTGATCTCGGCTCACTGCAACCTCCATCTCCACCTCCTGGGCTCAGGTAATCCTTCCACCTCATCCTCTCAAGTAGCTGGGATTACAGAGATGCGCCACCACGTCTGGCTAATTTTTGTATTTTTTTGTAGACAACTATTAGCGTGCTTTTGCCATGTTAGCCAAGCTGGTCCTGAACTCCTGGCCTCAAGTGATCTGCCCGCTTTGGCCTTCCAAAGTGCTGGGATTACAGGCATTAGCCACCATTCCCGGCCTGTATTTATATATTTTAAGGGATTAAGATAGCAATGAAAAGTAATTTTCATGGGCCTTCCAGGGAAGGGGAGGGTGAGAGGAAAGAAGAGAGGAGAGAGAGAGACAAAGTTTGGGGTAGGTGTCCACAAGCAAGTAGGAACTTAGAGTCTTCCTGAAGTCATCTACTTTGCAGGGGAAGGGTCTTAATAATGATAATGTTAATAATAATAACTAATGTCTATTTGGTGTCTGTACACTGCACGTCCTGATATTAAATTGTTGTTCACTTACTGTTCGCTTAGAATATTCACATAAAAAAATATTTATTAAGCTTTACCATGGTGCTGGGATACAGAAGAAAGAGTGGATAGAAGATAGCTATGCAAATAAAGAAAGAAACATATAATAGAAGTAGGCACCGAGTGTGGCCATGTATTTCCTCTTAAGTGGCAACACGTTCTTGCATTTTTACACAAAGCTAGAACTCATTGATACTCAGAGGCTGTAATGAGAATTTCTACGGAATGTAGCTTTTATCTCTGCAGTATTAACTTTGGTCAAAAGATGGCAGCAAAGTTCAGCTAGCTCTTCGGAAACCACTTCTCAAAAGTGAGGGGAGAAGGGAGTAACTATTCACATCTTTTACAGGTTAATGGGCAAGTTGGGGAAAGGTTGTCTTGCCGCCTACACATGAAATTGTTTTCGAATTGTATATCACAATATTTATTAAACATTAAAATATCACAAGTTCAATGTAAGCCAGGTTATAATATTCAAATTATATTTATTCATTCACTTGTTAATTTACAAATGTAAATATTCATTAATTTCCCAAATGTTTTAGTACCTGCTAGGCATTAGCACTACACTGAGAGCTGATGATACTTGTCGACCAGAATATACACAGTTCCAGCTCTCATTGAACATAGGGCCTAGAGTGGGAATGATATTAAAAAGATAAATAAAGAAATGAACTTGTAATTAATTATTCATAGAATGTAATTACCTGTGGTAATTATATTGTATTTTTTCAGTTTCCTAGTACTTGAGAGTAACAGAAAATACTCAAGCATTTATTTTTCAATTGCTTGACTAATTATTCAGTTGCCTAGGACAGTACCTGGCACAAAGTAGGTGCTTAGTAAAGAGCTGTTAAGTGAGTGAAGGAGTGTAATTACAAATCTGAGATACACATGTCCAGAACATGACTGGAGACAAGTTTCTAATGAAGGAACATGACCTGGGTCTGGGAAAGTGATGTAGGTCTGAAGGATGAGTAGGAGGTAACTAGATGGCTGTGTATGTGTGTGGATTGGAGGTGGGGAGTCTCTGGGCATACAGTAGACCATGAGTAAAGGCCCTGTGACGATGGTGGTTGTGGGGTAGGGAGGGGGTGGAGAGGAGGCATGGGAACATGTCTTGCTACAGGGAACTAAAAGACCAGTGCGGCCTCAGCACAGGGAGTCAGGGGGTTGAACAGTGATGCACAACATAGACTTTGGTGTAAAGAATGAGTAGGAGAGGGACGAGAGTGGATTTGGGTAGAACAGGTGGGAAGCTGTTGCAGTCCAGGTGAGAGATGGTGGTAGCTTAGACTAGGGGGTGGGCTAATGGAGTGGGAAGTTGTCAAAGTCACCCGATGGGAGCACATGATTATATACAGACTATAGAGTGTGAGGGAGAGAGGAGCTCCAAGGATTACTGACTTGTGCAATGGGGTGTGGTAGAAAGGAAATTCTGGAGGAAAACCAATTTGGGGGAGGAGGGAAGATCCTAAGTTCTATCTGAAACATTCTGAGAATTTGAGACATCCTAGTAGAAATATTAAGTCCATAATTACATTGAAGGGACAGAGCACAGAGAGGTCTGGAGTGGAAATTGATTTGGGAGCCATTGGCATGTAGATGACATTTGAAAAGAAAAGGCCTGGTTGAATCCACATATGAAGAGAGTATAGGGAAAGAAATGGGGACTAAGACTAGCCTTGGGGAACTCACACTAGGTGCCTGGTGGAGAAGGATGGCGGCAAACAAAACAGAAGTAGCCAGAGAAGAAAAGAGGAGAGCCAGGAAAGAGTGTGTGAGTGCAATGGACAGAACTCTGGACACAGGAAGACCTTTCTCATGTTCTGAGAAAGGTTGGCATCTCCATCCTCCACCACAGTCCTTCCATCCAGCCTGTTCATTCACCCATTTAACTGTGGCCCTTGCTAGCTCCAACACAAATGTCCTTGGCTCTTGGTAGAGCCAGTCCCAGGAAGATAATGTATTTTGAGCCACCAAAACTATAGATCATGGCAAATAGAGAGCAAAGAATAATGACATGGACATTGGTGGAAGAATTTATTTACAGTTCCAAAGAAAAAGACCACTGGACTAAGAGTTAGGAAGCCAGAGATCCAATCTGAGCTCCCCCACTGGCCTGCTGTGCCAGTTTAGGGATTTCTCTGGCTATGCTTTATTTCAGTGTTATCATCATTAAATTTCAGGGCAGGAGACTGTGGTGGGTGGGTGGGCAAAGAGAAGGAAGAAAGTAAGAGAAAATAATACACACTCTGCATAATAATAAGCTCCTTATAAAGATCTTATGAGATCAGGTGTCTAAAAGTGCCTTGGAAAACATATAACATCAAATACTTTCCTATATGATAAAAGAATTTTAAAAATACTCTCATAAAAATGGAACCATGCAATTGATAAATCTGGAGAGTTTCCAGGCATTTATTCCTAAAAAGCTGTGTGAATGCCTTTTATCTCTTTCTATCCTGCTGCTAGCACCATATCCTTTTCTAACTAAAAATGAAAAAAACGAAATAAAGAAAAAAACTTCTAAAATCTGTTATTGATGCAAGGAAAAGGATACATATAGATTTTTAACAATATAGATTCAGGACCACCCAAGCTAATGGATTCCAGGCCAGACAGCAAAAACAAAAGGATTACCACTAAACCCTCCAAACTGTTTTAAAAGCTGGGGAGGATAAGTGATGGGAACATGGCGGGCTAGAGGTACCAGGCACCAGACCCTCCACCAAGAAGGACCAAAACAGCAAGAAGATAACCATACCTCGAACAGAACTTCAAGAGAGAACCCCAGAATTGAGCAAGAGAGTGACAGAGCACTTCTGAGGCTTGTAAGGAGAGGGGAGCGAAGCATCCTGAAGCCAAGAGAAATTCCCAATGGCAGGCGAAAGATAAGTGAGAGATCCAAAGTGGTCCACATTCCCACAGTGAACTCTGCAATCCTGGCTATGGGAAAGCCCTTAGGCCCCTGTGGGCCCTGAGACTAGTATGGGAGCTGCTTGGAGGCCACATAACGGCATTGTTCTGCGGGGGGATTTTGTGCTGGGTCCCAATCCCCCTCCCCTACCCAAGCAGTTGCAGCACAATAATATTTTGAGAGCGCAGCCCTCACCAGACTCCATCCTGTCCTGGCTGCTCACAGCCCCTGCATCTCCATATTCCCAGCGCCACACTGGGATCTCTCATGTCCACCTGAGAGCTACAGTACTGCAACTGTGGTGAGTCCCAGTGGCACAGCTCTGTACCCAGCAGTCTGGTCAACACAGTGTCCTACCCCCCAGAGAACAGGTGCAGTGCACCACGGAGGCTGCCCCTGGGACCAAGGGAGCCAAAATGTGTGCCCCCCAGAGCCTGAGAGCCTCCTGCCCTAGGCTGCGGTACTGACACCAACCCTAGCCCCTCCAGGAGCAGAGCCACCACACTTCTGCACAAGCTGTCAGGATGCCTGGGGATTGGCCCGCCCCAGCTACTACCACCAGCTCCCATGCACATGCCATCTGGGGTCCTGGGGATAGGCTCACCTGCTGCCGCTACTGGAGCTTGCACACACTGTCCAGGGACAGGCCCATCCTACCCGCTGCTGCACCCCTGGACCATGCTCACCCAGCCTGCTGCTGCCGCTGCCAGCTCCCATCCGGGGACCTGGTGACTGGTCTGCTCAGCCTGCTGCCACCACTGCTGGCACCCATGTGAGTGACCCAGGGGCCTGAAGGTTGGCCCCCCACTGCTACTGCCACTGCTGACGCCATATGCACATCTCCCAGGCGCCTGAGAACACACCTTCCCAGCCCACCACTGCAATTGCCTGCACCTAAGCAAGCCGCCTGGAGGCACAAGGATGTGCCTGCCTGGACCTGCCACTGCCAGTGCCAGCATACACCTCCCAGGCCTCCAAGGACTGGCACACCAGGCCTGCCACTGCCACCACTGGTTCCTAAAGACTGGCCCACATGTCATCCCCATCCCCAGCAAAGCTTTGCCTCAGGCTCCACTGCAGCCTAAACCACTGAGAAAATCACAGAAGTCACTGAGGCGGATTATAGCCAAAGAAATCATACAGAGACTATAGTATTGCACCCACCCAGAATCAAAGCCAAAGCACCCTGGCTGACCAACCTTGTAGAAAGCTCTTTCCCTGTGAAAGCCTATCCGTAAAACTGGGAGCAGTGCTGTCACACCAGATGTGAAGATATCACCCTAAGGAAACAAGAAGCATGAAAAAGCAAGGAAACATGACACCTCCAAAGGAACACAATAATTCTCTAGCAGCAGATCTTACAGAGAAGGAAATCTATGAAATCCTTGAAAAAGAATTCCAAATATTGATATTAAAGAAACTCAATGAGCTATGATAAACACTAGATACGAGAGAAGGGGCTTCAGTGGCTGACTGGAGGCACCAAGCACTGGCTTCCTCCACAAAGAAGAAATAAAACGGCAAGTAAGTAATTACTCTCTCAATAGAGCATCTGAGAGAGAACCTTGGAATTCAACAGAGAAGTGACAGGACACACCTAAGGCAAGGAAGGAGAGGGAAGGGAGGCAGTCTGCTCTGCTAGGATCAGCTAGGAGCCCAAGAGTGAGGAACCTACTGTGAGGAAAGGGTAGAAGAGATCCTCAGTGGTCCACCTCACTACTGCCAACTCCTGCAATCCTAGACAAAGAAGAGCCCCACTCCATCCTCACGGATCCTGACACTAACACAGGGAGCTAGCTGCCTGCAGACGGGGCTATGGCATTGGTCCAGCAAGGTAGCTCACGCTGGCTCCCACACACCACCCAAGACCTAAGCAAAAAATACATGGTGCCATTTTGAGAGCCCAGCCCTCACCAGACTACATCCTGCCCTGGGGCCAAAGAGGCTTGCACCTCCCCATCCCTGGAGTTCCATTGACACCCTGTGCCTGCAGCAGCTGCTGTTGCTGGCTGCTGCAATGGGGGCTAAAGTGAAAGCCACTGATAGCAACCTCAGCACCCCTGGCAGGGGGGCTGTCACACATTTGCAAGTTCCCTGAGGACAGAGTCCCCCATGGGCAGCCATTGCTGCCAAGTGCCTAAGCAAGTCCCACTTGCAGTGACCCCATTCCACCTTGGTTAAATTTGCTTTTGTTGCTTGTGTTTTTGAGATCTTAGCTATAAAATCTCTGTCTAGACCAATGTCCTAAAGTGGGTCTGCTGTTTTCTACTGGAAGTTTTATCATTTGGGATCTTACATTTAAGTCTTTAATCCATCTTGAATTGATTTTTGTGTATGATGAAAGATAGGGGTCCAGTTTCGTTTTTCTGTATATGGCTATCCAATTTCCCCAGCACCATTTATTGATGAGACTGTCCTTTCCCCAGTCCATGGTCTTGGTGCTTTTGTCAAAAATCAGTTGACTATAAATTTGTGGGTTTATTTCTGGGGTCTCTATTCTGTTCCATTGAACTATGTGTCTGTTTTTATACCAATACCCTGCTGTTTGCATTACTATAGCTTTCTAATATATTTTAAAGTCAGGTTGTTGGATGCCTCCAGCTTTGTTCTACTTGCTCAAGATTGTTTTTGTTATTCAGACTCTTTATTGGTTCCATATGAATTTTAGGATTCTTTTCCCTATTTCTGTGAAAAATGACATTGGTATTTTGATTTGAATAGCATTGAATCTGTAGACTGCTTTGGGTAGTGTGGTCATTTTAAGATCACTTCTTCTGATCCATGAGCATGGAATGTCTTTCCATTTGTCTGTGTCCTCTTCAATTTCTTTCACCAGTGTTTTGTGGTTTTCCCAATGCTGAAGTCTTTCACCTTGTTAATTAAATTTACTTCTATGTATTTTCTTTATTGTAGTTATTGTAAATGGGATTGACTTCTTGATTGCTTTTTCAGCTAGTTTTTTATTGGTGTATAGACATGCTACTGATTTTAGTAGGTTGCTTTTGTATCCCGCAAATTTACAGAATTTATTTATCAGATCTAAGAGTTTCTGGTAGCGTCATTAGGTTTTCTAGATGTAAGAGTATATCAACAGCAAAGAAGAACACTTTGACCTCCCCTTTTCCAATTCGAATGCCTTTTATTTCTTTCTCTTGCTTGATTGCTCTGGCTAGGACGTTCAGTACTATGTTGAACAGGAGGGATAAAACTGGGCATCCTTGTCTTGTTTCAGTTCTTAGATGAAAGGCTTTCAGCTTTTCCTCATGCGGTATGATTTAGCTGTCGGTTTGTCTCAAATGTCTTTTATTACATTGAGATATGTTCTTTCTACGCTTGGTTATGAGTTTTTATCATGGAAGGATGTTGAAATTTATCAAATGCTTTTCCTGTGTCTATTGAGAGGATCATATGGTTTTTATCCTGCATTCTGTTGATAGGATGTATCATGTTTATTGATTTGCATATGTTGAGCCATCCTTGTATCTCTGGAAAAAATCCCACTTGATTATAGTGTATTTATTTTTGATATGCTGTTGGATCGTTTACTAGTATTTTGTTGAGGGAATTTTTGCATCTATACTTATCAGGGATATTGACCCATAGTTTTTGTTGTTGTTGTTGTTGTTGTTGCATCCTTGACTGATTTGGTATCAGGGTAATGATGATCTTGTAGAATAAGTTAGGGAGAAAACCTTTTCATTTTTTTGAAATACTTCCAGGAGAATTGGTGTTAGGTCTTTTTTGTAAGTTTGGTAGAATTAGGCAGTAAAGCCATCCAATCCTGGGCTTTTCTTTGTTTGCAGACATTTTATCACTCATTCAATCTCATACTCATTACTGGCCTCTTCAAGTTTTCTATTTCTTCCTGAATTTTAGTAGACTGTATATGTCCAGGAATGTATCCATTTTTCTGTAGGGTTTCCAGTTTATTAGTGTACAGTTGTTCATAATAATCTCTGATGATCTTTTGTGTGTCTTTGGTATCAGTTGTAATGTTTCCTTTTTCATTTCTAATTTCATTTATGTGGATTTTATCTTTTTTCTCTTAGTTTGTTTAGCTACTTGTGAATTTTATTTTTTTCAAAAAAACAATGTTTCATTGATCCTTTGTATTATTATTTTAGTCTCTTTTTTGTTTAGTTCTGCTCTGGTCTTTATTATTTCTTTCCACTAATTTTGAATTTGGCTTGTTCTCACTTTTCTAGTTTGTTGAGGTGTATTGTTTGATGGTTTATTTGAAATCTATTTTTAATATAGGGGTTTATTGCTATAAACTTCACTCTTAGCATTGCTTTTGTTGTATCCCTCAGGTTCAGTTATGTTGTGTTTTGATCTTCATTTGTTTCAAGAATTTTTTTATTTTCTCCTTAATTTCTTTCTTGATCCAGTGGTGATTCTGGAGCTTGTTGTTTAATATCCATGTATTTGTATGGTTTCCACAGCTCCTCTTGTTATTGATTTTTTTCTAGTTTTATTCCATTGTGATCTGAGAAGATACTTGATATTTCAATTTTTAAAAATCTGTTGAGATTTGTTTTGTGTCCCAACATATGGTTTATCATGGAAAATGTTTCATGTGTTGGTGAGAAGAATGCGTATTCTGCAGCTATTGGATGAAATGTTCTATAAATATCTGTTAGGTCTATTTGGTTTAAGTGCAGGTTAAATCCAATGTTTCTTTAATTTTCTGTCTAGATTATCTGTCTCATGTTGAGAGTGGGGTGTTGAAGTCCCCAACTATTATTATATTGGAGTCTATCTGTCCCTTTAGATCTACTAATATTTGCTTTATATATCTGGGTGTTCTGGTGTTGAGTGCATATATATTTAGAATTCTTATATACTCTTGTTGAATTGGTCCCTTTAGCACTGAATAATGACATTCATCATCTCTTTCTACTATTTTTGACTTAACATCTGTTTTATCTGACATAAGTATAGCTACTCCTGTTTGCTTTTGGTTTCCATTTGCATGGCATGTTTTTTTCATACATTTACTTTTAGTCTATATGTATCTTTACAGGTGAGGTGAGTTACTTGTAGGCAGCATGTAGTTGGGTCACGTTATTATTGTTATTTTTTAATCTGTTTGGTCAGTCTATATCTTTTAAATGGAAAGTTTAATCTGTTTACTTTCAAGGTTATTATGGATATGTGAAAGCTTATTCCTCTTGTCATTTTATTAATTTTTGTCTGGTTATTTTCTATATCCTTTCCCTTCCTTCTTATTTTGCATTGTAGTTTGGTGCCTCTAGTCAGTCATCTTGAAGAATCCTCCGCTGCATCTCGTTTTATCTCAGTAATTTGGTATTCTTTTTCTTAAAGATCAGCTCCTCAAAATCTGCACTACTCATGCTCTGAATTAGCAAGAACATGCTAGACTAGCAAATTACTGAGACAGTCGTAGGTTTGGGTTTGATGGTTTCCATCTACTTTTCATAACTATCTCACTTCAGACTGTAAAGATTTATTTATGTAACCTGGATCCCCAAGTCCTCTAGAATCCTGTGATCTTTTAATTAAGAAAAATGAACTGAGTTCCCCTTTCATATAAATGTAGGGAATCCAGCATGCTTCCCCCATTTCTCAGGTTTCTTGGGAGTAGGGTAGAGAGGTAGAAGGGTGACTTTTTCCAGTCCCCTCTCAGGCTGAACTCGTCCTCCTGGCTTCCACGCAGATCTTGGTCTGGCCATCTCAGCTTTTGTGGCTGCTGTCCCCTCTTCTCACCACTTCTCATGTGTGAACTCTATTCCCCAAATTACCATTTACACAAGACCATTGCTAATGTAACAGATTTCTACTGAAAGGCTGAAGGGACTGGGGCAATTATGGAGCAGCAGGAAAAAATTCAAAATTAAATATTCAGTATGAGTTTTCCTCAAGATTATTCACTCCATGGAAGGATCTTCCTCTGTAGTTTTAGGGCGTTCTTCCAATGGAAACATCGCTCTTCTCTCACATTTTCTAAGTCCCTCAGGGACCCCAAACATCCTCCCTTTAGAGAAGCTAAGGAAAAATTCTCCAATCCTTTTTACTTTATTACACAGACCAATTTATCTCTTTTCATTTTAATATTCTTTTCCCAGGTCATGCCCAGGGAACTTTGCCTTGCATGACCAGAATGAGCCACTAAATAATGAATTTCATCATGACCCTTGAAGGTGGAAGGAGTATTGATTGCTCCTCTCCCCACTTTTAAATATAAAAAGTTTCTTTCCATTCTATTCAAACTTGAATTATTAATAGGACTCTAGTATTTAAGACAATACAGCATCACTCACATCTTTCTGGGTTTGTGTTCATAACTCTTAGTCAGCAAACTGGCCTTTTGCATTCTGGCTAACTTAGAAAAGTCATCTTAGACAGGACAATGTCTTTTCACTTTGTTTCCTCTTCCCATGCATCTCCTCCCACTCCCACCCCATCCATCTTTTCCTCTGATAGTGAATTTAGAATGTCTCAGTTCAAAGCTTAGGCAAGTTGTAGGCAATTTTAAACCCATCTGGGCTTTGAGCATGTTGAAAAACAGGCAACATTTTTGTTTCACAGAAACTCATTTTTTGGCTTCTTACATTGACTGAGAAAACTGACTTTTAATCAGCATTATCAGTTGACCATTTGTGACTTGTGTTTGTGGGCTTTGAGAAGCCGATTAGTATTGAAGTATAATTTTCACAAGGTTAAAGACATGACTCATGCAAAAACAAAGTCAGTATACACTAAAGAGCTGCTTATTTCATTAATGAGAGACCCAGTAGGATACTAAAACTGGTTCAAAGAAATGTGAGAGAAACAGATGTATTTGTAGTCACTGAAAGAAGTAACTCTAGAATTAATTATTAAATTACACACAAAATTGGTTAATGTCATACAGGACAATAAAACTTAGACCTTTGGGTTGTAATCCTTTTTACCAGGCAGAAATCATTTCTGTCTCTACGGGCAAAATTCCTTTGTATTGCTATAAGAATCATTTGCAATGCTCTAAGTTTATCACAAATTAATATTGACAAATCAATCGTAAAAGGTCAAAGGTAGATATCATATTGTTACCCACGTAATGGGTGGATTTGATCACTTGATGGGCATCAACCCAATGACCACAGGCAAGAAAGATTTAGCAAAGGGATTTTGTTACTTGTAACAAGTAAGGAGAACACAGGAGATAATTCCCAAAGCAGTGCCTCTCTGAGCTGGGAGCTGGGTCAGGTTTTATAAGCATAGGGTAATGAGGCATAATCTGATTGGATCTTGCAATGAGGTGATGCCAGGAGGCATGATGTGACTGGATCCTGTCATGGGGTGACACCAAAACTCTACTGATTGGATCCTGGATCCTGCCATGTGGTGTCCACTTCTAAATTCAGTTCCTGCTCTTCTGTCGGGGTACTTAGGGTCTCCCTGTGATTGCAGGATTGGTTCTTCTGGGCATGCTCAGGCCACGTGATCTGAGGGTCCATGACAACTGAAAAACATCTCATAACTTTGTTATGTAAAAGTTGAATCAGACTGGTCTGGTGCAGCTACAATATCCCTAGAGAATCAGGCAGTCCTTAGGTGTGTCTATTAGACATTGCTCCAGTGTGACATAGAAAAGATATGTAGCCATCCTTTTCTCTATTTCCAAGTTTTGAATTTTTTTCTTACTTTTAGAAGAACAACTGTGTTTTTCTCTCAACTTCTCTAGGTATACCAATCAAATGTTTTGCTCAATCATGATTTCTATAATAAAGTCTATTACCTTAGAGAACAACATACCTAATGCACTTCTGAATTTTAACCCTTCCCTACCCCTTCAAAATCCTCTCTTATTTAGAATAACCTATTAATGGGTTAAGTGCACTTACTTTATTTCTTATAATAAGATATTTATATACATAGAGAAAATGGAATAATGCTGACCATGATTTCTGCAGCATGACATGTAACATGACTGGACACTGGGCTAAAGGCATCATAATTATGCTTTAATCAGAGATACATAGACTCACTTATTTTCTCTCCATTAATTTTGACATATTCAACTAAAGCTATAAAACCGTAAGAATAGTTGACACTTAGTTCTTTCAGGTGATAGGCATTACTTTAAATGTGTTAAAGGGAGGAAGGCATAAAACATATCAGGAGAAGGAGAAGGCAGTCTCCCGACTGCCTATCTTCTGATGGTCTGTTGAGCACTATACAGCAAATCCACAGTCCTGAATTAGCAACTGACTTCTACACTTGTGCACGTGAGCTGTGCCCACTTCCGTGACTGCCTGAATGCTTCCCAGCAGACCCCCCATGGATACTGCTCTGTGACATGAATGGGATATTTCTACCAGTTCCTACTTATTAGCACTACAGGAAAGAGATTTTTTTGAGATAAGGAAACATAGGCAAGAGTTAGCTGTGCTTTGGAAACATTTATATAACAAATAACCTAAGTGTTCATCTGCAGCCTCCTAGCTCTGTGCCAGTGTTCCAAATTCCAGCTCTAATCCTACAGAATTCCCACTGCTCTCCTTTGGCTGAGCTATTGTGGAAATTCTTTCTGCAACTGTTGAGGAGGCCAATCAGAGTCAGAGAAAAGATGGCACTGAGCTACTGCATATCCAATACATAATATCCACAATCACTGAGAATAAGTAGAATAGGAAAAATCTGAAATCTACTGATAATCTCTAACCTTGAATATTGATTAGGTTGTAGGAAACCTCACAATCCAATAGGACCTTGGATTGGACCAGTAATCAGCAATATTTATAAATTTAAATTTATTCTCCTTTTATTTCCCTTGCCTATTCTTGTTGAGGAACAATATGGGAAAAAGGCCAAAGAGTAATTGGGGGATGGGAGGAGCAGTAAATACCACTGAGTTTTATAAGATTGCATGATGTGTCTATTTATATGATGTGAAATACACCGGCATCATGCAGGAAACACTGCTTTTATTTTTTATTTATTTTTTGAGACAGAGTCCCACTCTGTCACCAGACTGCAGTACAGTGGCGTGATCTCAGCTCACTGCAACCCCCGCCTCCTCCCAGGTTCAAGTGATTCTCCTGCCTCAGCCTCTCCAGTAGCTGGGATTACAGGCACGTGCCACCACACCCAGCTAATTTTTGTGTTTTTAGTAGAGACGAGGTTTCACCATGTTGGCCAGGATGACCTCGATCTCTTGACCTCGTGATATGTGCACCTCAGCCTCCCAAAGTGCTGGGATTACAGGTGTGAGCCACCGCACCCAGCCGAAACACTGCTTTTTTGTGTTTTTAAAATTGTGGCAAAATATACATAAAATTTACCATTTTAACCATTAGGTGTACAGTTCAATGTACAACATCATTTACAATAATGTGCAACCATCAGCACCAAACATCTCCAGAACTCTTTCATCATCCTAAACAAAAACTCTGAACCCATTAAACAATAATTCTTTATTTCCCCTTCCCTCAGTCCCTGTCCACTATTTTTCTTTCTGCCACTATGAATTTGTGTACTACAGGTACCTCCTACAATCGTACAATATTTGTCTTGTGGTGTCTGGCTTATTTCACTTAGCTTAATGTTTTCAAAGTTCAACACTGCTTTTTTTTTTTTTTAAACAAAATTACTTTCAATACTTTATTTTTGAGCCTTGTAGAAAGAACAACTTAATAGTATCTTGTGATATGATTTAATGTACCTCAAACTCAAAATCCCCAGTTTTGCCTTATAAAACAGCTGGCAGTTGGACTCCGATTACTTTTTTATTTTAAGTTAGCTATTGGCTCTGTAAAATATGAATGGGAAAAAAAGCAGTAATAATCTTCACCAAGTGATTCATCTCAGCTGAGTATGACTTGCAATTCAATAATGAAATGAAATCTGCCCCTTGTACCTAGACTGAAAAAGACGAACAACAGTATGTTCTGTTCATTGCTCCTTCCTGCGAGCCATGGAGAGACGGGACCATGACTGATGCCGCTTGTTAGAGGATAATGAAATGCAACTGGTGTCCAGCAGACCTAGCAGAAATACTCCTAGGCACAAGAAAAATATGCCCAGATGGTATTCTCCATTTTTCAAACTAAAACAGCTAACTGCCTCTCCACTTTGTGCCCAGAATGCCGCCTCTTTTAGAGAGAGGTTCAAGCACTGAGTTCTGTGTTCAATGAACCAGGGTACATACTAACCAGTCAATCAGAGCTGCTTTCATCCCAGCTCTGCCTTCATGACACAGTGCCTTAGATACTAATGCGGGAGAGGGGAATGAATGAACCAGAACAATATAATGAGAAAATAAAATCAAATGTGATTACAGTGACCCCCAACCTAGTTTCTCTTAGCTGTACTCCAATTACATTCAGTAGCTCCCAGGTGTACAGCAAAAACTGTAACAAAATAGTAAATTCTTCTTAGGATAAGACTCTCATAAGCCTCTCCAGTTGTATCCAAACTCATGCCATCAAATGAAAGCCTCAAATTGTGTGATATTTAAAACACAAATACACATGCAAGACCAAACTGAGATACAGTGAAAAGCATAAATTAGCAGCAGCTGCAGCCCAATTAGGCAAAGATTTCCACGAGGGAAAGCTTACTTGTAATTTACCTAAACAAAGCCTTTCTTTTTGTTGAGATTTGCTGCTTATTATTTTTTCTTATTAAAATGACTACAAAGAGTAACCAAGAGCATCATTATATCAGGAAAAGAAATTCTTCCAATCTAAACAATTTTTTGAAAGGATATTTTTAGTTGCATGTTTGTGTTTGTAACATTTTAAAAAAAATTGACAATTTTTAAAAATCAAAGATACACATGCACTGTTAAATGTGTCAAAGCTTATGATAAAACACAGTAATTTCAAGCTCAATTTAGTCATTTCACAATGTATACAATATCTCAAAACAACATTGTTGTACACAATAAATATATATATTTGTAAATTAAAAAATAAATTTAAAAAACCCCAGTAATTTCTAGCTCCAATCCTCATCACCTTCTCAGAGGCCACAATTTTCAAATCTTTTAGCTATTTCTTCTGGTATCTCTATATTTCTAGATAATATGCTTCTACTGTGATTTCAGGATTTATGCATTTTTTATGTATCTGTTGACTTCCTATGATAAAGATTTACCACTACCAATCTCCCTTTCCTCCATAATTCCAAATATAATTACAGCTATGAGAGGGGGTAGGTGAGGATAAAGACAGTATGTGGTCATGCTCTACCACATATTGTGAAGTGCACGCATATATACAATATAAACATATATTATTATGTATAATATAAATAAAATTATATATAATTTGTTTTATATAAATTAATAGAATATTTTATTATATATAAATATATAATATAAATAAAGTATTATTTTATTCCTGGTGTATATATGTATTTAGTTGAATGGGGATAATCCCAGTACCTATTTATTTTGTGTGCATTTTTTAAAAATTATACTTTAAGTTCTAGGGTACATGTGCACAACGTGTAGCTTTGTTACATATGTATACCTGTGCCATGTTGGGGTGCTGCACCCATTAATTCATCATTTACATTAGGTATATCTCCTAATGCTATCCCTCCCCCCTGCCCCCACCCCACAACAGGCCCCGGTGTGTGATGTACCCCACCCTATGTCCAAGTATTCTCATTGTTCAGTTCCCACCTATGAGTGAGAACATGCGGTGTTTGGTTTTCTGTCCTTGCAATAGTTTGCTGAGAATGATGGTTTCCAGCTTCATCCATGTCCCTACAAAGGACATGAACTCATCCTTTTTTATGGCTGCACAGTATTCCATGGTGTATATGTGCCACATTTTCTTAATCTAGTCTATCATTGACGGACATTTGGATTGGTTCCAAGTCTTCGCTATTGTGAATAGTGCTGCAATTAACATACATGTGCATGTGTCTTTACAGCAGCATGATTTATACTCCTTTGGGTATATACCCAGTAATGGGATGACTGGGTCAAATATTATTTCTAGTTCTAGATCCTTGAGGAATTCTACACTGTCTTCCACAATGGTTGAACTAGTTTACAGTCCCACCAACAGTGTAAAAGTGTTCCTATTTCTTCACATCCTCTCCAGCACGTGTTGTTTCCTGACTTTATTTAATGATTGCCATTCTAACTGGTGTGAGATGGTATCTCACTGTGGTTTTGATTTGCATTTCTCTGATGGCCAGTGATGAGGAGCATTTTTTGACGTCTTTGTTGGCTGCATAAATGTCTTTTGAGAAGTGTCTGTTCATATCCTTTGCCCACTTTTTGATGGGGTTGATTTTTTCTTGTAAATTTGTTTAAGTTCTTTGTAGATTCTGGATATTAGCCCTTTGTCAGATGGGTAGATTATAAAAATTTTCTCCCATTCTGTAGGTTGTCTGTTCACCCTGATGGTAGTTTCTTTTGCTGTGCAGAAGCTCTTTAGTTTAATTAGATCCCATTTGTCAATTTTGGCTTTTGTTGCCATTGCTTTTGGTGTTTTAGTCATGAAGTCCTTGCCCATGCCTATGGCCTGAATGGTATTGTCTAGGTTTTCTTCTAGGGTTTTTATGGTTTTAGGTCTAACATTTAAGTTTTTAATCCATCTTGAATTAATTTTTGTATAAGGTGTAAGGAAGGGATCCATTTTCAGCTTTCCACATATGGCTAGCCAGTTTTCCCAGCACCATTTATTAAATAGGAAATCCTTTCCCCATTTGTTTTTGTCAGGTTTGTCAAAGATCAGATGGTTGTAGATGTGTGGTATTATTTATGAGGGCTCTGTTCTGTTTCATTGGTCTTTATCTCTGTTTTGGTACCAGTACCATGCTGTTTTGGTTACTGTAGCCTTGTAGTATAGTTTGAAGTCAGAGAGCGTGATGCCTCCAGCTTTGTTCTTTTGGCTTAGGATTGTCTTCGCAATGTGGGCTCTTTTTCGGTTCCACATAAACTTTAAAGTAGTTTTTTCCAATTCTGTGAAGAAAGTCATTGGTAGCTTGATGGGGATGGCATTGAATCTATAAATAACCTTGGGCAGTATGGCCATTTTCACGGTATTGATTGTTCCTATCCATGAGCATGGAATGTTCTTCCATTTGTTTGTGTCCTTTTTTATTTCGTTGAGCAGTGGTTTGTAGTTCTCCTTGAAGAGGTCCTTCACATCCCTTGTAAGTTGGAGTCCTAGGTATTTTATTCTCTTTGAAGCAATTGTGAATGGGAGTTCACTCATGATTTGGTTGTTTGTCTGTTATTGGTGTATAGGAATGCTTGTGATTTTTGCACATTGATTTTGTATCCTGAGACTTTGCTGAAGTTGCTTATCAGCTTAAGGAGATTTTGAGCTGAGATGATGGGGTTTTCTAGATATACAATCATGTCATCTGCAAACAGGGACAATTTGACTTCCTCTTTTCCTAATTGAATACCCTTTATTTCTTTCTTCTGCCTGATTGCCCTGGCCAGAACTTCCAATACTATGTTGAATAGGAGTGGTGAGAGAGGGCATCCCTGTCTTGTGCCAGTTTTCAAAGGGAATGTTTCCAGTTTTTGCCCATTCAGTATGATATTGGCTGTGGGTTTGTCATAAGTAGTTCTTATTATTTTGAGATACATCCCATCAATACCTAGTTTATTGAGAGTTTTTAGCATGAAGGGCTGTTGAATTTTGTCAAAGGCTTTTTCTGCATCTATTGAGATAATTATGTGCTTTTTGTCTTTGGTTGTGTTGATATGATGGATCATGTTTATTGATTTGCATATGTTGAACCAGCCTTGCATCCCAGGGATGAAGCCAACTTGATCATGGTGGATAAGCTTTTTGATGTGCTGCTGTATTTGGTTTACTAGTATTTTATTGAGGATTTTTGCATCAATGTTCATCAGGGATATTGGTCTAAAATTCTCTATTTTTGTTGTGTCTCTGTCAGGCTTTGGTATCAGGATGATGCTGGTCTCATAAAATGAGTTAGGGAGGATTCCCTTTTTTTTTCTATTGATTGGAATAGTTTCAGAAGGAATGGTACCAGCTTCTCTTTGTACCTCTGGTAGAATTCAACTGTGAATCTGTCTGGCCCTGGACTTTTTTTGGTTGGTAGGCTCTTAATTATTGCCTCAATTTCAGAGCCTGTTATTGGTCTATTCAGGGATTTAACTTCTTTCTGGTTTAGTCTTGGGAGGTTGTATGTGTCCAGGAATTTATTCATTTCTTCTAGATTTTCTAGTTTATTTGCATAGAGGTGTTTATAGTATTCTCTGATGGTGGTTTGTATTTCTGTGGGATTGGTGGTAATATCCCCTTTATCATTTTTTATTACGTCTATTTGATTCTTCTCTTTTCTTCCTCATTAGTCGTGCTAGCGGTCCATCAATTTTGTTGATTGTTTCAAAAAACCAGCTCCTGGATTCATTGATTTTTTAAAGGGTTTTTTTCTGTCTCTATCTACTTCAGTTCTTCTCTGATCTTAGTCATTTATTGCCTTCTGCTAACTTTTGAATGTGTTTGCTCTTGCTTCTCTAATTCTTTTAATTGTGATGTTAGGGTGTCAATTTTAGATCTTTCCCGCTTTCTCCTGTGGGCATTTAGTACTATAAATTTTCCTCTACACACTGCTTTAAATGTGTCCCAGGGATTCTGGTATGTTGTGTCTTTGTTCTCATTGGTTTCAAAGAACATCTTTATTTCTGCTTTCATTTCATTATGTACCCAGTAGTCATTCAGGAGCAGGTTGTTCAGTTTCCATGTAGTTGAGTGGTGTTCTAGTTTGATTGCACTGTGGACTGAGAGACGGTTTGTTATAATTTCTGTTCTTTTACATTTGCTGAGGAGTGCTTTACTTCCAACTATGTGGTCAATTTTGGAATAAGTGTGATGTGGTGCTGAGAAGAATGTATATTCTGTTGATTTGGGGTGGAGAGTTCTTAGATGTCTGTTAGGTCTGCTTGGTGCAGAGCTGAGTTTAATTCCTGGATCCTTGTTAACTTTGTCTCGTTCACCTGTCTAATGTCGACAGTGGGGTGTTAAAGTCTCCCATTATTATTGTGTGGGAGTCTAAGTCTCTTTGTAGGTCTCTAACGACTTGCTTTATGAATCTGGGTGCTCCTATATTGCGTGCATATATATTTAGGATAGTTAGCTCTTCTTGTTGAATTGATCCCTTTACCATTATGTAATGGCCTTCTTTGTCTCTTCTGATCTTTGTTGGTTTAAAGTCTGTTTTATCAGAGACTAGGATTGCAATTCCTGTTTTTGTTTGTTTGTTTGTTTTCCATTTGCTTGGTAGATCTTCCTCCATCCCTTTATTTTGAGCCTATCTGTGTCTCTGCACATGAGATGTGTCTCCTGAACACAGCACACTGATGGGTCTTGACTCTTTATCCAATTTGCCAGTCTGTGTCTTTTAATTGGAGCATTTAGCCCGTTTACATTTAAGGTTAATATTGTTATGTGTGAATTTGATCCTGTCATTATGATGTTAGCTGGTTATTTTGCTCATTAGTTGATGCAGTTTCTTCCTAGCATCCATGGTCTTTACAATTTGGCATGTTTTTGCAATGGCTGGTACCAGTTGTTCCTTTCCATGTTTAGTGCTTCCTTCAGCAGCTCTTGTAAGGCAGGCCTGGTGGTGACAAAATCTCTCAGCATTTGCTTGTCTGCAAAGGATTTTATTTCTCCTTCACTTATGCAGCTTACTTTGGTTGGATATGAAATTCTGGGTTGAAAATTCTTTTATTTAAGAATGTTGAATATTGGCTCCCGCTCTCTTCTGGGAGATCCGCTATTAGTCTGATGGGCTTCCCTTTGTGGGTAACCCGACATTTCTCTCTGGCTGCCCTTAATATTTTTTTCCTTCATTTCAACTTTGGTGAATCTGACAATTATATCTTGGAGTTGCTTTTCTCGAGGAGTATCTTTGTGGTATTATCTGTATATCCTGAATTTGAATGTTGGCCTGCCTTGCTAGGTTGGGGAAGTTCTCCTGGATAATATCCTAAAGAGTGTTTTCCAACTTGATGCCATTCTCCCCGTCACTTTCAGGTACACCAATCAGATGCAGATTTGGTCTTTTCACATAGTCCCATATTTCTTGGAGGCTTTGTTCATTTCTTTTTACTCTTTTTTCTCTAAACTTCTCTTCTTTCTTCATTTCATTCATTTGATCTTCAATCACTGATACTCTTTCTTCCACTTGATCGAATTGGCTACTGAAGCTTCTGCATGCGTCACGTAGTTCTCGTGCCCTGGTTTTCAGCTCCATCAGGTCCTTTAAGGTGTTCTCTATGCTGTTTATTCTAGTTAGCCATTCATCTAATCTTTTTTCAAGGTTTTTAGCTTCTTTGTGATGGGTTTGAACATCCTCCTTTAGCTTGGAGAAGTTTGTTATTAGCTATCATCTGAAGCCTCTTCTCTCACCTCGTCAAAGTCATTCTCCATCCAGCTTTGTTCCATTGCTGGCGAGGAGCTGCCTTCCTTTGGAGGCTAAGAGGTGCTCTGATTTTTAGAATTTTCAGCTTTTCTCCTCTGGTTTCTCCCCATCTTTGTGGTTTTATCTACCTTTGGTCTTTGATGATGGTGACGTACAGATGGGGTTTTGGTGTGGATGTCCTTGCTCTTTGTTAGTTTTCCTTCTAACAGTCAGGACCCTCAGCTGCAGGTCTGCTGGAATTTGCTGGAGGTCCACTCCAGACCCTGTCTGCTGGGGTATCACCAGCGGAGGCTGCAGAACAGCAAATATTGCAGAACAGCAAATGTTGCTGCCTGATTCTTCCTCTGGAAGCTTTGTCTCAGAGGGGCACCCAGCTGTATGAAGTGTCAGTTGGCCCCTACTGGGAGGTGTCTCCCAGTTAGGCAACTCGGGGGTCAGGGACCCACTTGAGGAGGCAGTCTGTCTGTTCTCAGATCTCAAACTCTGTGCTGGGAGAATCGCTGCTCTCTTCAAAGCTGTCAGACAGGGATGTTTAAGTCTGCAGAAGTTTCTGCTGCCTTTTATTCAGCTATTCCCTGCCCTCAGAGGTGGAGTCTATAGAGGCAGGCAGGCCTCCTTGAGCTGAGGTGGGCTCCACCCAGTTTGAGCTTCCTGGCCACTTTGTTTACCTACTCAAGCCTCAGCAATGGCGGACGCCCCTCACCCAGCCTCGCTGCCACCTTGCAGTTTGATCTCAGACTGCTGTGCTAGCATTGAGCAAGGCTCCATGGGTGTGGGACCCTCCAAGCCATGCACAGGATATAATCTCCTGGTGTGCTGTTTGCTAAGACCATTGGAAAAGCACAGTATTAGGGTGGGAGTGTCCCAATTTTCCAGGTACCATCTGTCATGGCTTCCCTTGGCTTGGAAAGGGAATCCCCCCACCCCTTGCACTTCCCAGGTGAGGCGATGCCCCACCCTGCTTCGGCTCACACTCCATGGACTGCACCCATTGTCTGACATGCCCCAGTGAGATGAACGCAGTACCTCAGTTGGAAATGCAGAAATCACCCATCTTCTGCATCGCTCATGCTGGGAGCTGTAGCCCCTGGTACCTATTTTATAGGATTGCTGTGATGGTCAAGTGAGTGAATAGATATAAAGTGTTTAGAACCATGCCTGGCACAAAGCAAGTACTACCTTGGAGCTTGCTATTAAAATAATTTTAACATAATTATGTATATTTATATAAAAATTTACATAATAAAATAATAGCAAGCTCCTACACAGTGCTTGCTTTGTGCCAGGCATGGTTCTAAGCACTTTATGTCTATTCACTCATTTGACCTTCACAGTAATCCTATAAAATAGGTACCAGGATTATCCCCATTTTACAGATGAGAAAACTAAGGCACACAGAGGTTACGTAATTAGGAGATGTTGCAGGTCACTCAGCCTCTAAATTGGATCTAAGATATAGATGCCATAGCTCTTTGAAAAGTTAAAAGCAACAGACATGGGCCAAGGGACATAATGACAATCTGGATGGTGACAATGGTGATAATGCTTGGTCAGTACAGACACACATATCCAAGTAAGAACCAGAGCAAGAGGGGTAGACAAAAGCCAGTCCAAGTTCTCTGGGGGCATTATACTTATGTAATTTGGGGTCCCACTTTAAGAAAAAGTTCAAAATTACATACCAAAATGAATATTTATTTAGAGAGAGAAAAGAAATCACAAGTTAAAAATCTAAAATTGTGTCAAATGCAATAAACACTACAACATAATAAATCAACAGCCTGACACACCTCTCAAATTCTCTTTCCCATCTTATTGGCTGCATATTCTTTAATCACCTCTTCATAGATCAACAATCGTATAGTATCATCTGCTAAAGAGAGCCTAGAAAACAAATTTATTCTTTCCTCTAGTGCAGTAGATTAGAATGTGTTTGTAATATTAACAGCTTAACACTTTATTTCAGTTTTAAAATTTGTTACTAGAAATAGTGTGTGAATTTTAGGATGGATTTTGAGTTTGCGAAAACCCTGAATACACAGATCTTTTGTAATGAGCTGATGATTTCAGGGCATTTCCAGGTTTGCCATGTTGTGCCTGCTCTTTTGTACTCTTTGAATTAATAGCATTCATAAACCAGAGTCTAGGAAGGAACCCAAAGTTTGTAGCCCTCCAGCTTTCCAGCTCTGAGGGCACAGATCCCCAGGCTACCAGCCTCTGACCTCTAATGCCCAGGCCCCTCTGGCCTTCACTTCACAGCTCTGAAGGTTGCAGCTGTGTTTCTGGTAACAGAGTCTGCTGGTCCCCAAGAAGTTGCACCCAGCTCCCAAGAGCAGTTCAGGTTTCATCTCCCAGGTTGAAGACTGAAGTGCAGCGACACGATGGCCCTGTGATCCAGGCCAATGTTGGCAGTGCTGGCCATGGCGCTGGAAGGGTAGGAGGCCCAGGCAGGCCCTGGAGTTAAAGCCGTGATTTATTCCAGGAAGGAGGCCAGGGCTTGATGGGCAAAGACTGAGCCGAATATGCTAATGAGAAGACTTGCTAGACTGTGCATGAGCTGAAAGGCAGCTAGGCATTTCATCGTTCAAGTCAAACATCTGAGACATTCCAGCAGTCAAGACAAATCTTCAGTTGAACAACTTTCATTACAAGCCATGGAATGAGCAAAGTGGGGTTGGGAGAGAGCACTAGATTAGCAGTCAGGAGATCTGGGTTTCACTGCCTGTATTAGGCTGCAGCCAGCAAGCCATTTAATTCTCAGCCTGTAATTCCTCTCAGTAGATGGAAATGCTGAAATGGATCACCAGCTCAGTCCTTTTCAGGACCCTGGACTAGCCAGACAAGAGTGTGAATGGGAATCCCCACCCCTCATATCCTAACCACCTGAATAGGCAATTAGCTGAGAGGAAGCACAGTCCTTGCCACTTTTCCTAGGTTCATTGTAGAGCACCCTGAGAATTCCATGAGAGGGCACCATAAACTATTCTTTAAGAGTAGAATATTTTCTATTGCCATCCTGCAGTTTTAGAAGTTGTACAAAGTCATGAAAACCTTGGAGTCTGAAATGTCAAACAGAAAAGAGGAGGTATGGAAGAATTTACAAGCACCCTCTTCTAGTTTGAGGCTTGTGGAGTGTATTCTCAATCATGAAGGTGGAAATAAAATGTTTTCTAAATAGAGCTTTTAAATGTTTCCAAATGTTCTTCTCCTTCTCTCCTTTTTCTTTTTTCAAAATATTAATGTGTCATATAAAAATGCTCGTCACTTCCTAAGTTGTGTTTATTTAAGCATCTTAAAATAACTTGTAGGCTTTTCTAGCTAGAATATTAGTAAATAAGCTCTTAAGCTACTGCTTCTCCAATCAGTAAAAAAAATGTTTTAATGATGCATAGTGGTGTGACATAAAAAGTTAGAATATACACCCCAGATGCAGTTAAGAAATTTCTAAAATTTAGTCACTGGTGTACAAATCTGTTCAGGGAACACTTTGACTTTCAAGAACAGCATCACGAGTGCTCTGGTGTCAATTGGTTTTAAAAATGAGTGTGCAGCACTTCTTTTTTTCTGACCAATAATTTTTCTTGTTTTAAAAATCATTATTGTTATCTCTGATAATAAAGAAACAGATGGCCATAATAAAGATTACAAAGTGTATGCCGTAAAACCATGAAAGTTCTGATAATCCCAGAGATAAACACTGCTTGGTTTATATTCATCCAGATATTTTTTCAAAGCATGCTATTACAGATCTTCACAGTATACATAAATTGAAATAAGAACATACATAATGCTATTTTCACATTGCCTTTTTGTTTTCTTTAACTTGAATCTTAGTAATGGACATCTATCTATGTCAATGCATGTGCAGTTTCTTCTCTGTTTTACACTTACCCTAGTATCCTATTGTATGGCACTATCATGATTGTTTAATCTGCTTTTGATATACATTTGGGTTATTTCCAATGTTTCTAAATGGCAGCAGTAATGAGTAAAATACTTGTTTCATAATCTTTGTGCACATCTGCCAGTGTTTCTGCAAGAGAAATTACTAAAAGGGGAATTGCTGGGACAGGTACTATGCATCTCTTAATTTTGACACACACTGCCTGTCTTCTAAAAGAATCAAGCCAATTTATACCCCTACCATTATTACATAAATTAGCCTGCCTTTTCCTCTTACATTTTTGCAAACACTTGTACCCACTAACTTTTAAAGCTTTACCAATCTGATTAACAAAGAAAGATAACTTATTTAAATTTCTTACATCTGGATTTATTGTTACATAAGATATAAAGATATTATGGAAGTGATCACTAATAATAAACTTACAAATAAGTAAATAAATAAAGTAGTAATAAAAAATTTAGTTCAGTAGTTTTTAAAGATTTCTCTAAGTTTCTTAAGCTTTAAGTTTAGACATCGAAATAATAGACCATCAAATAACAGTACGGATTACCAACAGAGTGGTTTCATAATGGAAGCAGCATGCTTCTTCTCCAGTTTTCTGTGCTTAGGAAGTTGGATGTGTGAGTTCTGGTTCCTGTAAACTTCCTGACTTTTTACCCTTTCCCTCAGTCTCCCCAGCTCCCCAAATGAAGTCCATACATGAGTAGGCAGCTATAAAAATGATTTATGTATATAAATAGGTTGCTGTTACTTTCTTCTAAAGATTAAGTGGTCTAGCTTCAGTTCATAGGGCTTTCAGGAAAGCATGGCTTCATTTTTAGTGATTTCAATTTAGGAAAACTGTGGGGGTGGGGTAGGGAGGAAAGAAAGAAGGAAAAATTTGAAAACATTATTTTGGAGATTCGTAGCCAGAAAACAATTTATAATTCAGTCCAAATTATAGAAAATAATAAAAATTCAAAAACATTGGGCAACACTATAATCTAATAGCAGGTGTACTGTAGTTTATTCTGAAATATAATTTTTGTCTCTCCAATTCCCCAAGACAATATGATAGTAGGACCAATTTATTTGTAAAATAAATTTTAGTCTTATTATACTTGGCTTGATTATTTGCATAAAAGGCAGCAAGAATAATCATTTGCCATACGGTCTTTTCTTTTTAAAGAAAATTTAGCTTTGCTGAAATGTTTTCTATAAGGAATATAATATTATACATTTTTTTAAAGTCTCAAGCCCAGCCAAGAATATATCTGTGCCTGCAGATATCTGTATAAATTGGGTGAATTCTTCTCCTTTTGAGATTTCAAGAAAACTTGGGGTTCCTCGACATGTCAGAAGGTGACATTCTTTATTTACCACAGGTCAGGACCCTGTAAAGGTCAAGGTATAAGGCCAGTTTTCCCAAGCGGCTCTTATCAGCTGTATATTTTTATAAGGCAATCTGAAAATACATCATTCTAGCCAAAGCCTTGGTAAAATAACCAGTGTCTCTAGTTATGTCATGTTATAAAAGAAAACAAATTCTTATTGAGCTTATGTGAAGAACTGTGTGACCATAAATTAAGAATACTTACAAATAGCTTCCAAATTTTGGAAAAATTAGGTAGAGGGAAAGGAATTATATTTTAAATTTTGCTCATTAGAGTATACTTTACGCAATTGTTAAAAGCTATAAACAGCTTAAAGGAAGTTTCCCTGACTGTGAAAAACAAAACAAAAAGAATCAGAAAATGTTTTAAACAAAAAGTCATAAAAGATTATGTCAGTCTTCTATTAGTTCAGTCCATGCAATTAACTCCTGTTCTGCTTATTCAGCAAACCTCATGAATATATCAGTACTCCATGAGAATCCTGGAAGTTTTTCTATTTTAATAGCACAATCTCTAAATTTATCAGAAACTTATATAATCTTAGAGTTGATTATAATCCACTATATAAAAGGATCAAAGTAAAATAACAATTGTGGGTGACAAAAGGCTTAGACCAGCCATGATTAAAGACGCAACTAATGAGGGTACAAGGGATCATGGTGGACAGGAGGCAGGACTAGATTGCAGCTCTGGACAGAGCAGCATGCGGAGGCTTGCATTATGAATTTTTAGCTCCAGATCAAGTGCAAGAACAAACCAGCAATGCGGAGAGGACCCACAGACCCTCTGAAGGAAGTGCATTGCTCATGCATGACCCAGGAGACACCCCAAATACTGAGTGCCCCAGCTGCGGAAGTGGGAAAGGGAGACACTCCTCTCCCGAATACACACCCCCACTGGAGAAGGTGAAGGTCTGTTTGCAGGAGAAGTTTCTGACTTTACCTGGAGCTGAGTCAAGTTAGAGAGCTGAGTGAAATACAGGGGTAGAGGAAGCAGCAGAAAGGCCCTGGGAGCTCACTGGGTCCCTGAGCAGCCCATTCCTTCCAGGCACCACAGGGATCCATCAGGAGGGTGGCCAGAGGAGCAGGGGGTAAAACTCCACAGGGAGAAGGAATTCTCTAGCTGAACTTTGTAGCAATTTGAATGAGGCAAGAAGCCTCCTGGGTAGAACTTGGGGGTCGAATCAGGCATGCACACTTCAGAGGCAGAGGAAGAACTAAAGCACTTTTCTCTCACAGCTGGGAGGCAGAGAGCCTCAGGCAAGTTTTCGAGCCTATTGCCCACTGCCTGGAAACAGACTTGGGGCTACTGGGGGAGGCATGGTGGGAGTAAGACCGGCCCTTCAGTTTGCATGGGAGCTGGGTGAGGCCTGTGACTGCTGGCTTTCCTCTACTTTCCTGACAACCTGCATGACTTAGAAGAGGCAGCCATAATCCTCCTAGGTACACAACTCCAGTGACCTGGGAATCTTACTTCCATCCCCTATAGCAGCCACAGCAAGACCCGCCCAGGGAGAGTCTGAGCTCAGACATGCCTAGCCCCACCCCCACCTGATGATCCTTCCATATCTGCACTTGTAGTGGAAGACAAAGGGCATATAATCTTGGGGGTTCTAGGGCCCCACCCTCTGCCAATCCCTCACCACACTACTACAGCTGATGCTTTCTGGAAAGTGCCACCTCCTGGCAGAAGGCCAACCAGCACAAAAATAGAGCATTAAACCACCAAAGCTAAGGACCCTCATGGAGTCCATTGCACCCTCCACCACTTCCAGCAGAACAGGCGCTGGTATCCATGACTGAGAGACCCACAGATGGTTCACATCATAGGACTCTGTGCAGTCAACCCCCAGTACCAGCCTGGAGCTGGGCAGACTTGCTGGGTTGGCTGGACCAAGAAGCGAGACAACAATCATTGCAGTTTGGCTCACAGGAAGCCACATCCATAGAGAAAGGGGGAGAGTACTACATCAAGGGAACACCCCGTGGGACAAAAGAATCTGAACAACAGCCCTCAGCCCTAGACCTTCCCTCTGACAGAGCCTACCCAAATGAGAAGGAACAAGAAAAGCAACCCTGATAATATGACAAAACAAGGCTCTTCAACATCCCCCAAAAATCACACTAGTTCACCAGCAATGGATCCAAACAAGAAGAAATCCCTGACTTATCTGAAAAAGAATTCAGGAGGTTAGTTATTAAGCTCATCAGGGAGGGACCAGAGAAAGGCAAAGCCCAATGCAAGGAAATCCAAAAATTGATATAAAAAGTGAAGGGAAAAATATTCATGGAAATAGATAGCTTAAAGAAAAAACAATAAAAAATTCAGGAAACTTTGGACACACTTTTAGAAATGTGAAATGCTCTGGAAAGTCTCAGCAATAGAATTGAACAAGTAGAAGAAAGAAATTTAGAGCTCGAAGACAAGGTCTTCAAATTAACCCAATCCAACAAAGACAAAGAAAAAAGAATAACAAAATAGGAACGGAGCTCCGGTCTACAGCTCCCAGCGTGAGCGACGCAGAAGACGGGTGATTTCTGCATTTCCATCTGAGGTACCGGGTTCATCTCACTAGGGAGTGCCAGACAGTGGGCGCAGGCCAGTGGGTGTGCGCACCGTGCGCGAGCCGAAGCAGGGCGAGGCATTGCCTCACCTGGGAAGCGCAAGGGGTCAGGGAGTTCCCTTTCCGAGTCAAAGAAAGGGGTGACGGACGCACCTGGAAAATCGGGTCACTCCCACCCGAATACTGCGCTTTTCAGACCGGCTTAAAAAACGGCGCACCACGAGACTATATCCCACACCTGGCTCGGAGGGTCCTACGCCCACGGAATCTCGCTGATTGCTAGCACAGCAGTCTGAGATCAAACTGCAAGGCGGCAGCGAGGCTGGGGGAAGGCAGCCCGCCATTGCCCAGGCTTGCTAAGGTAAACAAAGCAGCCGGGAAGCTCGAACTGGGTGGAGCCCACCACAGCTCAAGGAGGCCTGCCTGCCTCTGTAGGCTCCACCTCTGGGGGCAGGGCACAGACAAACAAAAAGACAGCAGTAACCTCTGCAGACTTAAATGTCCCTGTCTGACAGCTTTGAAGAGAGCAGTGGTTCTCCCAGCACGCAGCTGGAGATCTGAGAACAGGCAGACTACCTCCTCAAGTGGGTCCCTGACCCCTGACCCCCGAGCAGCCTAACTGGGAGGCACCCCCCAGCAGGGGCACACTGACACCTCACACGGCAGGGTATTCCAACAGACCTGCAGCTGAGGGTCCTGTCTGTTAGAAGGAAAACTAACAAACAGAAAGGACATCCACACCAAAAACCCATCTGTACATCACCATCATCAAAGACCAAAAGTAGATAAAACCACAAAGATGGGGAAAAAACAGAACAGAAAAACTGGAAACTCTAAAACGCAGAGCGCCTCTCCTCCTCCAAAGGAACGCAGTTCCTCACCAGCAACGGAACAAAGCTGGATGGAGAATGACTTTGACGAGCTGAGAGAAGAAGGTTTCAGACGATCAAATTACTCTGAGCTACGGGAGGACATTCAAACCAAAGGCAAAGAAGTTGAAAACTTTGAAAAAAATTTAGAAGAATGTATAACTAGAATAATCAATACAGAGAAGTGCTTAAAGGAGCTGATGGAGCTGAAAACCAAGGCTTGAGAACTACGTGAAGAATGCAGAAGCCTCAGGAGCCGATGCGATCAACTGGAAGAAAGGGTATCAGCAATGGAAGATGAAATGAATGAAATGAAGCGAGAAGGGAAGTTTAGAGAAAATAGAATAAAAAGAAATGAGCAAAGCCTCCAAGAAATATGGGACTATGTGAAAAGACCAAATCTACGTCTGATTGGTGTACCTGAAAGTGATAGGGAGAATGGAACCAAGTTGGAAAACACTCTGCAGGATATTATCCAGGAGAACTTCCCCAATCTAGCAAGGCAGGCCAACGTTCAGATTCAGGAAATACAGAAAACGCCACAAAGATACTCCTCGAGAAGAGCAACTCCAAGACACGTAATTGTCAGATTCACCAAAGTTGAAATGAAGGAAAAAATGTTAAGGGCAGCCAGAGAGAAAGGTCGGGTTACCCTCAAAGGGAAGCCCATCAGACTAACAGCGGATCTCTTGGCAGAAACCCTACAAGCCAGAAGAGAGTGGGGGCCAATATTCAACATTCTTAAAGAAAAGAATTTTCAACCCAGAATTTCATATCCAGCCAAACTAAGCTTCATAAGTGAAGGAGAAATAAAATCCTTTACAGACAAGCAAATGCTGAGAGATTTTGTCACCACCAGGCCTGCCCTAAAAGAGCTCCTGAAGGAAGCGCTAAACATGGAAAGGAACAACCGGTACCAGCCGCTGCAAAATCATGCCAAAATGTAAAGACCATCGAGACTAGGAAGAAACTGCATCAACTAACGAGCAAAATCACCAGCTAACATCATAATGACAGGATCAAATTCACACATAACAATATTAACTTTAAATGTAAATGGACTAAATTCTCCAATTAAAAGACACAGACTGGCAAGTTGGATAAAGAGTCAAGACCCATCAGTGTGCTGTATTCAGGAAACCCATCTCACGTGCAGAGACACACATAGGCTGAAAATAAAAGGATGGAGGAAGATCTACCAAGCAAATGGAAAACAAAAAAAGGCAGGGGTTACAATCCTAGTCTCTGATAAAACAGACTTTAAACCAACAAAGATCAAAAGAGACAAAGAAGGCCATTACATAATGGTAAAGGGATCAATTCAACAAGAGGAGCTAACTATCCTAAATATATATGCACCCAATACAGGAGCACCCAGATTCATAAAGCAAGTCCTGAGTGACCTACAAGGAGACTTAGACTCCCACACATTAATAATGGGAGACTTTAACACCCCACTGTCAACATTAGACAGATCAACGAGACAGAAAGTCAACAAGGATACCCAGGAATTGAACTCAGCTCTGCACCAAGCGGACCTAATAGACATCTACAGAACTCTCCACCCCAATTCAACAGAATATATGTTTTTTTCAGCACCACACCACACCTATTCCAAAATTGACCACATAGTTGGAAGTAAAGCTCTCCTCAGCAAATGTAAAAGAACAGAAATTATAACAAACTATCTCTCAGACCACAGTGCAATCAAACTAGAACTCAGGATTAAGAATCTCACTCAAAGCCGCTCAACTACATGGAAACTGAACAACCTGCTCCTGAATGACTACTGGGTACATAACGAAATGAAGGCAGAAATAAAGATGTTCTTTGAAACCAACGAGAACAAAGACACCACATACCAGAATCTCTGGGACGTATTCAAAGCAGTGTGTAGAGGGAAATTTATAGCACTAAATGCCTACGAGAGAAAGCAGGAAAGATCCAAAATTGACACCCTAACATCACAATTAAAAGAACTAGAAAAGCGAGAGCAAACACATTCAAAAGCTAGCAGAAGGCAAGAAATAACTAAAATCAGAGCAGAACTGAAGGAAATAGAGACACAAAAAACCCTTCAAAAAATCAATGAATCCAGGAGCTGGTTTTTTGAAAGGATCAACAAAATTGATAGACCACTAGCAAGACTAATAAAGAAAAAAAGAGAGGAGAATCAAATAGACACAATAAAAAATGATAAAGGGGATATCACCACCGATCCCACAGAAATACAAACTACCATCAGAGAATACTACAAACACCTCTACGCAAATAAACTAGAAAATCTAGAAGAAATGGATACATTCCTTGACACATACACTCTCCCAAGACTAAACCAGGAAGAAGTTGAATCTCTGAATAGACCAATAACAGGCGCTGAAATTGTGGCAATAATCAATAGTTTACCAACCAAAAAGAGTCCAGGACCAGATGGATTCACAGCCAAATTCTACCAGAGGTACAAGGAGGAACTGGTACCATTCCTTCTGAAACTATTCCAATCAATAGAAAAAGAGGGAATACTCCCTAACTCATTTTATGAGGCCAGCATCATTCTGATACCAAAGCCGGGCAGAGACACAACCAAAAAAGAGAATTTTAGACCAATATCCTTGATGAACATTGATGCAAAAATCCTCAATAAAATACTGGTAAACCGAATCCAGCAGCACATCAAAAAGCTTATCCACCATGATCAAGTGGGCTTCATCCCTGGGATGCAAGGCTGGTTCAATATACGCAAATCAATAAATGTAATCCAGCATATAAACAGAGCCAAAGACAAAAACCACATGATTATCTCAATAGATGCAGAAAAAGCCTTTGACAAAATTCAACAACCCTTCATGCTAAAAACTCTCAATCAATTAGGTATTGATGGGACGTATTTCAAAATAATAAGAGCTATCTATGACAAACCCACAGCCAATATCATACTGAATGGGCAAAAACTGGAAGCATTCCCTTTGAAAACTGGCACAAGACAGGGATGCCCTCTCTCACCGCTCCTATTCAACATAGTGTTGGAAGTTCTGGCCAGGGCAATCAGGCAGGAGAAGGAAATAAAGGGTATTCAATTAGGAAAAGAGGAAGTCAAATTGTCCCTGTTTGCAGACGACATGATTGTTTATCTAGAAAACCCCATCATCTCAGCCCAAAATCTCCTTAAGCTGATAAGCAACTTCAGCAAAGTCTCAGGATACAAAATCAATGTACAAAAATCACAAGCATTCTTATACACCAACAACAGACAAACAGAGAGCCAAATCATGAGTGAACTCCCATTCACAATTGCTTCAAAGAGAATAAAATACCTAGGAATCCAACTTACAAGGGATGTGAAGGACCTCTTCAAGGAGAACTACAAACCACTGCTCAAGGAAATAAAAGAGGATACAAACAAATGGAAGAACATTCCATGCTCATGGGTAGGAAGAATCAATTGCGTGAAAATGGCCATACTGCCCAAGGTAATTTACAGATTCAATGCCATCCCCATCAAGCTACCAATGACTTTCTTCACAGAATTGGAAAAAACTACTTTAAAGTTCATATGGAACCAAAAAAGAGCCCGCATCGCCAAGTCAATCCTAAGCCAAAAGAACAAAGCTGGAGGCATCACACTACCTGACTTCAAACTATACTACAAGGCTACAGTAACCAAAACAGCATGGTACTGGTACCAAAACAGAGATATAGATCAATGGAACAGAACAGAGCCCTCAGAAATAACGCCACATACCTACAACTATCTGATCTTTGACAAACCTGAGAAAAACAAGCAATGGGGAAAGGATTCCCTATTTAATAAATGGTGCTGGGAAAACTGGCTAGCCATATGGAGAAAGCTGAAACTGGATCCCTTCCTTACACCTTATACAAAATCAATTCAAGATGGATTAAAGATTTAAACGTTAGACCTAAAACCATAAAAACCCTAGAAGAAAACCTAGGCATTACCATTCAGGACATAGGCGTGGGCAAGGACTTCATCTCCAAAACACCAAAAGCAATGGCAACAAAAGCCAAAATTGACAAATGGGATCTAATTAAACTAAAGAGCTTCTGCACAGCAAAAGAAACTACCATCAGAGTGAACAGGCAACCTACAACATGGGAGAAAATTTTCACAACCTACTCATCTGACAAAGGGCTAATATCCAGAATCTACAATGAACTCAAACAAATTTACAAGGAAAAAACAAACAACCCCATCAAAAAGTGGGCGAAGGACATGAACAGACACTTCTCAAAAGAAGACATTTATGCAGCCAAAAAATACATGAAAAAATGCTCATCATCACTGGCCATCAGAGAAATGCAAATCAAAACCACTATGAGATACCATCTCACACCAGTTAGAATGGCAATCATTAAAAAGTCAGGAAACAACAGGTGCTGGAGAGGATGTGGAGAAATAGGAACACTTTTACACTGTTGGTGGGACTGTAAACTAGTTCAACCATTGTGGAAGTCAGTGTGGCGATTCCTCAGGGATCTAGAACTAGAAATACCATTTGACCCAGCCATCCCATTACTGGGTATATACCCAAATGACTATAAATCATGCTGCTATAAAGACACATGCACACGTATGTTTATTGCGGCATTATTCACAATAGCAAAGACTTGGAACCAACCCAAATGTCCAACAATGATAGACTGGATTAAGAAAATGTGGCACATATACACCATGGAATACTATGCAGCCATAAAAAAAAGATGAGTTCATGTCCTTTGTAGGGACATGGATGAAATTGGAAACCATCATTCTCAGTAAACTATCGCAAGAACAAAAAACCAAACACCGCATATTCTCACTCATAGGTGGGAATTGAACAATGAGATCACATGGTCACAGGAAGGGGAATATCACACTCTGGGGACTGTGGTGGGGTGGGGGGAGGGGGGGAGGGGTAGCATTGGGAGATATACCTAATGCTAGATGACGAGTTAGTGGGTGCAGCGCACCAGCATGGCACATGTATACATATGTAACTAACCTGCACAATGTGCACATGTACCCTAAAACTTAAAGTATAATTAAAAAAAAAAAAAAAAAAGAAAATAGGAACAAAGCCTCCAAGAAGTCTGGGATTATGTTAAATGACAAAACCTACGAATAATTGGTGTACCTGAGGAAGAAGAGAATTCTAAAAGCCTGGAAAACATATTTGGGGGAATAATCAAGGAAAACTTCTCTGGCCATTAAGGACACCTAGACATCCAAATACAAGAAGCACAAAGAACACCTGGGAAATTCATCACAAAAAATATCTTCACCTAGGCAGATTGTCATCAGGTTGCCCAAAGTCAAGACAAAGGAAAGAATGTTAAGAGCTGTGAGACAGAAGCACCAGGTAACCTACAAAGGAAAATCTGTCAGATTAACAGCAGATTTCTCAGCAGAAACCCTACAAGTTAAAAGGGACTGGGGACCTATCTTCAGCCTCCTCAAACAAAACAATTATCAGCCAACAATTTTGTATCCAGTGAAACTAAGCATCATAGATGAAGGAAAGATACAGTCATTTTCAGACAAAGAAATGCTGACAGAATTCGTCATTACCAAGGCACCACTACAAGAACTGCTAAAAGAAGCTCCAAATCTTGAAACAAATCCTGGGAACACATCAAAACAGGACCTCTTTAAAGCAAAAATCACACAGGATCTGTAAAACAAAAATACAAGTTAAAAAGCAAACACAAAACAACAAAAACAACAACAACAGACACAAAGTACACAGGCAACAAAGAGCATGATGAAAGCAATGGCACCTCACATTTCAATATTAACGTTGAATGTAAATGGCCTAAATGCTCCACTTAAAAGATACAGAACTGTAGAATGAGTAAGAAGTCACCAACTAACTATCTGCTGCCTTCAGGAGACTCACGTGACATGTAAGGACTCACATAAACTTAAAGTAAAGGGGTGGAAAAAGGCATTTCATGGAAATGGACAGCAAAAGCAAGCAGGGGTAGCTATTCTTATATCAGACAAAACAAACTTTAAAGCAACAGTGGTTAAAAGAGACAAAGAGGGACAGCATATAATAGTAAAAGGCCTTGTTCAACAGGAAAATATCACAATCCTAAATATATATGCACTCAATGCAAGAGCTCCCAAATTTATAAAACAATTACTAATAGTCCTAAGAAATGAGATAGATAGCAACATAATAATAGTGGAGAACTTCAATACTCCACACTGACAGCACTAGACAGGTCATAAAGACAGAAAGTCAACAAAGAAACAATGGATTTCAACTATACCTTGGAACAAATGGACTTAGCAGATATATACAGAACATTTCATCCAACAACTGCAGAATACACATTCTATTCGACAGCTCATGGAACGCTCCAAGATAGACCATATGATAGGCCGTAAAATGAGCCTCAATAAATTTAAGAAAATTGAAATTATACCAAGTACTCTCTCAGACCACAGTGGAATAAAACTGGAAATCAACTCCAAAACGAACCTTCAAAACCAGGCAAATACATGGAAATCAAATAACCTGCTCCTGAATGAGTATTGGGTCAAAAAGAAAATCAAAATGGAAATTAAAAAACTTTTTGAACTGAATGACAATAATGACACAACCTATCAAAACCTCTGGGCTACATCAAAGGCGGTCCTAAGAGGAAAGTTCATAGCCCTAAACGCCTAAATCAAAAAGTCTGAAAGAGCACAGACAATATAAGGTCATGTGTCAAGGAACTAGAGAAACAAGAATAAACCAAACCCAAACCCAGCAGAAGAAAGGAAATAACCAAGATCAGAGCATAATGAAATGAAATTGAAACAAAAAAATACAAGAGATAAATGAAACAAAAAGCTAGTTCCTTGAAAAGATAAATAAAACTGATGGACCATTGGCAAGATTAACCAGGAAAAAAAGAGAGCAAATCGAAATACCCTCATTAAGAAATGAAACAGGGGATATTAGAACTGACACCACTGAAATACAAAAGATCATTCAAGGCTACTATGAACACTTTTACACACAAACTGGAAAATCTAGAAGAGATGGATAAATTCCTGGAAAAATACAACCCTCCTAGCTTAAATCAGGAAGAATTAGATACCCTGAACAGACCAATAAGAAGCAGTGAGATTGAAATGGTAATTAAAAAATTACCAACAAAAAAAGTCCCGGACCAGATGGATTCACAGCAGAATTCGACCAGACATTCAAAGAAGAATTGGTACTAATCCTCTTGACACTATTCCACAAGATAGAGAAAGAAGAACCCCTCCATAATTCATTCTATGAAGCCAGCATCACCCTAATACCAAAATCAGGAAAGGACATAACCAAAAAGGAAAACTACAGACTGATATCCTTGACAAACATAGATGCTAAAATCCTTAACAAAATACTAGCTAACTGAATTCAACAACATATCAAAAGGATAAGCCACCTCGATCGAGTGGGTTTCATACCAGGGATGCAGGGATGATTTAACATACATGAGTCAATAAATGTGATACACCACATAAACAGGAATAAAAACAAAAATCACATGATCATCTTAATAGATGCAGAAAAAGCATTAGACAAAATCCAGCATTGCTTTATGATTAAAACTCTCGGTAAAATCGGCATTCAAGGGACATACCTTAATGTAATAAAAGCCATCTATGACAAACCCACAGCCAACATAATGCCGAATGGGGAAAAGTTGAAAGCATTCCCTCTGAGAACTGGAACAGGACAAGGATGCCCATTCTCACCACTCTTCTTCAGCATGGTACTGGAAGTCCTAGCCAGACTGATCAGACCAGAGAAAGAAATAAGGGCATCCAAATTGGTAAAGAGGAAGTCAAACTGTCACTGTTTGCTGACAATATGATTGTTTATCTTGAAACCCTAAAGACTCCCCTAGAAAGCTCCTAGAACTGATAAAAGAATTCAGCAAAGTTTCCGGATACAAGATTAATGTACACAAATCAGTAGCTCTTCTATATACCAACAGTGACCAGGTAGAGAATCAAATCAGGAACTCAGCCCCTTTTACAATAGCTGGAAAAAAAATAAAATAAAATACTTAGGAATATACCTAACAAAGGAGTTGAAAGACCTCTACAAAGACAACTACAAAACACTGCTGAAAGGAGTCATAGATGACACAAACAAATGGAAACACATCCCATACTCATGGATGGGTAGAATCAACATTGTGAAAAGGACCATACTGCCAAAGCAATCTACAAATTCCGTGCAATCCCCATCAAACTATCACCAACATTCTTCACAGAATTAGAAAAAACAATTCTAAAATTCATATGGAACCAAAAAAGAGCTCACATAGCCAAAGCAAGAGTATGCAAAAAGGACAAATCTGGAGGCATCACGCTACCTGATTTCAAACTATACTATAAGGCCATAGTCACCAAAACAGCATCGTATTAGTATAAAAATAGGCACGTAGACCAGTGGAACAGAATAGAGAACCCAGGAATAAACCCAAATACTTATAGCCCACTGATCTTCGACATGGCAAACAAAAACATAAAATGGGCGAAGGACACCCTTTTCAACAAATGGTGCTGTGATAATTGGCTAGCCACCTGTAGGAGAATTAAACTGGATCTGCATTTCTCACCTTATACAAAAATCAACTCAAGATGGATTAAGGACTTAAACCTAAGACCTGAAACTATAAAAATTCTAGAAGATAATATTGGAAAAAGCCTCCTAGACATTGGCTTAGGCAAGGATTTCATGACCAAGAACCCAAAAACAAATGCAATAAAAACAAAGATAAATAGCTGGGACCCAATTAAACTAAGGAGCTTTTGCACAATAAAAGGAACAGTCTGCAGAGTAAAAAGACAACCCACAGAGTGGGAGAAAATCTCCACAATCTATACATCTGACAAAGGACTAATATCCAGAATCTACAACAAACTCAAACAAATCAGTAACAAAAAAACAAATTATCCCACCAAAAAGTGGGCTAAGGACATGAATAGACAATTCTCAAAAGAAGATACACAAATGGCCAACAATCATATAAAAAAATGCTCAACATCGCTAATGATCAGGGAAATGCACCTCAAAACCACAATGCGATACTACCTTACTCCTGCAAGAATGGCCATAATCAAAAAACAGTAGATGTTGGCATGGATGCAGTGAACAAGGAACACTTCTACACTGCTGGTGGAAATGTAAACTACTACAACCATTATGGAAAACAGTGTGGAGATTCCTTAAAGAACTAAAAGTAGAACTACCATTTGATCCAGCAATCCCACTATTGGGTATCTACGCAGAGGAAAATAAGTCATTATTCAAAAAAGATACTTGCACACACATGTTTATAGCAGCACAATTCACAATTGCAAAATCGTGGAACTAACACAAATGCCCATTAACCAACAAGTAGATAAAGAAACTGTGGTGTGTGTGTATATATATATGATATATGATGGAATACTACACAGCCATAAAAGGAATGAATTAACCATGTTTGCAGTGACTTGGTTGAGATTGGAGATTATTATTCTAAGTGATGTAACTCAGGAATGGAAAACCAAACATTGTATGTTCTCACTGATATGTGGGAGCTAAGCTATGAGGACACAAAGGTATAAGAACGATACAATGGAATCTGGGGACTTGGGGGGAAGAGTTGGGGGGTGGTGAGAGATAAAAGACTACAAATATGGTGCAGTGTATACTGCTAGGGTGAGAGGTGCACCAAAATCTCACAAATCACTACTAAAGAACTACACATGTAACCAAATACCACCTATACCCCAATACCCCAATAACTTATGGAAAAATAAAAATAATAAAAAACAATACACGATTAACAAGGAAATTTGGTTACTTCTGTGGCATAAAACAATTTACATAACAATCATAATTACTACTGATAAGATATACTAAGACATATTAGAATCACAAGATCTCATAAAATTTTGGAACACTTACTAATAATACAGTTATATAAACCTAATCTAAAGAAGGTTAACACCATTTCATACTTGACAATTCTTCCTGTATGATTTTAGTATACCAAATGAGCCAAATACGTCCCTTTTGGACTTCAGGGACCGTATATCAAAAAATTAATGAGGTCAAAAAGGCAAAATTTAGAATTTGATTTTGGAAAGTTTATCAAATATCAAAAGTTTAAAACACCTAATTATCACAAAATAGGGTCACAGGTCATTGTGAAATAAGTCATTCATTTAACCAAAGTGACAACTCAAAGATTTCAAAAAAGGCAAAAGTCTTTATTCTTTGAAAGAGACTTACTTTCCAAACAGTAAGCCCTAATAAAGATAGAATGAGGCTAATTAAATCTGTCTCTCAAATCTTATAAATAAATCTATTAAATTTTAATCATCTTGACCACAAGATGCAATTTCTATAAACCTTTTTATAACCTTTTGTAATTGCTTTTATTAAAGAGTAAGTTAATGCTCCAAGAAAACATTGTTAATCTGACATAGGGGCCCAGATGCTGGTCTTGCATCACTGTGCCTTTGATATTAATGTTTAATTTATACAGAAATTCTGAACTAATTTTATTTCTCAAAATCGACCCTTACAATCTCATGCTCCCACCTCTTCTGCAATAGTCCTCGGGTCTACAGGGGTTAGTTTTAATTTCTGACCCTGTGTCTCATGAATTTGGCTTATTTTGATTGTCATCTTCTCTTGGATCTGAGGATGAGACCTTAACTGCTGTCAGTGTTTAAGATTTAGCAGGACTTGGTGTCCCTTTTAGACTGAGGAGTCAAAGCTCTATAACTTAACACAAATACTTTAAAAGCAATACAGAAAATTACATGGATGTAATAAACTCAACTTTTTAATTTCAGCTTTTCTAGGCAAATAAAAAAACTTAATAACAATGATGTAGAAATTATTTCAATAAAATATAAAATCTATTTGTTAAGCCAGTTACCACAAGGCAAACAAACAAACAAAAGACCTTCTGAAATGTGATTGCTTTTCCCTACGGGGAGTCCATTTAGATAGGCTGCAAGTTAAAATTTATGAAAATGGCTTGACTTACTTAGACGTAGGAAGAGTGTGTCCCGTGTCCTAAGTGACAGTTTTCTATTTTATATAAGAATTTAAAGCCACGTGCACAGGACGTTACATTGGAAAAAGACATTTCCTTTAGACCTTTAAAATAAAACATTTTTAGCATCAGTCCACAACATCAGTTAGAATCTGAAGGAAAAAAGTTACAGGAGCTGACAAAAATGTTGAAGAAGAGAGTTATTATATCAGGCCTTCTTGATGGGGGGAGAAAGCTGAAAACAGTGAGACACAATAAAAATTAAACTTTTGGGTTAAAAATTAAAATCTCTTGTCATTTTATGAAGAGTAAATCAATACCTTAAGAAAATTTTGTTGTTCTAACCCATTCTTCAGTGTATTTTTAATATAAAAGCCCAATCTCTAGAAAGACTATTGTAAGTAATTTAATTATAACCAGCTTGATTACATAAAGTGTTTTTTCCATAAATTGTCTTTTTACAAACCTTATTATGACTTATACAAACCATTTATGACACCCTTGGACTTCCTGTTTTATCCTAAACATCCCTCTTTCTTAAATAACCAATTATTTTGTTTTAAGACAAAAATTTTACCACACGATTCCTTCTCATGTAAAATTATTTTCCTTTTAACCTTTCTTACCAAAAGTATTACTTTGTACTTATCTTTCTTTACATCTTTCTTATTTACTGGTTCATTTTACCTTGTTTTATAAATAACCTTTAAATAACCTTTGAATTAGACAAACTATTCCCTTTTAATAAGAACATATTGTTTTTTAGAAAAATATTTTCCTGTAATTGTTTTAAAAAGCTAGGTGACCCTAACATTTAATGAATATCTATGATTTAATTTAACTGTAGATTCTAAATTATTATATATACATTTGTTTTACAACCACTTATTGTTATATTAACCTAATTACGTTTTGTAAAAATTAATTTACCTAGATTACTTATGAAAACTGTGATTGTCATCATTTAAAGTTATTTTCTTGTTAACCATTTTTTATAGTCTGTGAATTTCAGTTGCTAACCTAAGTAAGAAATTTAAGGTTAAGTAAATGTGGCTTTTTTTTTAGTAAGACAGGATTTAGCTATTTTTTATTAAATTGATAATATTACATACCTATTTATCAAAAAATTACATGATAATCTTCTTTTGGGCTTCATTTAGAGCTTTATAACCCTCATGTCAAATCTTGACATCTGATAATATTTAGCACAGATAAATATAAAACTGCTTGGCCAATAAATCAAAAAAATAATATATGTTGACAATTCTGAATCCATTCTCATTTCATTTTACCAATTATTTAAGAGCCAGCTTATTGATTAAAAATTTACTTAAGTAGCTTGAACTTGAAAAGTATTTGGGCTTATTTACTTAATTTATGAATATTCCTTTATTTTTAAGCCAATTTGGTACCTTATGGCCATAACACGTAACAAAACACATATACGTACATTTAAATACACCTAAGCACACATGCACACTTACTCATACAAATAAAGATTCTATAGCTTTTACTTTGGAACTGTAGCCATGAGATATCAATACAAATTTACAAGTTTACAAAAAAAAAAATGCTTGGATGCAAACAGTGGTTTTTATCTCAACACCAGTAGAAAGGCCTTCTAAACTAGAAAAGTTACATTTTCTTAAACAAAAACCACATTCTCTGTTTTTTTTTCACAAAGTTTACCAAAACACATCTTACCCTCCCACTATTCTAACTCTTAGTAACCTTAATTCCTAGTGAAAAAGGTAGGATCACTTAATTGATCACAACATGAGGGGGTGTAGCAGAGGTGGGGATGGTTAATGGGTACAAAAAAATAGAAAGAATGAATAAGACCTAGTATTTGATAGCACAACAGGGTGACTATAGTCAAAATAAATTAACTGTTCATTTAAAAATAACTAAAAGAGTATAATTGGTTTATAACACAAAGAATAAATGCTTGAGGAATGGATACCCCATTTTCCATGATATGATTATTACACAATGCATGCCTATACCAAAATATCACATGAATATATGTGTATACCTACCATGTACCCAAAAAAATTAAAATAAAAAAGTAACATGACTTTAAGATTTTAAATTACTGGGGAGAATTTTGAAACTAAATATACCAAATTAATCTTACCAAAAAATACTGAAGTCATGTGAACTGAAAAGCCTCTGAGTTAGCTTCTATTGGTCTGATAAATGCTTATTTTTTAAAAGTCAATTAATGAGAGCTCTTTCTTCTAATTGGTAGTGAAATATTATTTCTACCTGACTTTATAAACATACAGACATAGCAAGCTCAGACAGAGGTGAATTTTACAGATTTAAAATTTTTCATTTACCTGTTTTCAAAAAATTTCTCTTCCCTACTTTAGACTATTAATCTCTTGATTATCTGTTCCATGTCCTAAACAATAGTTAATTAGGCAACTCTAAATTTTCATCTCCAAAGACATGACTTAAGTGAAGCAAGGTAGAAAATTCAAAGTCGCAGACGTAAGTCTAAACAAATGCAAGGTCTGTTATGTAAACTTCAAGCTACTGTCTTTCCCCCTAAATTTCCTAGTGGTTTAGGTGCAGAGACAGAGATGCCCTTACAAAATGGAGATTTCCTTTAAAGACATGTATTTCCCTTACAAAGAGTTTTATTAAAGTGACTTAGTTTGATAGGTTGTGGTTTCAATTTAGCTTGATTAGATTACTGGCTTTAGGGTGGAGACCTTTAGGAAACAGGATCAAGAAAGCATGTACAATTTTCTAATCTAAGCATGCAAAAAACTAGTAGCCTCCTGTAGTAATGACCATTTTCTGTAAACTGTCCTCAACTTCCCCTAACATTGTAGCTCTTATCTATTACACATGCCAAGGTCAAATCCCCTCACAGTACTAGGTAATCTCAGGTGCCCCCAAAAGCCAAAGAGGTCAGGTAACACCATGCAAAAAAGCAGAGCTTTAGATCTGAGAAGAATATGTCCATGACTCTAGAAACTCCCCAAAGAAAGCAGAACATCCAAAACAGAGATGAATGGTGCCTTTATTCTCAATTCTTTAAGGGGCTTGAGTCTTTAGAAGCCCTCTCTAGATTTTTTTCACTTGGTACTGAAGATGGCAAAAGGGAAGGAAGAATAGGGTGGGAAAAAATAATGAAAAAATTAAAAATAATAATGAAAAAAAGAACAATTTTTTTTTAAGAAAGGAAAGCCAGGCACGGTGGCTCCTGTCTGTCATCCCAGCACTTTGGGAGGCCGAGGTGGGTGGATCACTTGAGGTCAGGAGATTGAGACCAGCCTGACCAACATGGTGAAACCCCATCTCTACTAAAAATACAAAATTAGCTGGGTGTGGTGGCGTTCACCTGCAGTCCAAGCTACTTGGGTGGCTGAGGCAGGAGAATTGTTTGAACACAGGAAGCAGAGGCTGTAGTTATCCAAGATCGTACCACCGCACTCCAGCCTGGGTGATATAGCAAGATTCCATCCAAAAAAAAAGAGAGAAAGAAAAGAAAAGTAGAAAGAAAAGTAAGAAAGAAAGGAAAGGAAAAAAAGGAAAGAAAGAAAAAGAAAGAAAGAAAGGGAGAAGGGAGGGAGGAAAGGGAAAGGAAAGGAAGGAAGGAAGGAAGGAAGGAAGGAAGGAAAGGAAGGAAGAAAGAGAACAGAGAAACCAACTGTATGGGTTCATTTTTTGTTGTTGTTGTTTTGTTTGTTTTTTTGTTTTTGCAGCTGCAAGGAATTTTACCCAGAGGCCTTGCTCCCCATAATTTGGAATTCTCCTTAAGATTTGACCAAGTCAGGTAGAGTTGATCAAATCTGATGGGAGAAAGATGGAACAACCTACCAAAAAAAAAATTATTGAGTGATTTAATGGTAAGGAGAAATGAAGATCAGCTGGTGGTCAACCTTAACTTTTAGTCATTGTGGAGAATTTTCAAGACAAAACCCCAGTTCGGCTACTTACCTAAGATTGTTGCCCAGGCTCAAGACTGCTCTCTACCATCTTAGAAACAGGAAAAAACTCAAACTCGCTTTCCCTATTGGAAGTGAGCTGAAACACCGGAAAGGAATTGCCTGCCCTTTATCATCACAGAAGCAGGAAAACTCACCTTCCTTGTTGGAAGTGAGTAAACCTCCAGAAAAGGAGTTGAAGAGCAAACCCAACTTTGGAGATCTCAACCAAACTTTGGAGGATCAGGGATTCTCTGGAGGGGGCACCTCCCAGACATCAGCAAATTGTCCTGTTGGTTTGAGCAATAAAGATACCCCAAGCTGGTATCAAACACCACTGGGAGATTTGTCAAAGGTCAGGACCACCTCCACTCAAAGTCCCTTCATGCTTGACAATTTGTAAACCAAAAAGTATATGAGACAGGTCTCAATCAATTTAGAAGTTTATTTTGCCAAGGTTAAGGACATGGCCAGGAGAAAGAAAACAACACAGAATCACAGAGACAGTCTGTCGTCTGTGCCTTTCTCCAAAAGTGAATTTGAGGGTTTCAATATTTAAAGGGGAAAAGTGGGGTGGAGGAGTAAGAGAGAGGGTATGGGCATCCACACATTGCAAGGGAAAAGGAGCAGGTAGGGGAATAATCAATTACGCATTTGTCTCATGCTCAGTAAGTCGGCAATTTATTATCAGATAAGGTGAACATACCTGTGGAGATAGTTAACCTTTTATCTGCTTAGGAACAAAAGGAAGGGCAGCTTCTTGTATGACTCAGCTTTCATCTTAATTTTTTCCTTTTGGCATAGTGAATCGGGGTCCTGAGTTTTTATTTGTCTTTCACACTGTGTTATAGGAGTTTTGCATTTTACATTTGGCCAGATATTGCAAAATCATTTTTGAAAGAAGTTGTACCAATTCACACTCTCCCTGGTGTATACAGGGCTTTTCCTCACTCTATCAAAGGAAGCTCTTTAAAAATTAGCAATCCTACAATTACCATGCATGATACAACTGTACTGAGGAAATGGATTTTAAATAAAAGACGTAAATTACATAAATTAGAAGCTGTTTGGACCCCTCAAAAGGGAGTCAAGTCAGGCCCATTGATATGAGTTTCCCTTTACGGTGATACACCATTTGTCTGCATTTACACAAAGACCTTTGTGAACCACCTCAACTTTGGCAATTTTACCCAAAATCACCATCTCTGATGGAGGTGATGGTCCCAACAACACTTATGTGCCCATACCAAAACTGCTTTGTAGCACATTTCCATTCTAAAGCTTGAGCTTAACCCCAAGTTATTAACAGAACCATCTTGTGTTGCCCATGAATTATCCACTGTTCTAACTAAGCCACTGATTGCCCAAAGAGAAAATATCATATTCACTGCCACTAATCATAATGCTATCTTTGGATTACAGAACTTTTCCAGCAAAGCGCTCACAACACTTTAATATATCTCGTTTAATTGCACAGCAGCTTGCTGAGGTGAGAAAGGCATTGTTGAGACTCTGTAGAGATATAAGGAGAGGTCTTGATATCCTCTATAGCAGCTATCAAAGCAAGGTCCTGTGGCAATGTCCCAGAATAAATCAAGATGGAGCCAAAGAAACTAAGTGATGAAACTCTTAAAAAAATCTATTAAATTATATATATTTTTTAGTCTCTTTTGGATTTCCTCAGAATCTGTAGGTGACCTTTAAAAATGCAGCATCAGGGCAAAAGTGGGCTACTAAGTTGCTAGACCTCCTTCCAGTGGGTGTTAGTGAGGCTGGCAGGTGGTTCCAGCCTCCCGTTTGGCTCATCATAAATCTAGACAGAGCTGAGGGCACAGGTGCCCACAGTCTTTTAACCTATAAATAAAGGAATCACAAAGTTTGGTGTGGATGGTTAGGAAGGGAGCGCAGGTAGCAGTGGGAAAGACAAATTTGGCAGTTTTAACCCTGTCACCAGCTGGGCAGGTACATGATTCCAGTGTGTTAAAGCAGGCTCTTTGGAGCATTTGTGGTGGTATATTTTCATTAGGATTCTTTAGAGTTCACAGGCTCAATTCAGGTAGTGCAGTGGTTGTTTGGGTGAGAAACCCCACAGGTCTGACAGGGACTGTCTACTGTTTACAGGACAGTAATACACGCAGTGAGAGGCTTGGTTTTAATTCCAGAGTATAACAGAAAGTTTCCTGTTGGCTATTCTGAGCTCTCCTGTCAGAAAACTGCCTTTGAAAGGACTCTGTCAACCCACTTGGATGTCCCAGAGCTGCGCCAGCCAGGGAATCCTCAGAGCCCCACTCTGCCCTGAGGCAACCTTTCCCTAGTGGAACCAACCCCTGACATAAAAGCCCCACTGAGTGGGTTCTGAAGTTTTTGCACCATCCAAGGCCTGTCCAGCCTGAAACAGCATGACACTTTCAATACAATCCAAACTCCTTAAGCTTCCCCAGGTCTCCAGGAGAGGGGCAGGTAAAAGGAAGAGGGAGAGAGTCCTTTCTGTGTCTTGAGCTATGCTAGGAGTACATATAATATTCATAACTTTAAACATGGTAGACACTGGTTTAGCCATTTTGCAAAGGGGGAACTTGAGGATCAGAGAGGTTAAATAACTTGCTCAGAGTCACAGAGCTCCACAGTGTCTATACAGACATGTGTTATTTTTTTCCTGCCCAGCATCCCTTTATCCTTAAGTAACAGCACCACCTTTCCTGAAGTTGAATGAGATCGATTACTTCCCTCTCCCACCCCAACCTCCCTGCAAGAGTGTACATGTGACTTAGGATTCACCAATCAGCAGCCTCACCAAGACCTGTGTTATAAATCTTGGCAGAGACCTTCTTCCTCCATTCATCATGTGAGTCTGGAGCTGCTGAGGAAGCACTGTCCTCAGAATGAGGCCAATAGAGAAATCACTGGAGCAGAAAGAGAGAAGGAAATAGATTTCCAATGATGTCTTTTGAGTGCCTGGATGTAGCTGTTCCTGAAGGCAAAACACATGCCTGGATTTGTCAGCTCTATTAGTTTAGACAATGAGTCCTTACTTTTACTATTTTGGTCAATGCACTAAAAAGCTGGAATTTGAACCTAGCTTTGTCTGACTCCAAAGCCGGTGTTCTTTTGACTCTACAAAACAGCTTCCCCACAAACTTAGCATTCACTGAGCCTGTATTTTCCTAAGGCCAGGTCTCACAAGTCCAAGTTGCAGGCTTCAGGGTGGAGAACAAATCACAACGCACCCATGAAGTTGAGGACACTTGGAGGATTGGTCCATTGCAAAAGTCTCCCCTCCCCAACAGACACACACTCTCACATACACATTTTGCTCTGAGGTTGGTGGGAAAGAAGCTTGCTTTGCTATCTGGGCCCATTCATACTCTGGAGTCTTGGACTGTGTTATAATATAGCGAAGCTGTGGTGGGTGATGAGGTCCCTTGGCTGAGATCCGTCCAGTTGTACATGTATGCTGGGGTACTAAGCACTCCCAGGCGGATGGCAGGGCACCAGCAGTTTTCACAGTGTTCCTGGGAAAACATTGCTGGGTAACTGTTTAGTCAGCTTGGGCTGTCGTAACAAAATAGTAGAAATTGCATGGCTTGAAGAACAAAAGTTTATTTTCTCACAGTTCTGGAGATTGGAAATCCAAGATCAAGGTGCCAGAAGGGTGGGTTTCATTCTGAGGCCTCTTCTCTTCGCAGGTGGCCACCATCTCATTGTGTGCCCATACGACCTCTTCTTGTACACTCAGAGAGTAAACAAGCTCTCTGGTGTCTCTTAAGGACACCAATCCTATTAGATCAGAGCCCCATCCTATAGCCTCATTTAACCTTAATTACTTCTGTAAAGGCCCTGTCTCCAAATACAGTCACATCAGGGGTCAGGGCTTCAACATATGAGTTTTGGGGAAGTAGGAGGGATATAAACATTCAGTCTACAACAGAGATGCTCTGGAAACTTTTAGTCACAGTGAATGTGGAGAAAATTCAGAAAGAGTATTCAGGGGAGTCTACAGGCAGTTGAGGCTGCTTCACAGAGCTTAGGCTTAGGTAGTTTGCAGCAACAAAGATAGATATTTTCTGGACCCGTGCTTCTTTGCTGTCTCATGACAGGACAAATGTTGGGTTTTCCTCTTTTGTTTTGCTGGCAATGTATGTTGGGGCCTCCTGGTTTCAAGATAAATTCATGTGTTAAGGTTTGTGGTATCCCAACTGGGAAAGCTAAATTAGTTAATTGAAAAATGAAAAAGAGGAAAATTAAACCAGCAATTTCTCCAAACATATTGGGCCAATTTAAAACCCAGGTTAACATTGATTTATTGCTTTAATAAGATTCCTGTATAAGGAAAAATGACTGGTCTGCAACATAAATAAATTTGGGAATGTGTTTATTTGGCTGCAATATCCAGGAGCAACAGGGCAAATGACTCCTTAAGTTTTTGCATTTTTTTCTTATCTTTAAGACCCCTGGGCCTTCAATTCTTAGTTATTCTTAGTCAAGACCAATGTCCACAAAATAATGCAAATATTCTGAGCTCCCCCTTCACCAAAAATGACCCACGAAGCCATCTCAGAGCCCAGATGAGGGTATGGGGCAGACACTGCCCTGAAGCTCTCCAGCCAGGACAGTGCCACGGCTGGAAGAGAAACCCTGCTCAGAAGAGGCCAAGTGAGAGGACAGCTGGACCTGCCCTCAAACCCAGCCTCAGCCCGGCTCACCCTGTCAGTACAAGGTGTCCCCATAGGGGGCTGAGGCTCCAGGAAACAGTGGCACTGCTTCCTCCTTTATGAGTCTAGTCCATTTCAAGTTCAGAGAGCTTGGTCAGCTTCCCTTGGCCTCTCAGGCTGATCCTCATGCGGGGCTTTGGGACTTCTCATTGAACATCCTGGAAGAGGTGGCCATGGGAAGCTATGTGCGCTTCCATCTGACGACAAGGCCCAAGGAAAAGCATTCAAAACCCATAGCCAAGTTCCAGACATTGCAAGGCTAACCCACAGCCTCAAAAATCACGAGGTCAACCTAGACTTCGACAACATAGAAGCCAGAGACATAAAGGGAATCTCCAGGGCCTCACAAAGATGGCAAAGACAATGCCCAGGTCCCTAGGCTCTCAGGAATTGACCTCTGGGAAGTAACAGACTCTATCTAGAAGGCAGTGAGCATAAATAGTGGATTTAACTGCTCCTAATGTTGTATTTCTTGAGCTGCTTGATAGATACGTAGGTATTGGTTTGGTTTTCCTTATCCCTTTTTGAAAGTCTTAAAAACTGCATAATACATTTAAAAAATAAAGTAACGTTTAAAAAGAGAAGATATTGAAGAAGGAGAGTAGGAATGTCTTTTGAAACTCAATATGCTTAATAAAGTTGAGGGAGAACTGAAGAGTTACATGTTCATAAGTTCGGAGAAGAGACTTCCCATTCTGGGGCTACAATGTTTCAAGTCTTTGCCGAGTGTGAAAGAAATCAAATTTATCAGCTATTGAGTTGAATCCTAAAATAATAGCAACAGACCGTTCTTCTTGTTTGGACCCAATGGAATAGAAAATCCACAAGTTTTGTCTTTCTGCATGAAGAGTGCACTTAACCCTTTCAATGCTCATTTTCATGTAGCTTTCATACACAGACCAGAGAAGAGATAAACAGCCTTTTGCCTTTCACCATGGAGGATGAAATCCAGATACATCACAGGAGGAGGCTGAGCACACCTTGGGAAGGAACAGGAGGGCTAAGGTTAGAAACGAAGGCATTTTACTCCACAAACCCTCACTCCCCGCAAAGAAAGGCTTTACTCATTGCCCTGCCAGCATGTATCAAATGTTAGATAAAATTAATTGGGAATGGACATTGTTATTGATTTGTATTTGTTGGTTTTTATAACCTTACATTATCAACAAATGGTAGAGGTAAAAAGGCTGAGGTGTAATGAGGGTTGGAAATGTTTAATGGAAAGACATCACCTCTATCGTGAGGCATTGCTCACATGAACAAGCCCATGGAATTGATTTCCATGGAAAATGCTTTCGATGAAAATCCAAGGAAAACTTTGACAATTACCACAACTGTTATCTTTTGGGGAATGTTTATGCATATGTACATATGTTTATGTTTTTAATTGAACTATAGCTTATATTTGATAATAAGGAGGTGTATTAGCTTGTTTTCATGCTGCTGATAAAGACATACCCTAGACTGGGTAATTTATACAGTAAAAAGGGCTTATTGGACTTGCAGTTCCACGTGGCTGGGGAAGCCTCACAATCATAGCAGAAGGCAAGGAGGAGCAAGTCATGTCTTACATGGATGGGAGCAGGCAAAGAGAGAGCTTGTGCGGGAAAACTCCCCCTAATCATGACCATCAGATCTCGTGAGACTCACTATCACGAGAACAGCACAGGAAAGGCCTGCCCCCATGATTCAATTACCTCCCACCAAGTCCCTCCCACAACACATGGGAATACAAGATGAGATTTGGGTGGGGACACAGCCAAACCATATCAGGAGGCCTATGTGAAACAGGTAAAGCTGAAAGGCCTTGTTACGTATGGTAAGCATGTACTTCAAATAATAAGTTACATGTGGCTTCATTCATTGCTCCACTGTAAGTGATAAATTCAATGTGATTAGATTGATTAAAGAGTTACTAGTTGGCAGGGCGCGGTGGCTCACACCTATAATCCCAGCCTTTTGGGAGGCTGCGGTGGGCAGATCACAAGGTCAGGAGATCGAGACGATCCTGGCTAACACGGTGAAACCCTGTCTCTACTAAAAATACAAAAAAAATTAGCTGGGCATGGTGGTGGGCCCCTGTAGTCCCAGCTACCTGGGAGGCTGAGGCAGGAGAATGGCGTGAACCCGGGAGTCAGAGCTTGCAGTGAGCCGAGATAGCACCACTGCACTCCAGCCTGGGTGACAGAGCAAGACTCCTTCTCAAAAAGAGTTACTAGTTGAATTAATAAATGGAAACAAAATGAAAATATTGTTATATAAGAAGACTCATTTGAAGGGTTAGAAAGAATACAGTGGACCTGTTTGATAAAATGCACAGCACTAATGCCCACCTGGAGAATTGTATCACTGACATGTTAACAAGAAAACCTTCAAAACTGTAGTGTGATGAGGTGGGAAAGAAGGTTCCAGCTCAGGAGTCAGGGAGATTTGGGTGGAGCTTGGATCCACCTTTTACCAGACGTGTGACCCTGGGCACCAGGCTGCTCGTCTGTATGATGGGAGTAATAAATACCCACCCAGGTGGTGCTCGCAGGGGAAAATGAAGACATGTTTATAAAACTCCAAGCTCGGGGTAGGCACACGGTAGGCACTCAGTCATAGCAGTCTCTTTTTCCACCTCGGGAAGAGATGCTTTTATCTAAAGGTGTCATTTTCTCAGGAGAAGGGAGCCTAGGTTTTAACCAGTTAGAGCAATAGTGAGAGAAACAAAGGAACTGGATTTTGTCAATATTTTCTCCCCATGGCTCCAAAACCCTCTATGAGACACATCGAGTTCTTGATTACAGATTTCAGCTGCCAATATGCAGGGGTGTAGCATATCCAGTTGTTAAATATTGAAATGCTTCCTTACTGGCTGCTAAGTTGCCTCTGCATCCACTCCCTGTACAACCACCCCAGCCACCTTGGAACCCCTCACCTTCCCTTGATCCAGCAACCAAAGGGTTAATACCTGCTCCTTAGGGTAGTGGGGAGAAGACTGTGCTTCAGGGCCTTTTTAGGAGCTCTGGCTCATGGATCATTCCAATGCACTGACACCCAGGCCCTACTGGTTTCTAAGTACTTGAATTATCACCTCTGTTTCTAGCCAGCTCTCTTCATTTACCTTTTCTTTAGCTACCATCTCGTTTGTGGGAGAGCAGCAAACTTGAAATCACGCTCCCCTTGGGAGGCCCCTGGACTAGAGCCGCCTGTCCTAGGAAGTGTCTTGTCTACTTAATTTCCCTCCTTTGCTCCAGCTGCCATGAGGCCACTTTTCCTTGTAAAGTTTGTAACATGAACCAAAAGGATACAACTGAAGTCCCAGCCTACAGGGTAGCTTTGTTTATTTTGAAGATTTCAGAACCACGAAAGAAGGGATTTTAACAGTGTGGTTTCCTGTGGGTGGGCCTGATCTAAACACTGATCTTTTCCCAAGGGCACAGACTTGGAAGGAGCTCACAGAGCTGCTCCTGGACCCGGCCCATGCACACACAAAACTGAGCAAGTTTGGCCCCTGTTTCTCTCCAGTGGTGCCCCAGCCTGTGAACCACTCCTTCTCTAGGGTGTTGAGTTATTGTAAAAAGGTCCATGAATCCATATGCACCCCAAGCACTTTCTTTATTCATCTCACTGGTATTTACAGGGTACTGCAGCGTCCCCGTCCTTGCTGATTTTCAAATGTAATTCAATACCGTGTGATTAAAATAAAACTTAATCCAAATCTTATTGAACTCAGGTGCTTTTTATCACATATTTTAAAAATCAACAGATACTAAAAGTACAACTACTATCATGTGGGAATGGTATAAAATTTGACATTAACAAGAGGTCCTCTCCTAGAAAAGTTGGACAGCGTTGTGGCTCATTATGGAGGTGAGAAGAAGGTACATAATTTAATGACTAGTATAAGGGTAAAGAGACATCAGAACATCAATCCACCACTCTTCTGCCTGGGAGGTCATTATTCCAGTCAGTGGGGTGTTCCTGGTTCTGCATAACTGCAAAGTAAAGAGGAATATTAGGGTAATTCTGGAATCTGAAACCTCAGGGAAGTGTGCTTACATCTAAATAGGACTTTTACAAGCAAGATCAGTCATGGCTGATGGTATGTCACCCCCTCTGGAAGCACAGAGATCTGAAGAGGGCTGGAGGCCAGTGCAATTAGATTTGCATCTTCTCTTGCCTCCCTCCTCAGCCCTCTGCCCTCCTGTTCTTCCTCCTCTGGCTGGTCTTCAGAAAAGTGTTGGCAGGTAGCTTCCAGCTGGGATAGCTGCCAGGTTTCTAGATGGAGGAGCTATGCTGCAGCTGTGTTGGCAGGGAAAGAAATGGAGGAGCCAGGGTAAATGAATTAAGTCCTGATTCTCCATGGTTAAGCTATAGGACATTTCTAACACAAGGGGGCAGCTGCTGGCTGCATCACATCAGCTGATAGAAGTATAGTGTTGCAAACAGAACGAAATATAACAGTGACCAAAATAAAGAGAATCACCATGCTACAGCAATGTAGGGAGGGGTAACCTCCTTTTAAACAAAACCCCAATGCAATTTTTTTTTTAATCCACTATTTTTTATTATTTGCTGAGGATGTTGTAATACACCTTCAATCAAGCTGCACTATTTTGAGTAGCCATCTTATAATCGTTCTCATCTAACCCCAAATTGGCAGTATTCTAGGGAGTAGCCAGTTTCTAAGGGCAATATGTCAGGTCTCTATAGAATGAAATAAATGGAGAATTGGCAAAGTGAAGGTGACAAGGGGAATGTAGTCATCTGTGTCTCAGATCCAAAACACATTACTCTTTCCTCAAGAAATGGGATAAGTCATGGCTAAGCAACATAGTGGTGGAGGCATGCAAGGGCCAGCTCTCCAACAGAGCCTCCTCCAAATGTTTAAGACTCCTCAAGAGTTCACTTCTGATTTATCGAACTGATGAAAATATTAAGAATCTTTAAAATTGCTTTTGCTTCAGTACCATTGCAGTAGGCAGAATAGTGCCCTCCTCCCCAAAACGTCTATGTCCTGCTCCCTGGCACTTGTGCACAGGTTACTGCACATGGCAAAAGACTTTGCAGATGTGATTTTTTTTTTTTTTTTTGAGACGGAGTCTCACTCTTGTCACCCAGGCTGCAGTGCAATGGCGTGATCTCAGCTCACGGTAACCACTGCCTCCCGGGTTCAAGCGATTCTCCTGCCTCAGCCTCCTGAGTAGCTGGGATTACAGGTGCCTGCCACCACACCTGGCTAACTTTTTGTATTTTTAGTAGAGACGGGGTTTCACCATGTTGGCCAGGCTCCAGGCTAGTCTCTAACTCCTGACCTCAGGTGATCCACCCGCCTCGGTCTCCCAAAGTGCTGGGATTATAGGTGTGAGCCACCATGCTCGGCTGTGATCTTGACATGGGGAGATTATCCTGGATTGTCTGGGGGTGGGCACGATGTAATCACAATGGTGTTTATAAGTGAAAGAGGATGACAGGTCAATCATTGTCAGTGATATGATATGAGAGAGACTCGACTGGCCATTGCTGGCTGGGAAGACAGAGGAAGGCGCCACAAGCCAAGGAATGCAGAAAGCTTCTAGAAGATGTAAAAGGCAAGAAAACAGGTTATCTCCTAGAGCCTCCAGAAGGAACACAGCCCTATTGATGCCTTGACAACAGCCCAGTGAGACCCATTTTGGGCTTTTGACCACTGGAACTGTAAGATAATACATGTGTGTGGTCTTAGGCCATGAAACTGGTGGTAATGTTACAGCAGCAATAGGAAACTAATCCAATCACAATCACATCATGTCAGATTTGTAGCTGAAAAGTACTGAATTCCAGTTAGGATTAAAAACCGTCTATTCCATTTAGAAAAATTTCTCTAACAATATTTATTAAACAAATATCTACAAAATATTTCAACTTTCATAGAACTGAATTTTCTCAGTTCCTTTTCTCAAAGGGGAGGTGAGTGTCAAACTCTAATTATATTCTATAGTTGGGTAAATATGGAGCAAGGGATTTTTGTAAAACCTAAGGCACATAAAAATATGTAACAGACAGAAATGGATATTTAGGTCTCGCATGGGTCACTCCAGTGAGAACTCAACTGCTGTGCCTCACCAGTTTTGGAAATAAATGCACGTCTAGATAAAACTCTATTTTTCCCATATCCAGTTTCTGAGATACATTAGAAATTCAGCCTTCAGAAGTAGTTAGTACATTACTTAAACTAATATCCCCAAGAACTTAAATTCAGTATTATACTGGCAGAAACTGGAGACATGAAACTTAATTCTTATGGCTTTCACAAGAGGAAAAGAAAGACAGCTTTTACTTGAATTGTTCACGTTAAGCTATTATTTTCCAAGGTGCATTTCAATGGCATTTTTTTGGACCAGGTGTGCATTTCATGTAAAGTGATCTCTGACTTTAAAAGGTTCTGGAGTGGGAAATATATATAAGAATCATTGGCCTCACAGCATAGCATAATAACCCAGCCTGGTGTCTAACTGCACAATACAATCCTAGGTAAGATTGCTGGGAGCATATTTTCAAGCTCTATCCCTACTGGAAGTTATTTGTATGTCAATTGTGGATCAGCTGCAAGTAACCCAAGGCCCTCAGTAGTGCACTGTTAAGGAAATGAAAACAGGCTGGAATTGGTAGGGATCAGGACCAGACAGAAGATCCAGCTATAGCATTGCTTCTGAGGAAGATGACCAGTCCCCCAAAAGTAATGGGTTGGGAATATGGGAAGTGTGGGTTCACTCCAGTATGGCACTATTATTTTTCAGGTAGATTCAAGTAGTAAGTATTCAAGTCTAACTGATGGTATCTCTGAATGAAGGAAGTACCCCTTAGCACCTGGGTAGTAGCTGCACCTTCCAAGAAGGAATGTAATCCACATCCATTGTGTGGATTGAAGCAGAACAGCTTAAAGCTAGGATAGGAGGAAATGGGGGTAAAAACGTATGTAGCTCTACAGGGAGAAAGAGTTAAGCAGACTGTCATGGTGTTGAACTAGGGGGCAGCTCCAGGCCAAGGAGGAAAGAGGAGTTGATGAGGCAGGGCAAAATCTCTCTGCTATATGGATTACACACTAAGAGAGTTACTCAAGAGACCAGCAGTTCCTTAAGCAGCAACCAAGCTTCAGACAGCTTAATTCTATATCTCATGCATGATGGGTAAGGAATCCTGGATAAACTTCTCAGACAGCTTAATTCTATGTCTCATGCATGATAGGTAAGGAACCCTGGATAAACTTCTCAGCTTTGTTCTGATCAGCTTGGGGACTGGCTGTGGCTGGTCCTTCCAGTTGAAAATCATCAGTCCTTGCAGACAGGCAGAGCCAAGGGCAGCGTGGGAGTGGCATTTCCAACAGTGTTGGCTTCATCCAAGTGGATCATGATATTTTTCAGTAAGAAGCTGTGAGAATTTGAATTTTGCATTCCTTCTCCAATCTTAAAGCTGCTCTGTTCCCGTCTCATGGACATTTAACTTTGCAATTCAATTAAGTGAGGCTGAAATTTAAAATGGAAAAGTTAAAAGAAGTCTCCACAACATTTAATCCGCAGGCCTGGCCCTGCATTTGCTTAGCCCAAAAGAGTAAGGCAGAGCATGAGAGATGAACCTGAGGGCTTGGGAGCAAGGAAGGTAGGAAGCAAAGCAAACTCTGAACTGAATCAGAGCGCATGTAAGGCACAAAGTTAAGAAAGGTCCAGAAGAGCCGATGAACCGTCACTGTTCAGGGATCTCTGAAGACTCCCAAAGAAAACCCAGCAGTGCAGAGGAGGCTAGTGGAAACTCAGACTTGAGGCCATTAAAGTTCCAGCTCTTCTGAGACATTAAGCAGCCACCTTCCCCAATAACAGCACACCCTTTTGCAGGCAGGGAGGCAGGGGAGCAGGTTGCATGAAGCAGTCAACTTCTGGTGTCATTAGGGTGGAGAGAAGTTTTGGTTCACTTGAAAGGATTTAGGTTTCAGACCTGATACATTCCCAAACACAAGGAGGGCAAATTGCACACTTTAATTTACAAAGGCAAAATGCACTGGAGTAGAAGTCTGCAGGAGGATTTCCTCATGGATCCCACTCCATGGGGGCTTGCAGGAGGATGGTGGAAGAACATTTGCAAAGAGCTTGGACTTCACAGCGATGCAGCTGATTAGCAATCTTCTTGTTAACTTCCGACTGATCTGTTTCATAGATTATCTTTTCTATCCCTTCCCACCACTCCTTAATACAGTCCTGATATGCCAGTGGTGGGAGGTGGGGTCAGAAGAAAGAGGGAGGTAGGTGTAGAACTGGACGATCTCATTGTCAGAGTGTGAGTGGCCCTGGTGACCCACCAGGACAAAGGACCGACCTTGGACTTTGAGGACAGAGAAGGCCTATGGCCCATGTAAGACCTGGCCACTGAATTATTAAGGGACAGGTCAAAAAATAGCTTCTTCCCTTTTTTAGTTTCCCTTTTGGCTGAGCTTGCATTACCCCACCTGTCAGATTAAAAGTGGTATGGAGCTTTGTAAATACAAATACCAGTTATGAAGACACCTGCAGCGATGATCTCAGGTGGTGTCTCCAGGAAACAGAATGTGAGATGGAGATTGCATGCAGGTAGCTTATCGGGGAGTGCCATCCACGGGGGAGTGAAGGAGGCCAGATTGGGCAGTGGGAGAAACTCAGCAGTGATGTAGTCACAAGCAAAAGTCTCAGCTTATTCCACTGGGAGCTCTGAGGCTGGGCTGGCTTTGCAGAGTTGTCCTGAATTGGAGTGAGGAGGACAGGTCTTAACACTCCTGCGTGGTCACTCATTGAATGTGGGCTGCCCAGGAGAGAAGAATGTGACCTTGGTCCGGGTGGCTTTCTTCAGGCCTGTCCTGGAAAGGCACTTGGATGAGGAGAGTCAGCCTCCAACACAGGGAGAGTGAAGCCTCAGGTTTGCGGGCTACAATCTGGGTGGTGTGCCACTGTGTCCTCTGCAGCCCTCCCCTGCACTGCTCCCATTTTCTGGCTTCATACACTACATTCCAGCAGCAGTTCCCCCAAGATACTGAGGGATCTTTTTTCCTGGAAGACACTTTTTTGTTTTTCAGACGGAGTCTTGCTCTGTTGCCCAGGCTGGAGTGCAGTGGCCTGATCTCGGCTCACTGCAAGCTCTGCCTCCTGGGTTCATGCCATTCTCCTGCCTCAGCCTCCCAAGTAGCTGGGACTACAGGCAACCGCCACCACACCCAGCTAATTTTTTGTATTTTTAGTAGAGACGGGGTTTCACCGTGTTAGCCAGGATGGTCTCGATCTCCTGACCTCGTGATCTGCCCACCTTGGCCTCCCAAAGTGCTGGGATTACAGGCGTGAGCCACCGCACCTGGCTGGAAGACACTTTTAAGACAAAAGTTAGTGGTATAAACTACAACTCTTGCCACAGCAGCTGATCTTGGGGTATAACTGGTTCTCACCATTCTCCTCTTTACTATCCATTCTAGATCCCCATCATCTTCTCTAGCTAGTGCCGTAATGGTTTAGATGGTTTACCTGGGGAGTGGTCCATACTCTCATCCCCGAGTAGCTTAGGTGCCTGGTCACTATGTACTTCTCAAGCCATGGATGCTGCTCTTGTTCATTTCTCATCAAAGTGGGGCAAGAGAGTCAGGAGGCATCCAAGCAGATCACCTGGTGCCACTCACTTTTTCCAGCTCTCCTTCCTTCTGATGATCAGGGTCAGTTATTCCAGCTAGAATGGTGACTCCTCTCTTTGCCTGGCATAAGAAGCTTGCCACAACCAGGTGGAAGCCATAGTCTGAGGTTTAGTGGGCTACTTGCTATGTCCTGTGGTGGATGCATTTCCATTCTGGGAACCAGGACCTCTGAACCACAAAAGCCAGAGTTGTGAAGCCAAAAACCACAAATTCTCCAAGTCAGTCACTGGGAGTGACAGAAAGCAGGGTCACTCCTACTTCCACCTCTCGGTCCCCAGAACCCTTCAATCTATCTAATGGTTTGCATGCAGGTAGTTTACTAGGGAGTGCTCTCAGTATCACACTTGTGGGGGTATGAAGGACTCAGAACTGGGCAGTTGCAGAAGGACCATGATACAGCCCAAAAAGCTTCAGTGAGTCCCACAGGGAACTTTGGGGCTGGGTGACCCTGCAGAGCTCTCCTGAATTGGGATGAGCAGGCCAGACCTTTACACTTCTGCATTGCCATTTAATGGTTGTTGATTTAGAGTATACCCAGCATCCTGGAGGGTGACACCCCATCTGCATTGGGCATCCTCTCTCTCTGTGGCCCCTCTTCCTCTGATTTCCTTATCCTCAATCTTCTCATCTTTCTCCTTCCAGGCCCCCGACCAACCAGCCAAGTATTTATCATTGTCTATAAAGATTCCAACCTCAGGCCAGGCGCGGTGGCTCACGCCTGTAATCCCAGCAATTTGGGAGGCCGAGGTGGGCAGATCACAAGGTCAGGAGCTCGAGACCAGTCTGGCCAACATAGTGAAACCCTGTCTCTACTAAAAATACACAAAAAATTAGCCAGATGTGGTGGTGTGTGCCTGTAGTCCCAGGTACTCAGGAGGCTGAGGCAGGAGAATCGCGTGAACCTGGGAGGCGGAGGTTGCAGTGAGCCAAGAACGCGCCACCGCACTCCAGCCTGGGTGACACAACGAGACTCCATCTCAAAAAAAAAAAAAAAAGATTCCAACCTCAGATGACTATTCTTTTCACCCAAAATAGATAGACAGGTGAATCACCCAAAGCTGTGCCCATTGTGAGGCTTTCCAGCTTACACCTACATGCTGAGCTGAGCCACCCATGTACCAAATTTGACCTTTACTCTCCATTGTCAGGTGGTCATAACAGAATCCCCCATGTGGCTGAGGGAGAAGCACCAGTTTCTCAGTGGATGCCACAGGGATCTGGGCCACCTGCTCGTGCAGCCTACTTACGCCCTGTGGCCCTTTTTGTGCCAATTCTCAGATACACCACTTCCACCTTACTTTAAGACAAAGGGTTTGAGAGTTAACATAGTCCTGGGAAAAGATCACACTTGTATTCTTTTGTCTGTCCAAAGTGATCACGAACTATTTCTGATCTTCCTTTCTCACTAGAACAAAAAAACCCCACATTATCCATATTAAAAGCCACATACTGTGTCTCAAGACCAAGTTGATCATCGTAGCAAATCGTGGCTACTATTTGGTTGAGTTTACAGTAATCCACTGTTTCACTCTTCAAGATCTGTCTGCCTTTTGTAGGGGGGCAGACTGGCTCATTAGTTGGGACATGATGGGGACCACTCTCCTCCTCCCCCCGCATCCTTTTAGGTCTTTAAAAATTGCACTAGTCTTTGACATTCATTGCCCCTTGGTTGTTGTGATGGTTAATTTTGGGTGTTGATTGGATTAAAGGATATCCAGATAGCTGGTAAAGCATTATTTCTGGGTATGCTTGTAAGGATGTTTCTGGAAGAGGTTGGCATTTGAATCGGTGAACTAAGGAAGATCCACCCTCACCCAATGGGGGTGACACCATCCAATTGGCTGAGGACCCAGATAGGACAAAAAGGCAGAGGAAAGGTGAATTATTTCTCCCTCTTCTGGAGCTGGGACATCCTCCTTCTCCTGCCGTTGGATATCAGAATCCCTGGTTCTCTGGCCTTTGTACTCCAGAACTTCCACCAGTAGCCCTCAGGTTCACAGGCCTTTGGTCTCTAACAGAGTTACACCATCGGCTTCCCCGGTTCTGAGGCCTCCAGACTTGAATGGAGCCACGATGCTGGCTTCCCTGGTTTTCCAGCTTACAGAAGGCACATCATGGACATCTCAGCCTCCATAATCATGTGAGCCAATTCCCCTGATAAATTGCCTCTCACATATCTATATGTACATACTATTGGTTCTCTCTCTGAAGAACTCTAATACAGTTGTGAAGTTGTTTTCTATTTACTATCTTGGCCAATGAGGTGAGGAGATGGTTTTCATTCAGCCTTCCTTGCATTAATAGCTCTTACCCCACAGCTAAGGAGCTAACATGGGTGTTTTGTCAATCACTGATTACATCTGTTCCAATTATACATTCCAGGGCTGAGAAAGAGACTTCCTGGTGGATCTGTGCACCAGTAGACACCCTAAGAGATGGACCTGACCAGCTCCTCACTTACTATCTGGACTCCATGTGTCTACACTTTAACAGGCGGTCTAGATGACACTTCAGCTCCCCAGGTGTCAATATCAGCTTAGACTCTGTGTCCAACTGTCTCTGAAATATTTGGGTATTCCCTTTTTCCCAGTGTATGAGTACACAAGTTCTAGAGGAAGCATATTCCAAGGACTTTCTGGCCTTAAATAGCATATCCACTCCAACATGCCTGCTTCTCTGAGTCCTTTGGTCCTGTCTCTGGCATTTTCCATGGTAGTTCTGACACTTCCACTTCATATAGTATGAGCCATCTATTTCTCCAAGTTCCAAGATACATCATAGCAGCATTTAGATTGTTTTCTTGGGGTCCTTGTCAGGGTGTTATATTCTGTATCATGGGAGAGGATTCTCATATCCCTAAACTCTCCCTTGTCCAACTTTATTTTCTGTCTAGGATCCAGAACTCGCAGAATCCAGTCCTACGGGTAGTATCCTGGCTTTTGCCAGTATGTGTTATTTAGGTCCTGCAGCCCCTTTCCAGTGCAGCCTTTTTCTTTTCCAGCAGACCCACTGCTTCCCCAAACAAGTCAAGGTATGACTCAACCCTATTCACATGCCTGTTGATCAAGAGGGAAGCTGTGAGCGGATTTGGGGGAGGAGGAGCATGTTGCCTTGTAAAACAGAGACCTCTGTGACATCTTCAGGCAAGGGAGGAGCATTAGCCTTTAACAAAGAGCAGTGGGACCCAACTGTGGTCCCAGAGGGTTCAGAAGAATCTGGAAATTCCCACTTTTCTAGTACACCAACCCAGATATACCTATCCCAGGCCCAGGTCCCACTCCAGGCCTTAGCACAGCAGACCTGTCAGGGCTAAGAACGCAACCTTCTCTGGAGCTCTGCTACTTTCTTGATTAAGCCCTTGGCCGTCCTTCAGTTTATCAGCTCTCCAACTGCAGGAGATGAGTCTCTGTATATGCTGCAAAGGAAGACTTCTGGTGATTTATCACTCTTTGTACCAACTGTTGCAGGTTTGGATCCCTGAGAAAATCTGAGACAGTTTTGCCCACAAAAAGCTTATTAGGAAGTGGAACTGCTCTGGGGACCATCTCTTTTAGGACAGTGAAGGAAGCAGAACTGGGCCAAGGGAGAAGATGAACCACGATGCTACCACAACAGAGGCCTCACTGATCCCATGGCGAGCTCTGGAGCCAGGATGGCCCTGCAGCGTGGTCTCAAGTTGAGATGAGTGGGGCAGGCACCCAGTAAGGGTTGCCCCTTGGAAGGAAGTGTAACCTTGGTCAAGGTGACTGGCTCTCTTTAACCCAGAACAAGTCCCAAACAAGGACTTAGTTAAGAGTTGTCAGCCTTGGGGAGATGGAATGAGTGCTTGAGGCTGCTGGGAGGATCTAGACAGAGAATCATGACATCGTCTACAACGACCTACCTAACACATATGGAGTTTTACAAACCTTAACTGCATAACAAGTCATCGTTTTCAGATTCTCAGGTAAAATTTAGGTGAAATACATCTTTGTAAGTCTCAATTACCCAGCATCTTAAGTTTTCTAGGGGTCTCAGGTTTCAAAACAAACCAAGGTCTTTTTTTTTCCTTTTTAACATAGACAACAAAAGGGGTCCATGTGGCATTTGGAGTAGACAATCCCAGTGATGGTCCTGCAAATGGTCCCAGAATTTCAACCCTCCTGTCTACCCTTCCTTTGCTACTTGGAGCTGAAAGCCACAGCCAAACTCTAAGCAACTCAACATGCTAATAGCCCTATGGTATACATACATGTGTTCTCTGAGCCATACTTTCATGGTCCTGAGCCACTCATAGCCACCCACTATCTGCATTGGGTCTGTAGACAACACACTGATTCCCTCTGGTGCAAAGAAGGAGCATAATAAGCAAGGCCCATTCCTTAGCAAAGAAAAGCAGTTGAATTCGGTGCAATGAAGACAAATTGGCCATAAACTCTGCAAGCCACGGAGGTTATTTCAGTTACTAAATGATTAAAGTCTCTAATCTCTGGAGTGGTGATAAAGAACACCGGAGAAGGGGGCTGGGTTTTTGATGCCTGGGGAAGGTGCAAAAACATCTCTCTTGAGACCATGCCAGAGGAAGCCCACCCCATAAAAGAACCACAGATAAGTAAGACATCATTAATAAATCAATGACAGGAAAATGAAAACGGAAGCAGATGAATCAGCCAGCAGATCGGGTTGTAGATGAAAAACAGCACATCTGTTGCTGCTGTCGGTGCATTAACAAATAAGTCTGCTGGATCAGATGGTCTTTCACGCTAATACTTGGAATAATGAAGCTTCAAAAGCGATTAAACCATAAATCAATTTTTAAATGTATCTTGTAACTCCCCCAAACAACAGGAGGCATATTTTTCCTTGCTTGAATTCTTTTTGGCAGGCATCGGAAGGTGCAGGGATAAAAAAACAGTGCCTCATTTTGGCTCTGCTGTGAGGTACAGGCACACAGCTAATTTAGTGTTTAGCCTCACGATTTGATTCTTACCAGCTAAAGGCACCGAGCTGTGCTTCATCTATATGTTAAATCCAAGCCAATGCATTTCAGCCTGAGCAGTACCCACCCGTCTTCTTGTCCAAGACAGCTCGGTTCTAGTGCCTGTTCCTCTTCATGCAGCTATTGATTTACATTTTATTTTGTTATTTTTGAAGACTTCAGCAAAATTAGCAATTGAGGTGGTGAAGTATTTTTCTCCTTTGAAGCATAACTCCTCCTTTTCTTCTATACTGAAAAAAAAGTTGCTTCTCTCTAATGGCAGAGTGGCCTGGTTGTAGGACATTAAGGATGGACATGAGTGGTTAATTTGGCAAATTCTACATCCATGTCCAAGAGGAAGAGATGTGCTCTCAACATAATTTTTTTACTTAAAAATGTTGGGACAATAAGGAAAGAGAAAAGGGAAAGGTTCAGGCTAAGAGAGGCAGACAAGGCCAGAAAGGACATAGGGTCACAGATCAGAAAAGGAAATCAAGTTTTGCTCCAAAATTTCTCTGAAAAGCAGAAAATCCTGTGAACTGACCAATAAATGAGTTCTTACTGAATAAGACAAATGGGGAAGAAATAGGAAGAAAGAAGGAAAAAGAAAGATGTGTAAGAAGATGAGTAGAAATGGTGAGAGGAGAACCCAGGATGAGGCAGAGGGAAACCAGGCCATATTTCCTCTCAGCGCACGGCCTTTGCTCCACATTACACCTCCTAACCAGCCCGGGGACAGTTGCACTCCAAGGAAGCAAACTGTTCCGTTCTTCTTCTTCTTCTCCTTGAAACACAATGGCTCTTTCAGGAAACAAACAAATAAACAAAAGCTAGGAAGAAACTATTTTGTTTACTTTGTCACAGAAAACAGGCTACCCTTGGGTCAGGAGATAGGGTATTCTGAGTTCATTTAGAATAGCCAGCAACACCCATGTTTGGTGAGAAGATGCCAAAAAATTATACCAAGTGGAAACTTTTATGTTAATTAATGAGTGACAATCAAATAAAATGATCAAGGCTCATACAAACATTTCCAGAAATAAGCACAAAGGTAGACAGAGGCTGTTTTTTTTTTTAATCATTGTAGGATCTGACAATATAAACTTTTCATATTAGATATTACCTATATACAGTTAGAATCCAAACCAATTGGAAGATTCCTTGGTCACCTGATAACTTCAAATGAAGATATCCAGAAAATTTAGGGACAGGTGATATCCTATAAACCAAGGTTTCTCAAACTTTTATGTGCCTACAACTATCTGAGGATCTTGTGGGAATTCAGATTCTAGGGAAACATTTCTGGAATGGTAGAGTAATGACCTCCAAAAATAGACTTTTCCATAAGAAGCAATAAACATCCTGGCAAAAATAGTCAAAATCAATTTTTTTCAGAATTGTGGAAATTAGCCAAAGGTATACAACACTCTGAGGTGCATTTCTTCAAGAAAAGCAGCTGACTATTGGTAAAAACAGCAAGCTTTGTGACATTCTAGCTTGCCCTATCCCCATTCCCTTCTCCACAGTTTCATAGTAGTCTCAAAAGTGAACAGCCTTACAGCCATGGTAACTGTAAAAACAGCAGCCTAGCAGTTACTGAAGGAAGAAGAATGGGTTTGGAGCTTAAGTCTAAAGACACTCAAGATTCAAAAACAAATAAGTGAAAGGAAGGAAGAAGATCTGCTATGCAAACAGTAACCTAAAAAGAGCTGGAGTGGCTATAATATTAACAGAAAAATCGACTTTAAGACCATTGTTACTAGAGATAAAAAGAACATTTTATAATCACAGAATGACCATTCCATCAGGAAAACATAACAATTACAAACATGTATGTCCCTAATAACAGAGGCCCAAAATACATGAATGATTAATAGAATTGAGGAAGAATTAGATTCAGCAGTAATAGTTGTAAATTTCAATATCCCACTTTTAATAAGGGATAGGCTGACAAGGCAGAAGATCAACAAGGTAATGGAAGACTTGAACAACACTATAAAACAGCTAAACATAACAGAAATCTATAGCACACTCCACCAAACAACAGAACACACGTTGCATCAAGCAAACACTCAGCATTCCCCAAAATAGAACACACGTTAGGCTATAGAAAGAAGTCTCAATAATGTTAAAGAGATGAAAATCATAGAATCTTCTATGACACAATGGAATGAAATTAGAAATCAGTAATGGAAAGAAATTTCAGGAATTCACAAACGTGAAAATTAAAAGACACACTTCTAAATAACCAATGAGTTAAAGAAGGAATCACAAGGGAAAGGAAATAATACTTTGAGATGAAAAAAAGAAAACCACAACATATCAAAACTTATGGAAGGCTGCTTGCCTTAGTCCATTTTGGTTGCTATAACACAATACCACAAATTGGGCAGATTTTAAGCAACAGAAATTTATTTCCCACAGTTCTGGAGCCAAAACAATCTTGAAAAAAAAAATAGGAGGATTCATACTTCCCAATTTTGAAACCTATGACAAAGATCCAATAATTAAGACAGTATGGTACTGGCATGAAGATAGACTTATAGATCATTGAAATAGAATTGAAAGTGCACAAAGAAGCTGTTAATTAATGGCCAATTGAATTGTGACCGAAGTGTCAGAGCAATTCAATGAGGGGACGAACAATCTTTTCAACAAATGGCGCTAGAACAACTGGATAGCCACAGGCAAAAGAAAGAAGTTGGTCCCTTTCATCATGCCATATATAAAAACTAACTCAAAATAGATCAAAGACAAAAATGGAAATACTAAAACTACAAAAGTTTTTTTTAACTATTAGTTTCAGGGGTACATGTATAGATTTGTTATATAGGTAAATTGCATATCATGGGCACTTGGTGTACAGATTACTCATCACCCAGGTAATATGCATAGTATCTGATATGTATACCCTCACCCTCCTCCCACCCTTCATCCTCAAGTAGGCTCCAGTGTCTGTCATTCCCTTGTTTGTGTCCCTGTGTACTCAATATTTAGCTCCTATTTATAAGTGAGAGCATGCAGTATTTGGTTTTCTGCTCCTGCATTAGTTAGCTTAGGACAATGGCCACCAGCTTCATCCATGTTGCTGCAAAGGATATGATCTTGTTCTTTTTAATGGCTGCATAGGCTTCCATACTGTCTATGTACCACATTTTCTTTATCAAGGCTACTGCTGACAGGCCATTAGGTTGATTCTACGTCTTCACTATTGTGAATTGTGCTGTGATGAACATGGATGCGTATGTGTCTTTAGAGTAGAAAAATTTATATTCATTCCTTTGGGTATATACCCAATAATGGGGTTGCTGGAATGAATGATAGTTTTAAGTTTGAGAAATCACCGAACTGCTTTCCACAACGGCTGAACTAATTTACATTCCCACCAGCAGTGTAGAAGTCTTCCCTTTTTTTTTTGCAACCTTGACAGCATCTGTTGACTTTTTAATAATAGCTATCCTGATGGGTGTGAGACGGTAGGTATCTCATCGTGGTTTTGATTTGCATTCCTTTCATGATTAGTGATGTTGAGCATATTTTAATATGCTTGTTGCTTTTGTGTATGTCTTTTGAAAAGTGTCTGTTCATGTCCTTTGCTCACTTTTTAAAGGGATTGTTTTTGGCTTGTTTAAATTCCTTATAGATTCTGGATATTTGACGTTTGTCAGGAGCACAGTTTGCACATATTTTCTTCCATTCTGTAGGCTGCCTTTTTGCTCTGTTAATAGTTTCTCTTGCTTTGCAGAAACCCTTTAGTTTAGTCCCATTTGTCAATTTTTGTTTTTGTTGCAATTGCTTTTGGCATCTTTGTCATGCAATCTTTGACAGGGCCCTTTACAGAATAGTATTTCCTAGGTTGCCTTTCAAGGTTTTTAAAGTTTTAGGTTTTACATTTAAATTATTAATCCATCTGAAGCTGATTTTTGTATATGATGTAAGGAAGGGGTCCATTTTCAATCTTCTGCATATGGCTAGCCACTTGTTGAATAGGGAGTTCTTTCCCCATTGTTATTGACTTTGTTGATGATCAGATGGTTGTAGGTGTGTGGCATTCTTTCTCGGCTATTACGTTACATTGGTTTGTGTCTATTTATGTACCAGCAGCAAGCTGTTTTGGCTACTGTAGCCTTGTAGTATAGTCTGAAGTCAGGTAGTGTGACACCTCTTTGTTCTTTTTGCTTAGGATTGCTGTGGCTGTTCGTGCTCTGTTTTGCTTTCATGTAAGTTTTGAAATAGTTTTCTAATTCTGTGAAGAATACCATTGGTAGATTGATAGAAATAGCATTGACTCTAAATTGGTTGGGGCAGTATGGCCATTTTAACATTATTGATTCTTCCTATCCATGAGCATGAAGTGTTTTTCCATTTGTTTGTGTCAAATCTGACGGTTTGAGCAGAGTTTTGTGATTTTTGTGGTAGAGGTCTTTCATCTCCCTGTTTGGCTGTATTCCTAGGTATTTTACTCTTTTTGTGGCTATTGTGAATTGGATCACGTTATTGGTTTGGCTCTCACCTTGGACATTGTTGGCATATAGAAATGCTACTGATTTTTGTACATTAATTTTATATCTTGAAACTTTGCTGAAGTTGTTTAATCAGATGTAGGAGCTTTTAGGCAGAGACTATGGGATTTTCTAGGTATAGAATTATATCATATGCAAACAGAGACAGTTTGACTTCCTCTCTTCCTATTTGGATGCTTTCTTTCTCTTGCCTGATTGCTCTGGCTAGGACTTCCAGTACCATGTTGAATAGGAGTGGTGAGAGTGGGTATGTTCTTGTCTTGTTCTCAAGGGGAATGCTTCCAGCTTTTGTCCATTCAGTATAATGTTGGCTGTGGGTTTTTTGTAGATGGCTTTAATTATTTTGAGGTATGCTCCTTCAGTGCCTAGTTTATTAAGGATTTTTAACATAAAGGGATGTTCAATTTTATCAAGTCTTTTCTGCATCTATTAAGATGATTATGTGGTTTTTGTTTTTAGTTCTGTTTATGTGAGGAATCACGTTTATTGATTTGCATATGTTGAACCAAACTTGCACCCCAGGGATAAAGCCTACTTGATCATGGTGGATTAGATTTTTAATGTGCTGCTGGATTCAGTTTGCCAGTATTTTGTTGAGGGTTTTGGCATCTACATTCATCAACAATATTGGCCTGAAGTTTCCTTTATTTGTTGTGACTCTGCCAGGTTTTGGTATCAGGATGATGCTAGCTTCAGAGAATGAGTTAGGGAGGAGTTACTTCTCCTCAATTTTTTGGAAAAGTTTCAGTAGGAATGGTACCAGTTATTCTTTATTTGGTAAAATTTGGCCATGAATCCATCTGGTCCTGGGCTTTTTCTGGTTGGTGGGCTTTTTATTACTAATTTGACTCCAGAACTCCTTATTGGTTTGTTCAGAGATTCAGTTTCTTTCCAGTTTAATCTTGGGAGGTTCTTTGTTTCCAAGAATTTATCCATTTCTTCTAGGTTTTCTAGCTTGTGTGCACAGAGGTATTCATAGTTGTCTGAAGATTTTTTGTATTTCTGTAGGGTCACTGGTAATGTCCCCTTTGTAATTTCTGATTGTGTTTATTTACATCTTCTCTTTTTTCTTTATTAGTCTAGCCAGAAGTCTCTAAATCTTATTTATTCTTTCAGAAAACTAACTCTTGGATTTGTCAATCTTTTATGTCTCAATTTCCTTCAATTCAGCTCTAATTTTGATTATTTCTTGTCTTCTGCTAGCTTTGGGGTTGGTTTGCTCTTGTTTTCCTAGTTTCTCTTGGTGTGATGTTAGGTTGCTAATTTGAGATTTTTTTTTTTTTTTTTTTTTTTTTTTTGGAGACAGGGTCTTACTCTGTCATCCAGGCTGGAGTGCAGTGGTATGATCTCAGCTCACTGCAACTTCTGCTTCCTGGAATCAAGTAATCCTCCCACCTAAACCTCCCAAGTAGCTGGGAATACAGGATGAGCCACTGTGCCCAGCTAATATTTTGTAGAGATGGGGTTTCACTATGTTGCCCAGGCTGGTCTTGAACTCCTGGGCTCAAAGCAATCCACCTGCCTTGGTCTCCCAAAGTGTTGGGATTACAGGTGTGAGCCACTGCATCTGGTCCTCTAACTTTTCACCATCAACTCTACCTTTTAACACTACTTTAGCTATGTCCTGAGGTTATGGTATGTTTTATCTTTGTTCTCATTAGTTTCAATTTCTTGATTTCTGCCTTAGTTTCATTGTTTTCCCAAAAGTCATTCAGGAGCAGGTTGTTTAACTTCCATGTAATTGTATGGCTTAGAGTGATTTTCTTAGTATTAATTTCTATTTCTATTGCACTGTAGTCTGAGGGTATGGTTGGTATGATTTTGTTTTTTTTTTTAATTTGCTGAGAATTATTTTATGGCTGCTTGTTGTTTGGTTGATTTTAGAGTATGTGCCATATGCAGATGAGAAAAATCTATATTTTTTGGAGGGGTGGAGAGTTCTGTAGATGTCTGTTAGGTTCTGATATGGTTTGGGTCTGTGTCCCCACCCAAATCTCATTTCAAATTATAATGCCCAATGTTAGAGGTGGAGCCTGGTGGGAGATGATTGGGTGATCATGGGGGTGGGTTTCCCCTTTGGTACTGTTCTCATGTTAGTGTGTCAGTTACCATGAGATCTAGTTGTTTAGAAGTGTAGCGCACTGCACTCAACTCTTCCTCCTGCTCTGGCTGTGTAAGACATGCCTGCATCCCTTTTGCCTTTTGCCACAAGTTTCCTGAGGCCTACCCAGCCACGCTTCCTGTACAGCTTGCAGAACCGTGAGCCAATTAAACCTCTTTTCTATATAAATTACCCAGTCTCAGGTATTTCTTCATAGCAGTGTGAGAATGGACAAATAAAGGTCCCAAATATCTTTGTGAGTTTTCTGCCTCGGAGATCTGTCTAATATTGTCAGTAGGGTGTTAAAGTCTCCCACTATTATTGTGTAGCTATCTAAGCCTCTTTGCTGGTCTCTAAGAACTTGCTTTATGAATCTGGTTTCCCCCTTGTTGGATGGATATATATTTAGGATAGTTAGGTATTTTTGTTGAATTGAACCCTTTACCGTTATGTAATACCCCTCTTTGTCTTTTTCAATCATTGTTGGCTTGAAGTCTGTTTTGTCGGAAATTACAACATCAATCCCTGTTATTTTCTGTTTTCCACTTGCTTGGTAGATTTCTCTCTGTTCCTTTATTCTGAACCTATGATTATCATGAATGTGAGATAGGTCTCTTAAGGCATCATACAGTTAGGTATTGCCTTTTTATCAAACTTGCCACTCTGTCTTTTAATTGGGATATTTAGCCCATTTACATTCAAGGTTAATAATATAGGTTTGGCTGTGTCCCCACCCAAATCTCATCTTTAACTATAGCTCCTACCATTCCCATGTGTGTGGGAGGGACCCACTGGGAGAAAATCTTCACAAACTATGCATGCAACAAAGGACCAATATAGAATCTACAAGGAATTCAAACAAATCAGCAAGAAAGAAACCAAATAATCCTATCAATGAGTGGGCTAAGGACATGAATAGGCAATTCTAAAAAAAAAAGATATACAAGGCTGGACCATGGCAGCTCATACCTGTAATCCCAGCACTTTGGGAGGCCAATGTGGGTGGAACGCTTGAGGCCAGGAGTTCAAGATGAGCCTGGCCAACATGGTGAAACCCTGTTTTTACTAAAAAATACAAAACTTAGCCAGGTATGGTGGTGCATGCCTGTAATCCCAGCTATTCAGGAGGCTGAGGCATGAGAATCACTTGAACCTTGGAGGCGGAGGTTGCAGTGAGCCAAGATTGCACCACTGCACTCCAGTCTGGGTGACATAGTAAGATTCTGTCTCAAAAAAAAAAAAAAAAAAAAAAAAGGAAGGTATGCAAGTGGCCAACAAATACATTCAAAAATGTTGAACATCACTAATTATCAGGGAAATGCAAATCAAAACTACAATGCAATACCACCTTACTCCTGCAAAAATGGCCATAATTTAAAAATAAAAAAATAATAGATTTTGGCATGGATGTGGTGAAAAGGGAACACTTTTACACTGCTGGTAGGAATGTAAGCTAGTACAACCACTATAGCAAACAGTGTGGATATTACTTAAATAACTAAAAGTAGATCTACCATTTGATCCAGCAATCCCACTACTGGCTATCTACCTGGAGGAAAAGATGTTATTATATGAAAAAAGACACTTGCACATGCATGTTTATATCAGGACAATTTGCAACTGCAAAAATATGGAACCAGCCCAAAGGCCCATCAATCAACGAGTGGATAAAGAAAATGTGGCACATATACACTATGGACTGCTACTAAGCCATAAAAAGGAATGAAATAATGACATTCACAGTAACCTGGATGGAATCGGAGACCACTATTCCTAAGCGAAGTAACTCAGGAATGAAAAACCAAGCATCACATGTTCTCACTTATAAGTGGGAGCTAAGCTATGAGGATACAAAGGCATAAGAATGATACAAATGGACTTTGGAGACTCGAGGGGAAGGGTGGGAGGGGGGCAAATGATAGAAGACCACACATTGGTTACAGTGTACACTGCTCAGGTAATGAGTGCACCAAAATCTCAGAAACCACCAGTAAAGAACTCATCCATGTAATCAAGTACCACTTGTTCTCCCAAAACCTATTGAAATAATAATTAAAAAAGAAAGTGAAAAGACAATAGCAAAGACATAGAATCAACCCAGGTGCCCATCAGCAGTGGATTAGATAAAGAAAATGTGGTACTTATACGCCATGGAATACTACACAGCCATAAAAGAACAAAATCATGTCCTTTGCCAAGACATGGATGTAGCTAGAAGCCATTATCCTAAGCAAATCCTAAGTAACAGAAAACCAAATACCTTATATTCACACTTGGAAGTGGGAGCTAAGCATTGGATACACATGGACACAAAGGTGCGGTTAGACACTGGAGACTCCAAAAGCAGGAAGGGAAGGAAGGAGGAAGGGAAGGGCTGAAAAACTACCTATTGGGTACCATGTTCACTACTTGGGTGACGGGATCATTAGAAGCCCAGCCTCAGCATCATGCAGCTAACTCATGTAACAAACCTGCACATGTACCCCCGAATCTAAAATTTAAAACAGAAAGTGAAAAGATAATGCATAGAATGGAAGGGAATATTTGAAGATCATATATCCATGATCTATCAGGAAGCCTTACAATGCAATAATAAAGAGATATAACTCAAAATTGGTCAAAGTACTTGAATAGACATTTCTCCAAAGAAGATAAAGAAATGGCTAATAAGCACAAGTAAAGATAGTCAACATCATTAGCCATCAGTGAAATGCAAATAAAATATACAGTGAGATACCATCTCATACCCACTAAAATGGCCATCCTAAAAAAGATAATAACAAGTGTTGGTAAGAATGTGGAGAAATTGGCCAGCATGGTGGCTCACACTTGTAATTCTAGCACTTTGGGAGGCCGAGGTGGGCTGATCATGAGGTCAGGAGATCAAGACCATCCTGGCCAACATGGTGGAACCTCGCCTCTATTAAAAGTACAAAAATTAGCCGGGTGTGGTGGAGCATGCCTGTAGTCCCAGCTACTTGGGAGCCTGATGCAGGAGAATCACTTGAACCCAGGAGGCAGAGGTTGCAGTGAGCTGAGATCACACCACTGCACTCCAGCCTGGCAACACAGCAAGATGCCATCTTAAAAAAAAGAAAAAAAAAGGGGAGAAATTGGGAATACAAAATGGTGAAGGCACTTTGGAAAACAGTTTGGCAGTTCCTCAAATGGTTAAACCTAGAGTTACCATATAACCCCACAACTCTACTCCTAGGTATATGTATATACCCAGGAAAAATAAAAACATATATTCACACAAAAATTTGTAGATAAATGTTCAGAGCACCATTACCTATAATAACCAAAAATTTGAAACAACTTAAGTGTCCATCAACTGCTGAATGGATAAATGTTAAAATATGTTATATCCACACAATGGAATATTATTTAGTCATAAAAAAGAATGAAGTACTGATTTATACTATAGCATAAATGAACCATGAAGACATGCACTAAGTGAATGAAACCAATTAGAAAGATACATATTGTATAATTTTATTTATGTGAAATGACCAGGATAGGCAAATCCATGGAGACAGAAAGTAAATTAGTGGTTGCCTAGGGCTAAGGTAGATTTGGAGAGAGGTGGAGAGGGACTGCTATTGGGTGTAGAGTTTCTTTTTTAGGTGATGAAGATGTTCTGAAAGTGATTGTATTATTGGCTCTACACCTCTGTGAATATACTAAACGTGTTTGAATTGTATAATTTAAATGAGTGACTTTACACTTTAAATTTGTTTTAACAAATTTAAACAATTTAACAATTTGTTAAACTTTAAATTTGTTCCTGTGAATTATATTTCAATATAAAGCTGTAATCTGGGAGGAGAAAATACCGCTACCTAACTCCCTCATACAATGAGAGAAAGAAAAAGGAGAGGATGGGAAATGTAGTCTCCAATGACTGGCATATTCCTAGTTCTATTACTAAAAGAAAGAAAGCAGGATGGGTATTTGTGCACTTAGACTCTGCCACACATCCCATCTCCACCACGTCCTGCTCTCTGACATAGCCTTCATGCGTGCAGATCAGGGCAGAAATTCCCCAGACATCCATCCTAGGCTACCCTGGCAGCCAATGTGACTATTTCCCTGAAGGCCCTTCTCCCATCTACTGCAAGTCACCTACCATGGAGTTTGCCTACTCTTCTGTGATATAGTTTTGTTTACTCAAAATGGAAAAGACATGTCCTGACTTAGTGTGATGTCTCCTTTAGCCTGTACCTAATGTCCTGGCCTATACAAAGTAGAGCCTATTCCCTTCTGAGGTGAATACTTCTTTGAAAGAGAAATTTACTCCAAGTTTTTGAGGGCTTAAGTTAGATGCCCTGTGGATAAATTTCCCTGGTATCAAACTCTCTGTTTCATGTCATCCTTTACCACACACTTTTTTTTTTTTTTAAATCAAGACAGGGCTTCACTCTGTTGCCAAAGGCAGGAGTGCAGTGGCATGATCTCAGCTCACTGCAACCTCCGCCTCCTGGGCTCAAGCGATCTTCCTGCCTCAGCCTCCCAAGTAGCCAAGACTACAGGCACATGCCACCACACCCAGCTAACTTTGTATTTTTATAGAGACAGGGTTTCGCCATGTTGCCCAGACTGGTCTTGAACTCCTGAGCTCAAAGGATCAGCCCTCCTCAGCCTCCCAAATTGTTGGGATTACAGCCATGAGCCACCATGCCTGGCCACCACACACTTTCAATGACCTTCTACTTTAGGGTGAATTCTTTAGAATTCTTTAGCATCCTAAAGGGGTTGAGAAGGCCTCCAGCTTAATAGGTCAGGGGCCTTTACCATTTTATCACCCATAGGGCCCAAGAGGTCTCTGTGCAGGAAGGCTTAAAATCCCTTCCTTCCAATGGTGAGTCCCACTGTATTCTTCGCTACATTTATAAAAGGAAATTTAGTAAGTGTCAGATAAGTGCTTGTTGATCTATTGATTCAGCCTCACCATAGAACTGAGAAAAATTCCGTCTAAAAAGAAGTAAAATAGTGCTTAAAGCTTGCACTACAGGGTAGTGTAGGAGGGTTCACCAGGGTGCCTCAGTTTTCCCATTTGTTAAATGAAGATGCTATTTTTGAAGTGTGTGAGCATCTCCAGATAAATGCTCATAACTGAGAAAATGGATTCAGCATCTGACTGTCTAAAAGTGGAAGGAGTTGACAGAAAAGCCTTCCTTCTCTATAGTCAGGCTTCTCTGTAACACGGGAGAGAGGCTGTTTTTCAGCAAGCTCTGGGAAAGAACACAGGGAACTAAGCTGAGAAGGTAAGTTCATGACTCAACAGACATCCTTTCCTGTACTTTTGCTTTATCTTCTTACTTAAGCAAAGTTGAAATTGTTTCCTTGCTGAGCTTGTTTTTCCAGAGTATTAGCTAATGTGGTAATTGGGATACATTTGTTCCTGTTAAATTCAGGATTTCAAGAAGCAGCTGAATTTAAACTAACCTAAGTGTGATATATAAAGATCTTTAGTGTTCTTTAATCCAGACCATTATTAAACTTCCTGGAATATGGAAAAAAACACAAAATAATTAAATAAACTCACATTGTGTTGTAAAGTCCATTTGCATTGCACATACCAGCAGATCATGCTTGGATGGGTTTTTTTAATTTCTTGACTTATTTCCTTTACTAATGACCTCTGTACTCATTAGAAGGTATTAGCACATTACAAAGACATTATGAAGCATCGATGGGCGTACATTTGTCCCATATTTAATTTTATTCCTGAGAGTAATGCTCAGGTTTTCCTTCATGCTGGTTTTCTTTTCAGCACACTCTGGTAGTTTGCAAATAAAACAATCAGGGCTAGTTTCACAGGAGTACAACCTATGCAACCACACAGGGTCCCATGTTTAGAAAGTTCCCAGACTTGGAAGGATCACATACTTGTCTTAATGTTCTGCTGTCATTTTTGTTAGTTTATTTCCAAAGAAATTCATTTCTTTGGAGAGCCATTCTCTCTGTGGTTTTAGGTTGACATAAGTGACTCCATTTTGGTACTGATACCCTTCACATCGTCTTGAGATTCTCAATAATTTCGAACAAGGGGCCACATACTCGTTTTGCACTTGGTCCTGAAAATTTTGTAGCTGGTACTAACCACAATACTTGGAATTTCAGATCTCACCTCTGATCATTATTAGCTGTGTGGCCTTGGACAGGTTTCTGAACCTCTCTCAACTTCACTCTCTTCAAACATTAAATTTGAAAGAACAACATCTGTCTCAGAATTGTTGTAAGAATTAGCACTCAAATAAGATAGAAAATACACTGGTGTGTAGCACATGGTTCTAGTAACTAACTCTTATTAATTGCACACTCTGTGCCAGGCACCGTGCGTGCTGTTTACACAGATCAGCTTATTAATTCCTTGCACCTGTGGCTGATGATCAGCAAATACACCATTTGCACTTAGAGGATTTTTATAGCCAGTGTCCATTTCTCACTGGTCCAGCCTCCATTCTGGTTGGTGTCTATGGTGATTATGGTTATCATTACTATTTCTCTCGATGCTCTGTGCAGCTGGTAGTATTTTATAAATGAAAGAATTGAGGCACAGACATATTAAGTAACTTGCCCAAGATCACACAGCTTATAAGTAGACACTCCTTAACTATTAATGGCATAAACTCTAGTAAATAGCAGAGAGAGGTGAGATCTTTTAACTTGAAGTTTAATGTTCTTTCCTTCTGTCTCCAATTTTTTACCCTCAAGGAGTTAATAGTTGAGTGAGAGTGATGTTACATATAAATCTGGCTACTGCACAAAGCTGTGTGCTCCTACCTGTTCAGCCTCACCTGCCAAACACATGCTCTCCAAGCTGCTTGCAGTTACCCTCTCAGGCTTCCAGGCCTTTGATTAAATTGTTTCCTCATCTAAAGGTTCTTCCCTAATTCCCAGTCCTTAGCACTTCCTACCTAATTTCTCACTTTCTTTTAAGAATCAACTTAAGTGGTTCACCCCTTAAGAAGTCCTCTCCTCTGAGCACTCTTAGAATTTTACACATAGTTTTATCATAATGCATCTCACATAAATTCTAATGCTGGTTTTCTTGTCTGCCTTCCTCCAGGCCTGAAAGATCATTGATGAGCAAAGATGACATATTGCTCATCTGGGTGTCACCAGCACTTAGGAAAGTGTGCCTGACACATAGCTACTATTCAGTACATAATGAATGAAAGTTGGTACCATTTTCCAAGGAATATCAGATGCTCTAATTCAAAGGGGGGAGAGATGAACTCAATGGATAGACACAGCCTTCATAGAGGAAGTGGTCTGCATATTAGGTTTTGAAGGATAGGGAAGACTAAAATAATAAGATTGAGGATACAGGCAGAAAATCCACTCAGAAGGAACAGCTTGTGCAAAAGTGGGAATATGGAAGGGTTAAGACAAAGCTTGTTTAGAAAACAACAGGTAGATCATTTGGCCTGGAACATTGTATTTTTACTGAGCAAGGGATCCCCAAACCAAATGCTTCTTGGAACCAGGCTTTATAGCACAATAAATAAATAAAACATGGCCCCATGTGGTACAATAGAAGGGGAAGGGATTGTGGCAAACCGAAAAAAACATGCCCTACTGTGAAGGAATTAGTTACTACTTCTCCATGACCAATAATCATGTAAGGATCTTTCGATTTTTCCAGATAACATGAAAATCCAGATTCTACATGTGTGAAATATCTTGATTTTTTTTTTTTACTTTTTATTTTTAAACAATTTTAGACTTGTAGAAAAACTGGGAAAATACTGCAGAAAGTTCATGTATACTCTCCACCCAGCTTTCCCTAATATTGTCAGCTTTCATACCCATAGTATAATTCTCAGAACTATGAGTTAACATTGCTATAAAGAATTAAACTGCAGTGCTTATTCAAATTTCATCAGTTTTCCCCTAAGGTTCTTTTTCTGTTCCAGGATCCAGTCCAGGATCCCACATTGCTTTTAGTGTTGTATTTCTTTTTTTTGTTTTGTTTGGTTTTCTGACAGAGTCTCACTCTATTGCCCAGGCTGGAGTGCAGTGGCATGATCTTGGCTCACTGCAACCTCGCCTTCTGGGTTCAAGCGATTCCCCTGCTTCAGCCTACTGAGTAGCTGGGACTACAGACGCCCACCACCATGCCCAGCTAATTTTTGTATTTTTAGTAGAGACAGGGTTACACTGTGTTGGCCAGGCTGGTCTCAAACTCCTGACCTCAGGATCCGCCCGCCTCGGCCTCCCAAAGTGCCGGGATTACAGGCGTGAGCCACCATGCCCGGCCTAATTGTTGTATTTCTTTAGTTTCGGTCTTTCCTTGTCTTTCATGACTTTAACATTTTATTTTGTTTTTAATTTTTTTTTATTATACTTTAAGTTTTAGGGTACATGTGCACAACGTGCAGGTTTGTTACATATGTATACATGTGCCATGTTGGTGTGCTGTACCCATTAACTCATCATTTAACCTTAGGTATATCTCCTAACGCTGTCCCTCCCCGCTTCCCCCACGCCACAACAGGCCCCAGTGTGTGATGTTCCCCTTCCTGTGTCCATGTGTTCTCATTGTTCAATTCCCACCTATGAGTGAGAACATGCAGTGTTTGGTTTTTTGTCCTTGCGATAGTTTGCTGAGAATGATGGTTTCCAGCTTCATCCATGTCCCTACAAAGGACATGAACTCATCATTCTTTATGGCTGCATAGTAGTCCATGGTGTATATGTGCCACATTTGCTTAATCCAGTCTATCGGTGGACATTTGGGTTGGTTCCAAGTCTTTGCTATTGTGAATAGTGCTGCAATAAACATACATGTGCATGTGTCTTCATAGCAGCATGATTTATAATCCTTTGGGTATATACCCAGTAATGGGATGGCTGGGTCAAATGGTATTTCTAGTTCTAGATCCCTGAGGAATCACCACACTGACTTCCACAATGGTTGAACTAGTTTACAGTCCCACCAACAGTGTAAAAGTGTTCCTATTTCTCCACATCCTCTCCAGCACCTGTTGTTTCCTGACTTTTTAATGATTGCCATTCTAACTGGTGTGAGATGGTATCTCATTGTGGTTTTGATTTGCATTTCTTTGATGGCCAGTGATGATGAGCATTTTTTCATGTGTCTTTTGGCTGCATAAATGTCTTCTTTTGAGAAGTGTCTGTTCATATCCTTCGCCCACTTGTTGATGGGGTTGTTTGTTTTTTTCTTGTAAATTTGTTTGAGTTCATTGTAGATTCTGGATATTAGCCCTTTGTCAGATGAGTAGATTGCAAAAACTTTCTCTCATTCTGTAGGTTGCCTGTTTACTCTGATGGTAGTTTCTTTTGCTGTGCAGAAGTTCTTTAGTTTAATTAGATCCCATTTGTCAATTTTGGCTTTGGTTGCCATTGCTTTTGGTGTTTTAGACATGAAGTCCTTGCTCATGCCTATGTCCTGAATGGTATTGCCTAGGTTTTCTTCTAGGGTATTTATGGCCCAAGGTAATTTATAGATTCAATGCCATCCCCATCAAGCTACAAATGACTTTCTTCATGGAATTGGAAAAAAACTACTTTAAAGTTCATATGGAACCAAAAAGGAGCCCGCATTGCCAAGTCAATCCTAAGCCAAAAGAACAAAGCTGGAGGCATCATGCTACCTGACTTCAAACTATACTACAAGGCTACAGTAACCAAAACAGCATGGTACTTGTACCAAAACAGAGATATAGACCAACGGAACAGAACAGAGCCCTCAGAAATAATGCCACATATCTACAACTATCTGATCTTTGACAAACCTAACAAAAACAAGAAATGGGGAAAGGATTCCCTATTTAATAAATGGTGCTGGGAAAACTGGCTAGCCATATGTAGAAAGCTGAAACTGGATCCCTTCCTTACACCTTATACAAAAATTAATTCAAGATGAATTAAAGACTTAAATGTTAGACTTTAACATTTTAGATGACTACTTGTCAATTATTTTGTAGAGTGTTTCTATTTTCTCATGATTAAGTTGAGATTTTTGCATTTTTTTGCAAAAATACCACAAAAGTGATGCTGTGCCCATCTCAGTGCATCATATTGGGGGGTACATGATGTCAATATGTCCTATCAGTGGTGATGCTTACTTTGATCATTCAGTTAAGATGGTGTCTGCCATGTTTTTCCATTGTAAAGTTTTCATTTTTTTTTTTTTTACCTAATAAACCAATAGTTTGGGGACAATACTTTGAAGCTACAAGTATCCTGTTTCCTATTAAACTTTAGTCCACTGATTTTAACATCTGTCAGTGGATCTTGCCTACAATGATTACTGTTTAATGTAATATCTGCCTAGTGGTGATGTATTTCCTGCATTCATTCTACATTTATTAATTAGAATTCCTCTGTAAGGAAAAGCTGTCCTATCCCTTTCCCCTGTTTATTTATTTATTCAATTATTTATATTAGTATGGATATTTATTTTATTTTATGGGTTACAATCCATTATTATTATTGTTATTTTGTTGCTCAAATTGTTCTCGATTTGCCCATTGGGAGTGCCTTCCAATTGGCTTGGCTGTGATGTGCTTTTGTCATGCCTCATCCTATTTTGAGCACTTCCTTATTTTCTGGGATGGCAACATGTTTCAGAGGCTCATCTTCTGCTTTCCTCGCCCTAGCCCTGGAATCAGCAACTTCTCCAAGAAGCTCTGGCTCCTCTTATTGGAAAAGAAACATCTTGGATTTAAAATATAAAAAATGAACTCAAACATAAAAATATATTGCGGATGCATATTTGGGTCATATAGTTTTTCACGTTGGAACCTCTGATACAAGAGATCACAGAGATAGCAGGAAAGGTCAGAAGGTCGACTCTCTACTTGGAATTGCTAAATACATATTCTAAACATGTAGCAGAAACAATAGCCTTGAAGGAAGAGATTTTTTCATTACTCAAGCCAGAGCCAAGTTTCTGGGCCAGACAATAGATTTTTTTTTTTTAATTAATAAGCTTTGTGTTTTAGAGCAGTTTTAGGTTCACAGCAACATCAAGCAGAAAGTATAGGGTTCCCACATAGCTCCTATCCCAACTTACACAGAACCTCCTCCACTACCGGCATCCCCCACTAGAGTGGTACAATGGATGAACTTACATTGACATATGATTGTCACCCAAAGTCCACAGTTTACATTAGGGCTCACTCCTGGTGTTGTATGTTCTAAGGGTTTTGATAGATGTATAAAGACATGTATCCACCGTTTTGGTATCATACAGAGTAATTTCACTGCCCTAAAAATCCTCTGTGCTCTGTCTATTCACTCCTCCCTCCCCACAACCTCTGCCAGCCACTAATCTTTTTACTGTCTCCATAGTTTTGTCTTTTCTAGAATGTCATATACTGTAATTAGAATCATACAGTATGTGGCCTGCTCAGATTGACTTCTCTCATTTAGCAATATGCATTTAAATTCCTCTATGTCATTTCATGGCTTGATAGCTCATTTCCTTCTAGAGGTAAATAATATTCCATTGTCTAGATATACTACAGTTTATCCATTCACCTACTTAAGGACGTTTTGGTTGCTTTTAAGTTTTAACAATTATAAGTAAAGCTACTATAAACATCTGTGTGCGGATTTTTGTGTGGACATAATTTTTCAATTCGTTTGGGTAAATACTAATAAGTATAATTGTCAGATCATACGGTACGGCTATGTTTAGTTTTGTAAGAAAATACCAAACTGTCTTCCAAATTGGCTGTACCAGTTTGCAATTCCACCAGCAATAAATGGGAGTTTCTGTTGTCTTGTCTCACCAGCATTTGGTGTTGTCAGTGTTTTGCATTTTGGCCATTTTAATAGGTTTGCAGTCATATCTCAATGTTGTTTTAATTTGTATTTCTCTGATGAGATATGATGTAGAACATCTTTTCATATGCTTATTTGCCATATGTATACCTTTTTTGGTGAGATCTCTGTTTAGGTCTTTTGCCCTTTTTTTTTTTTTTTTTTTTTTTTTTTTGAGATGGAGTCTCACTCTGTCACCCAGGCTGGAGTGCAGTGGTGCTATCTCAGCTCACTGCAACCTCTGCCTCCTAGATTTGAGCGGTTCTCCTGCCTCAGCCTCCCAAGTAGCTGGGACTACAGGTGCATCCCACCATGCCTGGCTAATTTATGTATTTTTAATAGAGACAGGGTTTCACCATGTTGGCCAGGCTGGTCTTGAACTCCTGACCTCAACTGATCCACCTGTCTTGGCCTCCCAAAGTGCTGGGATGACAGGCATGAGCCACAGTGCCAAGCCTTGCCCATTTTTAGTTGGGTTGTTTGTTTTCTTATTCTTAATTGGGTTGTTTGCTGAGCTTGAAGGGTTTTTAGTATATTTTGGATAATAGTCCTTTATCAGACGTCTCTTTTGCAAATATTTTCTCCCAGTCTGTAGCTTGTCTTCTCATTCCCTTGACATTGTCCTTCACAGAGGAGAAGTTTTTAATTTTAATGAAGCCCAGCTTATCAATTATTTCTTTCATGTGTCATGCCTGTAGTTTTGTATCTTAAAAGTCATCTCCATACCCAAGGTCAATTAGGTTTTCTTTTATGGTATCTTGTAGGAATTTTATTGTTTTGTGTTTTATATGTAAGTCTGTGATCCATTTTTAGTTAATTTTTGTGAAGAGTGTAAGGGCTTTATCTAGATGGGTCTTTTTTAAATTTTATTTTTATTTTTATTTTTGCATGTAGATGTTCCAGTTGTTCTAGCAACATTTGTTGAAAAAACAAACAAAACAAAACAAAAAAGCACCACATTTTCTCCATTGAATTGCCTTTGTTACTTTGCCAAAAATCAGGTGACCAATCATGCAGGTCCGTTTCTGGACTCTCTATTCTGTTTCATTTGTCTCTTTGTCTGTTTTTTTCACCAGATGCCACACTGCCTTGATTACTGTAGCTTTACAGTAAGACAATAGATTTTTAAGAATACAGTACTCACCTGGCTGGTTCTCTTAAAGACAGTCCAGACAGCACGGTGCAGCAACAAAACAGGGGAGACGATGGGGCCAAAGAGGGCTTTCACATTTGTCTAACTCTCCTGCACACACACAGAAGGGAAGTTTGCCTTACTTCTGGATATATCAAGGGAGTGATATAAAGGGCCCCAGTGGATCTGAAGGAGCTTTTGGTTGGGATGAGGGATACACAGAGTACATGGACATGCTAATCTGATACCAAAGAGGAAACAAAGACACTGGGCTAAAGGTGTGATGTCCAAAGAGCAGATGGTGCAAGCAATATCTCAGTGAATGCCAGTCCATACTGAAGGCCACCTCCTCCTTCCCATTGCTAGAAGCTTCAGCCTTCCCTGCAACTTAGAGTATCTGTGGAGAAAGTGGGGGAGGGAACCTAAATACACCAAGTTTGTAAAGTTACAAAAAAATATAGAAAAAACTGACATGTTTTAACACACTTGTTAGCTTGGGTTTTGTTTGTTTGTTTGTTTGTTTTTAAGATGGAGTCTTGCTCTGTCACCCAGGCTGGAATGCAGTGGCGTGATCTCGGCTCACTGCAAGCTCCGCATCCCGGGTTCATGCCATTCTCCTGCCTCAGCCTCCTGAGTAGCTGGGACTACAGGTGCCCACTACCACACCTGGCTAACTTTTTGTATTTTTAGTAGAGACGGGGTTTCACTGTGTTAGCCAGGATGGTCTCGATCTCCTGACTTCGTGATCCGCTCGCCTCAGCCTCCCAAAGTAGCTTGGGTTTTAAAAGTCTCACCTAGGCCGGGTGCAGTGGCTCATGACTATAATCCCAGTACTTTGGGAGGCTGAGGCGAGTGGACCACGTGAGGTCAGGAGTTCGAGACCAGCCTGGCCAACATGGTGAAACCCCATCTCTACTAAAAATACAAAAATTAGCCCAGCATGGTGGCACATGCCTGTAATCCCAGCTACTCGGGAGGCTGAGGCAGGAGAATGGCTTGAACCCAGGAGGTGGATGTTGCAGGGAGCCAAGATCGTGCCATTGCACTCCAGCCTAGGCAATAGAGTGAGACTCAGTCTCAAAAAAAAGAAGTCTTACCTGCTGTAAAATCATGAAGCTAACTTAGTGCTCATCTATCAAACTTATACTGAATGAGGTTACTTGAATGTCTGAGTTCAGACTTCTAAGAGCATGAAAGGCAGCAGAGTTCTCTTGAAGGGCAGTAGAGCCTCCTTTTTGTTTTTTGTTTCGCACATTCTAGTTGTGCTAACCAAGAGAGATGTACCCCCACCCTACTCCAGGTAATCTTATTAAAACGTTCGCTCCAATTGTGTTGAGTCATGGCTCATTGGATAAGAACATTTAGATATTAGAAGTCCACATCATCTAAGGTCAAGCCTCCAGTGAAAGGAACATGGAGGTGATGCAATTATACTGATTTCTGAGCAGATGGCTGTTTTCTAGAGGGAAATGGTGCATAAAACACACAAATAATGAAAGACTTGAGAGAGAAATTCTTCATGGCAGTCGTGACTATAAAATCAACACAAAGGGACTAATTCACAGAATTGGTACAATGTTTAAAAGCACTAGGGAAAATTAGAGGTACTTGCTGCCCTGATGGGGCATTCTGCCTAGACTTGGAGGTGTAAGGGCATAGGATGAGGTGCAGGTATACACGTTTCTATATGTGGTATATACAAATCTCAGTTCACAAACCCAGGTGTGGAAAGAGTTAATACTTACAATGACCCCCTTTTCTTCCAGGCAATAGAAATTTAATTTCAGTCATTTCCGGATACCTGCCTTTCCCCTGTGATTGCATCTCAGTTTGAGGATTACACAGTGCTACTGAATGAAGGTTAGGAATGTAGGGCATCTCATCTAAGTTGGCTGCACTCTTCACTAGCATAGCTACTTAGATGGGACAGGGACACCTGCTGGTCATTGCCAAGTCATCCCTTTGTCAGACCATACCATAGTAACTCTGGATCTGGTTTTGAGTTGCAATACCTTGATGTCTCCATGCCATTCTGAGACCACAGAAAACTTGGTGGGACCATCCACAGCCATGTGTCACTTCCTTGGTACCCTTGGGTACACAAGTATAATTCTACTGTCCCAGTACCCCAACCTCACCATTCACAGGTCTACTCTGAGACATTTTCAAACTTATCTACCAGGGCAGAGTAGACAGCCATCCTTACTTGGGGGTCTTGCCTCCTTTCTCGAGTCTACCAGAGAAGGTGAACACAGGTTTCTTCTGTACTACAATCCCGAAACATATCTGGAGTTCCTGTTGTGGAACATTCTCCCTGGTACCTACCAGGAAGAGAGCTGGGTGCAGGCTTTTTCATCCAGGACTCATTACCATCTACGACAGGGGTGTTCAATCTTTTGGCTTCCTTTAGCTGCATTGGAAGAAAGCAAATTGTTTTGGGCCACACATACAATACACTAACACTAACAATAGCTGATGAGCTAAAACAATTGCAAAAAAATCTCATAAAGTTTTAAGAAAATTTATGAATTTGTGTTGGGTGACATTCAAACCCATCTTGGGCTGCATGTGACCTGCAGGCTGCGGGTTGAACAAGCTTGATCTAAGCTCTCCTTTCTTCTGTTTTCAGAGGAAGAACAAGCTTTCTCTGTTTTCCTGGTTGGTTGATGAAGGGAGCTTGGGGCACACTTTGGCCTAAAGGAGGGAGAGCCATGTGGATTCAGGAAGCTTCTTTTTTATTATTCATCACTTCTCCCACATCTATTGTAAACACTCCAGTTCTGTTCTCCTGAGGCCAAGACTTTAAAAACTAAAAAGCTAATTAATTGACTCATTTTGTGTTATTTGCTTTCTTCCCAGTTATTCCTTTCCTTAGGTAGTGATGCCTACATAGACAGAAGGATCAAGGGTTACAAGAGGGGTGAAAAACTATACATATATTCTAGCCACATAAACACTACTGTGTTTCCCCAGTATCGTGATCCCTGCCAAGGTCAGCTACAGCCCACAATGTACACTAGGAAAAAATCAAACAATGTGGACTTAGCAGCTGGATTAACAGTGGGGTCAGCTCAGGAGACCTCACCTTCGATTCTTTGGTTCATTCTCCGTTCTTAGTCTTCTTGGAGGGCCCCAGTTGTTGTATTTTAGAAACTAGGACTTCATCAATCAGATATCATGCTAAAATGAGTCCAGCCCTTTTCTTGTCTCCTCTCACTTTGCCTCTTCTCCTTTCTCTTTTTCTTCCTGCCTCTCCATTTTTCTTTCTCTACTCTGCTTTGTCTTTCCTCTCCAAAGGCAAATCAAAGGACATGATTCCAGGACTTTTGCAGGAGATTCTCATTTGCTTTGTTGGAGAAATTATTGTTCGGTCTGACATCTGTGGCCCCAGCATCATACCCAGTTAGTGCCTCTTTTCACCTTTGATACTGTTCAGATTTGAGTGATGAACTATGTGGCCACTCTAGTCATTACAGACCAGCTTATCCTTAAAAATATTTGACCTCAGTTGAAAACTATTTAGATGTCATAACAATTTAAACAAATATGGACATACTGTTAGGGCATGCTCAAAAAAGTCAGGCTTCAGGAGATGGAGCAAGACGGCCGAATAGAACCCTCCAGCGATGGTCTCCGCAACAGGAACACCAAATTCAACAACTATCCACACAAAAAAGCACCTTCATAAGAACCAAAAATTAGGGGAGTAATCGTAGTACCTGGATTTAACATCATATTAAGAAAAGAGATACAGAAGGGGGTAAGAAAGACAGTCTTGAATCACTTATGTCACCCCCCCACCCATCCTCCAGCAGTGGCCATGTGGCATGGAGAGAAAATCTGTGCACTTGGGGAGGGACTACGCAGCGATTGTGGGACTTTGCATTGGATCTCACTTCTGCCCTATCACAGTGGAAAACAAAACAAGGAAAAATTCAGCCAGCACCCACAGAGGGAACATTTAGATGAGCCCTAGCCAGAGGGGAATTGTCCATCCCAGCAGACAGAAACTGAACTCTGGCAAGCTCCACCACCATAGGTTAAAGTACTCTAGGATCCTAAATAAACTTGAAAGGCACTCTAGGCCACGAGGACTGCAATTCCTGGGCAAGTCCTGGTGCTATGCTGGGCTCAGAGCCACTGGACTTGGGGTGCACACAACCTAGTGAGACACCAGCTGGGAGGGCTAACAGAGTGCTTGCATAACCCCTTCCCCAACCCCAGGCAGTACAGCTCACAACTCCTTCCCTATACTTGAGGATACAAGAGGGGAAAGTAAAGAGGACTTTGTCTTACAACTTGGATACCAGCCCAGCCACAGTAGAACAGAGCACCAGGCAGAGTCATGAGGACCCCATTCCAGGCCCTAGCTCCTGGATGACATTTCTGGACACATCCTGGGCAAGAGGGGAGCCCACTGCCCTGAAAGAGAGATCTAGGCCTGGCAGCATTTACCACAAGTTGACTGAAGAGCCCTTGGGATTTGAGTGAATATCAGTGGTAGCCAGGCAGTACTTACCACATGCCTAGCCAGTAGTGGCCACAAGGAAAAACTCCTCTGCTTGAGGAAAAGGAAGAGAAGACTGGGAAACACTTTGTTTTGTAGCTTGGGTGCCAGCTCAGCTGTAGCAAAATAGAGCACAAGGTAGCTTCTGAAAGTTCCCAACTCCAGGCCTTGGTTCTGGGATGGCATCTCTGGACCCTCCTAGGGCTGGGGGGGATCTTGCCATCCTAAGGGAAGAACAGAAGCCTAGCTGGATTCACCACCTGCTGGTTGTAGAGCCCTTGGACCTTGAATGAACATAGGCTGTAGCCAGGCAGTGGTCACCAAGGGCCTTAGATGAGACACAGTGCTGTGCTGGTTACAGGTCTGACCCAGTGCAATCCCAGTGATGGTGTTTGCATCACCCCTCCCCCAGCTCCAGGCAGCTCAGCGTAGAGAAAGAGATTCCATTCATTTGGGGGAAAGTAAGAGAAAAGTATCTCTGCCTGGTAACCCAGGGATTTCTCTCAGATCTTACCCAAGGCCACCAAGGCAGTAGTACCTCTATGAGTCTGCAAGAGCCACAGCATTGTTGGGCTTGGGATAATCCCTAATCCAGATATGGCTCTAGTGACCAAAAACTTAGATCATAACACCCAAGTCTCTTTGAATACTTGGAAAGCCTTCCCCAGAAGGACAGGCATGAACATGTCTGCAAAGACTACAATAAATACCTAATTCTTCAATTCCTAGATGTGGATAAATATCCACAAGCATCAAGACCATCCAGGAAAACATAACCTAATCAAATAAACTAAATAAGGCATCAGGAGGTCAATCTCTGATAGACAGAGATACGTGACTTTTAAGATATGGAATCCAAAGTAGCTGTTTTGAGGATGCTCAATGAAATTCAAGATAATACAGAGAAGGAATTCAGAGTTCTATTAGATAAATATAACAAAGAGATTTATGTAATAAAAACAATCAAGAAGAAATTATGAAGCTCAAAAATGCAATTGATGTACTGAAAAAAGCATCAGAGTCCCTTAATAGCAGACTTGATCAGGCAGAAGAATTAGTAAGCTTGAAGATAAGTTATTTGAAAATACATGGTCAGAGGAGACAAAAGAAAACAGAATAAAAAAGAATAAAGCATGCCAGAAGATCTAGAAAATAGCCTCAAAAGGACAAATCTAAGAGTTATTGGCCTTGAAGAGGAGGTAGAGAGAGAGAGAGTATGGAAACTGTATTCAAAGAAATAATAACAGAGAACTTTCCAATACTAGAGAAAGATATCAATATTCAAGTACAAGAAGGTTATAGAACACCAAGCAGATTTAATCCCCAAAAGACTATATCAAGACATTTAATAATCAAACTCCCAAAGGTCAAGGATGAAGAAGGAATCTTGCTACTTTTAGCAAGAGAAAAGAAACAAATCACATACAAAGGAACTCCAGTACATCTGTCAGTAGACTTATCAGTGGAAACCTTACACACAAGGAGAGAGTGGAATGGCATATTTAAGGTGCTGAAGGAAAAAAACTTTTACCCTAGAATGGTATATCCAGTGAAAATATCTTTCAGGCATGAAGGAGAAATAAAGACTTTCCCAGACAAACAAAAGCTGAGGGATTTCATCAGCTCCAGACCTGTCCTACAATAAATGCTAAAGGGAGTTCTTCAACCTGAAAGAAAAGGCTATTAATGAGCAATAAGAAGTCATCTGAAGCTACAAAACTCACTAGTAATAGTAAGTACATAGACAAACACAGATTATAACACTGTAATTTTGATGTGTAAACTACTCATATCTTAAGTAGAAAGACAAAAACATGAACCTATCAAAAATAATGACTATAACAACCTTTCAAAACATAGACAGTATAATAAAGATATAAACAGAAACAACAAAAAGTTAAAAAGTGGCAGGATGCAGTTAAAGTGTCAAGTTTTTGTTAGTGTTTTCTTTGCTTGTTTGTAAGTTTGTTTGTTTATGTAATCAGTGTTGTCAGTATAAAACAATGGATTATACAATATTATTCCCAAGCATCAAATAAAATAAATACAACAGATACACAAAATATAGAAAGCAAGAATTTAAAACATACCACCAGAGGAAATCACCCTCACTAAAGGAAGGCAGAAGGGAAGGAAAAAAAAAGGAAAAGAAGACCACAAAACAACTAGAAAATAAAAGCAAAGTGGGAGAAATAAGTGCTTAGGTAATAATAACATTGAATGTAAATGGACTAAACTCTCCAATCAAAAGACAGAGAGTGGCTGAATGGATAAAAAAACAAGACCCAATGATCTGCTGCCTACAAGAAATACACTTCACCCATAAAGACACATGTCAACAGAAAACAAAAGGATGGAAAAAAATATTTCATGCCAATGGAAACCAAAAAAAGAAAAAAAAAACAACAACAACAGGAGAAGCTATATCAGACTAAATAGATTTCAAAACAAAAACTATAAAAAGAGACAAAGAAGGTAATTATATAATGATAAAGGGGTCAATTCAGCAACAGAATATCACAATTATAAATATATATGCATCAAACACTGGAGCACTCAGATATACAAAGCAAATACTGTTAGAGCTAAAGAAAGAGACAAACCCCAATACAATAATAGCTGGAAACTTCAACACTCCACTTTCAACATTGGACAGATTATCCAGACACAAAATCAACAAATATTGGACTTAATCTGCTCTATAGAACAAATAGACCTAATAGATATTTTCAGAACATTTCATCCAATAGCTATAGAATACACATTCTTTTCCTCAGCACATAGACCCTTCTCAAAGATAGACCATATATTAGGTCACAAAACAAACCTTAAAACAGCCAATAAAATAAAAATAACATTAAGGATGTTCTCCGACCACAGTGGAATAAATCTAGAAATCAATAATATGAGGAATTTTTGAAACTATACGAACACATGGAAATTAAATAATATGTTCCTGAATGACCGTTGGGTCAATGAAGAAATTAAGAAATGGAAAATCTTCTTGAAACAAGTGAAAATAAAGACACAACATATCAAAACCTATGGGATACACTGAAAACAGTACTAAGAGGAAAGTTTATAGCAATAAGCACCTATATTAAAAAAGAAGAAAAACTTCAAATAACCTAATGATATAACTTAAAGTACTAGGAAAGCAAGAACAAACCAAACCCAACATTAGTAGAAGGGAAGAAACAAAGATTAGAGCAGAAGTAAGTAAAATTGAAATGAAGAAAACAATACAGAAGATTAATGTATTAGTCCATTCTCGCATTGCTGTAAAGACATACCCGAGACTGGGTGATTTCAAAAGAAAAAAGAGGTTTAACTGACTCACAGTTCTGCATGGCTGGGAAGGCCTCAGGAAACTTACATTCATGGTGGAAGGGGAAGCAAACACGTCCTTCTTCACATGGTAGCAGGAGACAGAGGGGTACCAGCAGGGGAATCACCAGATGCTTATAAAACCATCAGATCTCATGAGAACTCACTATCACAAGAACAGGATGGGGGGAACAGCCCCCATGATTCAATTACCTCCCACTGGGTCCCTCCCATGACACATGGGGATTATGAGAGTTACAATTCAAGCTGAGATTTGGGTGGAAACACAACCAAATCATATCAATCAATGAAACAAAACGTTGGTTTTTTGAAAAGATAAAGAAAATCAACAAACCTTTGGCCACTGTAAGAAAGAAAGAAAAAAGACCTAAATAAATAAAATCAGATGAAAAAGGAGATATTAAAACCAAAACACAGAAATTGAAAGGATCATTAGAGACTATTATGAGCAACTATATGTCAATAAATGAGAAATCCTAAATAAAGTAAATAAATTCCTAGAAACCTGCAGCCTACCTAGATTGAACTATGAAGAAACCTAAAATCTGAACAGACCAAAAACAAATAATGAGACTGAAGCCATAAAAAAAATCTCTTAGCAAAGCAAATCCTAGGACCTGATGGCTTCACTGCTCAGTTTTAACAAACATTTAAAGAAGAACTAATATCAATTGTATTCAAACTATTTCAAAAAATAGAAGAGTAGGGAATACTTCCAAATTCATTCTGTGAGGCCAATATTACTCTAATATCAAAACCAAAGAAAGTACACCAAAAAAAAGGAAAGAAAGAAAACTACTAGCCAATATTCCCCATGAACATTGATGTAAAAGTTCTCAACAAAGTACTAGGAAACTGAATTCAGCAAGTACTAGGAAACTGAATTCAACAGGAAACTGAATTTAACAACACATTAAAAAAATTATTCACCATGACCAAGTGAGATTTATCCCATGAATGCAAGAACGGTTCAACATATGCAAATCAACCAATGTGATACATTGTATCAACAAAATGAAAGACAAAAGCCATACGATCATTTCAGTTGATGCTGAAAAAACATTTGATAAAATTAGTATTTCTTCATGATAAAAACAGTCAAAAAACTGGGTATAGGAGGAAAATACCCCAACAGAATAAAACAGAAAAACAGAAAAAAGAATAAAATGTGACACACCCACAGCTAGTATCATACTAAAGGAGGCAAAACTAAAAACCTTTCTTCTAAGATCTGGAAGATGACAAGGATGCCCACTTTCACCACTGCAATTCAACATAGTACTGAAGTCCTAGCTAGAGCAATCAGAAAAGAAAAAGAAATAAAGATCCTCCAAATTGGAAAGGAAGAAGTCAAATTAACCTTGTTTGCCGATAATATGATCTTGTATTTAGGAAAACCTAAAGATTCCACCAAAAAACTATTAGAACTGATTAACAAATTCAGTGAAGTTGCAGGATACAAAGTCAGTAGCATTTCTATGTGCCAACAGCTAACAAGCTAAAAAAGAAATCAAGAATGTAATCCTAATTACAATAGCTACAAATAAAATAAAATACCTAGGAATAAATTTAAGCAGTGAAAGATCTCTATAATGAAAACTATAAATCATTGATATGATAGATTGAAGAGGACACAAAAAATAAAAGATATTTCATGTTCATGGTTTGGAAAAATTAATATTGTAAAAATGTCCATGCTACCCAAAGCAATCTATAGATTCAATGCAATCCCTATCAAATTACCAATGACATTCTTCACAGAAATAGAAAAAGTAATCCTAAAATTTATATGGAACCACAAAAGACCCAGAATCACCAAAGCTATCCTGAGCAAACAGAACAAAACTGGAGGAATCACATTATCTAACTTCAAATTATACTACAGAGCTACAGTTACCAAAACAGCATGGTACTGGCATAAAAACAGATATATAGACCATGGAACAAAATAGATAACTCAGAAATAAATTTATACATTTATAGTGAAATCATTTTCAACAAAAGTGCCAAGAACATATGCTGGAGAAGGGATGGTCTCTTCAATAAATGATGCTGGGAAAACTGGATATCCATATGCAGAAGAATGGAACTAGTCCCCTATCTCTTGTCATATACAAAAATCAAACTAAAATGGATTAAAGACTTAAATCTAAGACCTCAAAATATAAAACTACTACAAGAAAACATTGGTGAAACTCTCTAGTACATTGAACTGGGCAAAGATTTCTTGAGTAATATCCCACAAGCAAAGGCAGCCAAAGCAAAAATGGATGAATGAGATCACCTTATGTTAAAAAGCTTCCACACAGTGAAGGAAACAATTAACAAAGTGAAGAGATAACCTACAGAATGAGAGAAAATATTTGAAAACTACCCATCCAGCAAGGGATTAATAACCAGAATATATAAGGAGCTCAAAATACTCAATAAGAAACCATCTAATAATATGATTAGGAAATGGACTAAAGATCTGAACAGAAATTTCTCAGAAGAAGGCATACAAATGGCAAACAGGTATATGAAAAGGTGCTCAACATCATTTATCGTCAGAGAAATGCAAATCAAAAACAATGAGAAATCATGCCACCCCAGTTAAAATGCCTTTTATGCAAAAGACAGGCAATAATGAATGCCAGTGAGGAGGTGAAAAAAAGGGAACACTTGTACACTGTCAGTAATGTAAATAAGTACAACCACTGGAGAACAGTTTGGAGGTTGCTCAAAACACTAAAACTAGAGATACCATATAACCTAGCAATTCCACTGCTAGATATACATCCAAAAGAAGGGAAAACAGTATATTGAAGAGATATCTGCACTCCCATGTTTATTGCAGTACTTTTCACAATAGCCAAGATTTGGAAGCAACCTGTGTCCATAAACAGATGAATGGATAAAGAAAATGTGGAACATATGCACAATGGAGTGCTATTCAGCCATAAAAACTAATGACATCCTGTCATTTGCAGCAACATGGATGGAACTGGAGGCCATTATGCTAGGTGGAATATGCCAGTCACTGAAAAGACAAACCGCATATTCTCACTTATTTGTGAGGGCTAAAAATTAAAACAATTGAACTCATTCTACTCTCTTGGAGAGAGAGAGAGAGTACAATAATGGTCACCAGAGTCTGGGAAGGATATGAGGAGGAAGGAAAAGAGGAGATGGTTGATGGGTACAAAAATATAGTTAGAATAAATAAGGCCTAGTATTTGATAGCACAACATCGTGATTATGGTCAACAATAACTTATTATACATTTAAAAGTAACTAAAAGAGTATAATTGGATTGTTTGTAACACAAAGAAAGGATAAATGCTTGAGGTGATGGATACCCCGTTTACCCTGATGTGATTATGCATTGAATGCCTGTATCAAAATATCTCAGGTACTCCATAAATATATACACTTACTATGTACCCACAATTAAAAAGGAAAAGTCGGGCTTCAAATATAGCTAATAATACACAGTGTGAGATGGTCAAACAGAAGCCTGGGTTAAGTCCCATTGGAGCCTACAGGGTTAAGTCAGAGTTGGGAAACCTTGGTTGTCCGACCTTGGTGGAAGTGTCAGCTATCAGTTGGCTTGGCCTTCAAATCCTGCTCTGAGGTGTGCGGATCTCTCTGGGAGTACTGGAGGGTGGAGATGGGATTGGGGAAAGAGCAGAACAAAATGTTGGAGAGTGTCTTCCAGTCTACAGCCTTGACAAATGTCAGGCTATCCAGAAATGAAGCTGGAACAGAAATAAGGAGATCAAGAGAGATCCTGGCCAAGGAGCTGTGTCTTCCCAGTTGATAGGGTGGGGACCTTTAAATCTGACTTTTCCCTTCTCTTAAAGAGCTTCCTCTACAGCATTGGGTAAGCTTTGAGAAGACATCTTCATGAAAATGAAAACTCTTTATTGTAGCTTCAATAATTTATGAATTAAGAACTATTCTCTAATCACCATAAGTTATCTTTACAAAAGGGGGGAACAACAACAAATATGTGTAAAAAAAGCTGGCTCTTTCCTCTTAACACATGTGAATAATAATAATAATCAATAGCCCTTAATTGAAAACCATAGATTTGAAACCAAATTATAGCAAAATCTAGAATCCATACTTATGTAGCAGATACACCTTTCCAGTTATGTTTAGCTTAAACTATTTGGGAGATAGCAGTTTGGCAGGGTTCTGAGCACTGGAGACTTTGACCTTGGAATAAAAAAATTACATTAGAAAAATCCACAAAGTGAATAATTAAGAATTTGCTATACATTAAGTTCATTATTCTTCAGGTTAAGGGCTATACAGACTATATAATAAAAGAAATTATTAATAATATTAAAGTCATTGAGGACATTTTCACAGTTATATTAAAAGCAGAGGCTGGATTAGTATAGGGGAGTTATTTTGTCTTCTGACACCATTTCTTCCCCTGGTCCAATGAAATGTCTTTTGAAGAACAGAGTAAAGAGTACATGTAGCCCACTACCAACGTTAAAGTGATTAGTGTGGCTCTCTCAGGGATATCCAACCTGGATTAGGCAAGACCCAAACTGAGTCACAGTCAAATGACCAACCAGAGCCAACCTGCCACCAGAACAATAAAGTCTTCTAGAATCTCATCAAAATGCTCTTCTTTTGATAGGGATTAAAGAAGAAAGAAGAAAGGAGAAGAAGAAGAGGAGGAGGAGGAGGCAAAGGTGATCTTAGCTAGAAATGGAAAGGAAAAAAAAAGAAGCTCAAAAGAAAGAAACTATGATAGTGGCTCTTAAACTTTTAGCATAAAAACATGGACGAGCATAAGAATTACTGGGGCCCAAGTCAAAAAGGCTCATTCCTGGGCTCTACTTGCAGAGATTCTGATTCAGGATTAGAATCTCGACCCAGGAATCTGGGTCTGATACAAGTGCTGTACTGGTTTTGGTGATTGGATGCCAAATGAAAAATCATGTGGCTTGGGGCTGGAAGGGAGAGGAGGAGATGATGAAACCTCAGGCCTTCTTAGCCAAAGCTTTGATAGCTCTCTTCTACCAGACAGCTGGGCATGTCAGGGTTGAAGAAATATTATCTGTCTTAAACAATTAAGTGGTTTTGTGACTAAATGGGAAGGCTCTTTGGTATTGTTCACCCAGAGCTTTTTTGGGAAGGAAAGAAAAGCTCATGACCACAGTTTGGGGTCTGCATCCCCAGAACAGCACCATTCCCACCAGGACTGAGAACTGAGATATTACTCTCCTCCAACAAACATCAACAAGCTCTGCTGAGCCTGAGCCCTCCATTAAATTAGTCTTGCCTCCTGCTCCTATATTTTTCCCACGTGAGCCTAATTCATTATCTAGTCCTTTTTTAACAGAGGATTTTATAATTCAGAGCGGAGTGGAAGATCTCTTTGGGAGCAGAGACAGTACTATTTTGGGATCCTATTTATTTTATAATTTTGCATGTAAAGAGCAGGCAGCCAGAAACACACATGATCTATTTTTTTTCCTCTATGTTCTTTCCTCCCAACAGAGTTCACATTAAAGCTAGAGAAATACTATTTTTTAAATCCCCAAGTGGTGGGCACAGCTAACAGGCAATGGAAAGCGGCATAAACACTCCTCACCCACCAATACATCCACAGGCCACATGGCATGTACACCTCACAACACACACTCTCCCACCCTCGAACTGTTTCATATTTCTTTTAAAAATGTACTTTTTTTCTCTCACACACATTCTCATGTTCTCTCACTCCCAACTTTGTAATGAAGCCCACTTTTTATTTAGTCAGGATCTTAAAGATCTTACCACAGACGATCAGATTTAATCATACAAGATGCCCCTAGTGAAGGATCTCTACAATAAAAGGTCTTGACACAAACAAAAATGAAGCAAGCTTCAGATTAGTCAGCCCCACTCTGCAGATGGTCTTTGTGGGCTTAATGAAAGTAGGTTCAGGCTGAAGACCCTGGATATACAAATTGACTAAACAAACATCAATTTGTCTACCAAAGTGCCTCTGAATCACAAATGAGTAAAATCGAGTTGTCTTGGAATCTGAGTTATTTGGCTTTAAACTTGGCTGGCAGTACCATTAACTATTGATCTGTTAATTTACAATGGTTTAGAACAAGACTTTGATGGAAGGTACTAGAGCTTTGACCATAAAGTCAATAAGTCTCTTATAAAACAACCTTACCCATGTATTATACATACACCCATCGGCAAGACTTCATCTGGGGCATTTCTCAGTCGGGCTTGAATTCACTGACTATTCATAATATTGAAAACCTCCTATTAAACCCAAGCCATTTAAATTTCTAATTATCTGACCATTATACATTACCTTAATACTGATGACTCAGTACTCTGTGCCTCTCTGATGTGCTAATAAAAAGGGAGGGTGATTCATTTTCATATGTTCCCTTTTCTAGGAAATGAATCAGAGACTTTTGCTGCAATGCCTGTGTTCAAAGTTTATTTCAAAACCAGAGTAATTGAAAAACATTTCTCTATTTGGAAAATCTAATGAAAACATTCTTATGCTAGAACGGAAACATAGATAAGCTTAACTGGGCAAGGGATGGGAGGACCACAGTGACTTGAAACTGGGAATGCCAGGAAAAAGCAGAGAGAAACGCATTATGTGTTCTGGGCAGCAGGTCCTCAGCAGGTATTTGTTCTTGCTCAACCCTTCCTTCATTTTCAGTCTTACTTTTCTTTTGCCCGCCAGACCTCTTGTCTCCTTGTTGAGAGAATGCCATCCAGGGTCTAGCTTTTTATAAGCAAAGAGTCCTGAAAGACTGACTTCCATCATTACCATATTTTGGACAGAAGCTGATTTCCCTGGGCTGAAGACATTTTGCAAGTTGGAGGAGTATTTGCATGACAAGCAACAGGAGTTTTTGGACATCTGGAGGCTTAGTTCCAACGTGACCTTAACTGTGCCCTCAATGCCACATTCATCTGCTCAGTCTAGTCTGCAAATGATCCTCTTCTGTGGACCACTGATCTTTCAAAAATCTTTTCAGATAGTTTATGAAAAGACAATGCAAATTATTAACAAAGATATGAATAAGCACGTGCTCTCATCGTAATTAAAGAACAGCAGGTTGAATCAAAATTAAGGTGTGTGTGTGTGTGTGTGTGTTTGAATTAATTTGAGAAAGATCTTTAATAATTACAACGCTAGTGTTCCAGTTAGAATGCTTCAGCTGCAATATCAACACCCAAAGCAAACTTCTAAAACAGTATGTATAATATATTATTTCACATACAAAGAAGTCCCAAGGAAGGACAGCTCCTGAGTTGGTTTAGGGTTCGACAGCATTATCAGTCTCTTATCCTCCACTGGTTTTATTCTCAGGCTGTCATAGTTCAAGGTGTATGTGCATACATAACAATGTTCTACACACAGAAGGAGACTGTTCTGGTCTATTTTTAAGAATGAAAAACATTTACCTAGTAAACGTCACAGTTCATCTCATTAGCCCCAGCTCGGTCACGTGCCCATCTCTAAACCAATCTCTAGTGAGAGAAATGAGATTAGCAAATTTGGCTTAGGCTGATAAGGATTTATTCTCAGAGGAAGCATGGACATCTGAAGAAATTAAGCCACTAGTAACAGGGAAAAGGGGGAAATAGTGACTCTTGGGTAGGTAACCTGTGGTGTCTGCTCTGGCTGCCAAGGATATAGTAAAATGGGCCACATGCAGCTGGTAGACATTCTGGAAAGTAATCTGGCACTATATACTAGGATACTTAAAAGCATCCATACACATTGACAAAGTAATTTGACTTCCAGAAATAAAGCCCATGGAAGGTGAACCTAAATGTAGATAAAGCTTTGTGCTTAGAGGAGTTCATTGTAGCACCTTTATAAGGGAAAGAAGGAAGGAAGGAAGGAAGGAGAAAGAGAGGGGGAAAGAAAGAAGGCAGGAAGAAAGAGGGAAGAATGGAGGTAAAGACAAAGAAAGAAGGAAGAGATAGAGGGAGGGAAAGAAAAGGAAGGAAGGAAGGAAAGGAAGGAAAAGAAGAAGGAAGGAAGGACTTAAGGATCTAATAATAAGTTACATAATTACAGTACATCTGTTTGATTAACTACTCTTTGGTATGTTATTTTTAATATATTTTTTTAGAGACAGGGTTTCACTATGTTGCCCAGGCTGGACTTGAACCCCTAGGCTTATGTGATCCTCCCGTGCAGCTGGAACTACAGCCGTGTGCCACTGCACGTGGCTTCTCTAGCATTTTAAAATGAGGTTTACAAAGAGTTTTTCAGAATGTGGCAAAATGCTCATATTATAGTGCTAAGCAAGAAAAGCAAGATGTAAAATTATATATATAAAACGCTATGTAAAATATTAATAGCAACTATCTTCTCAACATCTACCGTGAGCTGGGAACTTATACACTGTCTCTAACCTTGACAACAACCCTGAAATGTAGGTATTTTTATGCCTGGTTTGCAAATAAGGCAACTAAGGCTAAAAGATGTTCAGTAGGTTTCCAGAGGCACTCAGATATCAAATGGCAGAACAAGGATTTGAGTCTAGGCCTCTCTGGCTGTTTGGAACACAGTCTCACAGTTGAGGAGCAAACTTCTTTCTTTCCCCTTGGTTCTCTTCTCCCTTCTCTGCAGCTGATGGATATGAATAAAATATCCTCAAGTTCAGCTACATGAATATGTCTTGTTTAGGAAGTATAAACATTCACAAATATTTAGTGAAGTGCAATTGAATAAGGACAATGGGAAATTAGAGGGGCCAGGGGTGGGGCAAACAGATAGGAAAGTGAGAAGAAGGAAAGATACGTGACTGGAGTGACTACTGAGAACTCAGAAGTGACTCTCTGATGCCCTTTCAGCTGATTCCAAGTGCTTCATTCAGTACACAGGCCTGCTAGTCAAGGACGATCCACACCAATTCGTCAAGACCCTCTCTCAGGACTCAGGTGCTTATTTAGATGTTGAAGCCCAGCCTAATTCACATGCTAATCAGAAATTTCTTCTACCAGGGCCTGCCTGATCAAGAGGGGCGGGTACATATTATGATGGCAGGAATAAAGGTAGTGATGGATACATCTGTGAAAGAAGGGGGTGGGGGGTCAATACATTGGAAATCACACATTATTTCGTAGCATAAAATTCACAGGCCCAAGATAAAGGTATACTTGCAACTAATAAGTGAAAAAAATATTGAATTAAGGAGAAAGTAAAAGGAATGATGATCCTCTGGACATCTGCTTCTGTGGTTTTTCACTTCAGTGCTACCTCTGCTATTAAGAACCCAGTGTGCACATTGGCTGAAGACAATCTGTTGTTGCAGAATTTAAATACAGACATATTATGTTTTCATATTTATACTGTGACCAAGAGAATCCTCATTCAGGCCTCAGCCTTGTATTTTTGCTACCATTTCCAAACAGGAGGTGAAAGCCCTGCTGTCACGGTGCTAGGGTTATGGAATAATTAACATCCACAGGTCCCCTGGATCCCTTGTTTATATGAGAAATGGAAGAATAAAACAACCATGCAAAAATAATGAATATCACAGCTAATTTTGGAAAGCCCATTAAAATAACAAATCAGCAATGTCTTCAACAAAAATCACTGGAGATAAGAATCATACAGAGGACTGTTTCTTTTGCAAGAAACAATACATACTTTGCAAAGTATACATTTTTAATGCTGAGGTTTTTAAAAACTGATTTAATCTTTCATTTAATATTTTCAGGTTTATTTACTATGCTTGATATTTCATACCTAGCAATACATTAAATACGGGAAGAGATGAAATTTTCGTGTGGCCAAATCATCCGCTTGGACATTTTTACATGCTTTGTCTGTGCAAGCTTCCCAGTCAGCCCTGAGCAGGCAACATGCCACCCTGGTAACCTAACTCCTTTGCTTGAAATCCTTTATCTTCATAGCCTTCCCCAGTCATCATCCCAGACATCATAAGAAGCAGCCCGACAGTTCTAGGGCTCCCTACTGAAAGCCCAAGGAAAAATTATTTGGTGCTTAGGCAAGCAAGATAACTTCTGGCTCCAAACTCTAGGGGGTCCTCCCTTATTCTTGCCCTTGAAAGGAGCTTTCTCTTGGCTGGTGAAGGTCATTGCTAGGAGGAGACCTAGGGCTAGGGGCTTGCTGAGGCAAAATGGTAACCAGAAGAGCTGGAACAGAAAGAACCAAGAAGAAAGGCAAACCAGGTTTGAGGAACTTGCCAAAGGAGAAGGTATGAGACCAGATCCACCTTCAGATCCAAGGGGGCACATTTAGGGCCAGGAGCAGAAAACAAGGCTAAAAGATCAAAAGTCACTACATAGTAGGAGGGGCCAAGATGACCAATTAGAATCAGCTACGGTCTGTGGCACTCAGGAGAGGAATGAAAGGAGTGAGTGAATTCAGCACCTTCAACTGAAATATCCAGGTTCTCACATTGGGACTGACAAGGCAAATAATTCTACCCACAGAGAATGAAGAAAAGCAGGGTGGGGTGATGGCCCACCCAGGAGTGGCATGGAGCCAAAGGAACCTTCACCCCCAGCCAAGGGAAGCAGTGAGTGATTGTGCAACCCTGTCTGGGAAATCATGCTTCTCCCATGGATATTCACAACCTGTGGATCAGGAGATCCCCTTATGAGCCCACTCCACCAGGGCCTTGGGTCCAATACAGAGTTGTGGAGTCTCAGCAGAGCAGCTGCTCAGGCACACACAGAGACCCAGGAGTTTTATATACTCTGGCCCCAGGTTCCTCAGCAAGGTGGGAGATCCATATGTAGATATACTTAGGAAGGGGGCTGAATCCAGAGAGCCAAGCAGCATCATTCTGCAGGCCCTACTTCCATGGCACCTCACAAGTTAAGACCCACTGACTTGGAATTCCAGCCAGCCAATGGCAACAGGCTGGAGTCTGCCTGAGATGGGACTGATATCCTGGGGGAAGGGGTGGCCACCATCTCTGTGGTTTGGTAGCCGCAGTCATTGCAGTCTGTGGGCTCTAGAGAATAAAAATGGTCTGGAAGAAGAAGGGCACCCCACAGTGCAGCACAGATGCCTTGCCAGATTGTGGCCAGACTGTTTCTTTAAGTGGAACCCTGATCCATTCCTCCTCACAAGGCAGGACCTCCATGTGTGGGCTTCAGCCACTCCAGCAAGGGTTCTACAGACAGAACTCTGATCTCTCCCTAAGATGGAGCTCTCTGGGGGAGGGGCGGCTGCCACCTCTATAGTTTGGTCAACTCAGTCATACCAGCCCATTGGCTCTGGAGAAGACAAACAGTCTTGATGAAGAAGGGTCCCCCCAGTGTGGCACATTTGCTCTACCAAAAAGCAGCTGAATTGCCTCTTTAGGCAGGTCCCCGATCCCATTTCTCCTAACTGGGTGAGACCTCCCAACAGTGGTCTTCAGACACCTCTTATAAGAGTGTTTGGACTGGCAGCAAGTCAGTAACCCCCAGAGATGAAGCTTTCAGAGGAAGGAGCAGGCTACCATCTTTGCTGTTTTGCAGTCTTCACTAGTGATACCTTTAGGTATGGGAAAAACCAAGGCAATTAGGATCTGGAACAGACCACAGCAAACCACAACAGCCCTATGGAAGTGTGGCCTGACTGTTAAAAGAAAATCAAACAGAAAACAACAACAACATCAACAAAAAAGACCCCATAAAAACCCCATTCAAAGGTCAGCAACCTCAAAGATCAAAGGTAGATAAGCCCACAAAGATGAGAAAGAATCAACTCAAAAATGCTGAGAACTCAAAAAACCAGAGTGCCTTTTCTCCTCCAAATTACTGTAATATCTCTCCAGCAAAGACACAAAATTGGGCTGAGGCTGAGATAGCTGAATTGACAGACGTAGGCTTCAGAAAGCGAGTAATAATGAACTACTCTGAGCTAAAGGAGCATGTTATAACCCAGTGCAAAGAAGCTAAGGACCACGATAAAACAATACAGGAGGTGATAACCAGAATAGCCAGTTTAGAGAGGAACATAACTGACCTGTTGAAGCTGAAAAACACAATACAAGAACTTCACAATGCAATCACAAATGTCAATAGCAGAATGGACCAAATGAGGGAAAGAATCTCAGATCTTGAAGACTATCTTTCTGAAATAAGAGAGGCAGACAAAAATAGAGAAAAGAGAGTAAAGAGGAATGACCAAAGCCTCTGAGAAATAGGGAATTGTGTAAAAAGATTGAACCTATGACTGATTAGAATACCTGAAACAGACAGGGAGAATGGAACAAGTTGAAAACATACTTTAGGATACCATCCAGGGGAACTTCCCCAACCTAGCAAGACAAACCAACATTCAAATTCCGGAAATGCAGAGAATACCAGTAAGATACTCCATGAGAAGAAGATCCACCCCAAGACACATAATCATCAGATTTTCCAAAGTCAAAATAAAAGAATAAACATTAAGGGCAGCTAGAGAGAAAGGTCAGGTCATCTACAAAGGGAAGCCATCAAACTAACAGTGCACATCTCAGCAGAAACCCTACGAAGCCAGAAGAGATTGGGGGCCAATATTCAACATTTTTATTTTTTTAGACAGAGCCTCACTCTGTCACCTGAGCTAGAGTGCAGTGGCATGATCTCAGCTCAGTGCAACTTTTGCCTCCTGGGTTCAAACAATTCTCGTGCCTCAGCCTCTTCAGTAGCTGGGACTACAGGTGCACACTGCCACTCCCAGCTAATTTGTGTATTTTTAGTAGAGACAGGGTTTCACCATGTTGGCTAGGCTGGTCTCGAACTTCTGACCTCAGGTGATCCTCCCCACTGCCACCCCCACCTCCCAAAGTGCTGAGATTACAGGCATGAGCCACCATGCCCGGCCTCAACATTCTTAAAGAAAATAACTTCCAACCCAGAATTTCATATCTGGCCAAGCTAAGCTTTAAAAGCAAAGGAGAAATAAGATCATTTTCAGACAAGCAAATGCTGCAGGAACTCATCACCACCAGGCCTGCCTTGCAAGAGCTCCTGAAGGAAGCACTAAATATGCAAAGGAAAAACCATTACCAGCCACTACAAAAACACACTGAGGTACACAGACCAGTGACACTATAAAGCAACTGAATAAACAAGTCTGCAAAATAACCAGATAGCATCATGATGACAGGATCAAATTCACACATAAAAATACTAACCGTAAATGTAAACGGGCTAAATGACCCAATTAAAAGACACAGAATGGCAAGCTGGATAAAGAGCCAGGACCCATTAGTATGCTGTCTTCAAGAGACCCATCTCATGTGCAAAGACACATATAGGCTCAAAATAAGGAGACGGAGAAAAATTTATCAAGCAAATGGAAAACAGAAAAAGCAGAGGTTGCCATTCTAGTTTCTGAAAAAACAGAGTTTAAACCAGCAAAGAGCAAAAAAGACAAAGAAAGACTTTACATAATGGTAAAGAGTTCAATTAAATAAGAAGACTTAACTATCCTAAATATATATGCACCCAAGACAGGAGCACCCAGATTCATAAAGCAAGTTCTTAGAGACCTACAAAGAGACTCAGACTCCCACACAATAATAATGGGAGACTTTAACACCCCATTGACAATATTAGACAGATCATTGAGACAGAAAATTAACAAAGATATTCAGGACTTGAACTCAGCTCTGGATTAAGTGGACCTGATAGATATCTACAGAACTCTCCACGCAAAAACAATAGAATATACTTTCTTCTCATCATCACATGACACTTACTCAAAAATTGATCACATAATTGGAAGTAAAACACTTCTCAGCAAATGCAAAAGAACTGAATTAATAACAGGCTCCCAGAATACAGTGCAATCAAATTAGAACTCAAGATTAAGAAATTCACTCAAAACCACACAACTACATGGAAATTGAACAACTGGCATCTGAATGACCCTTGGGTAAATAATAAAATTAAGGCAGAAATCAAGAAGTTACTTGAAACTAATGAGAACAAAGAGACAATATACCAGAATCGCTGGGACATAGCTAAAACAGTGTTAAGAGGAAAATTTACAGAACTAAATGCCCACATCAAAAAGCTAGAAAGATCAAGTTAACAACCTAACATCTCACCTAAAAGAAACAGAGAAACAAGAGCAAACAGACTCCAAAGCTAGCAAAATACAAGAAATAACCAAGATCAGAGCTGAACTGAAGGAGATAAAGACATGAAAAACCCTTTAAAAAATGAATCCAGGAGCTGGTTTTTTTTTTTGAAAAAATTAATAAAATAGATTGCTAGCTAGACTAATGAAGGAGAAAAGAGACAAGAATCAAACACAATCAGAAATGATAAGAGGGATATCACCACTGACTCCACAGAAATACAAACAACCATCAGATAATAGTATAAATACCTGTATGCACATAAACTAGAAGAAAAGGATAAATTCCTGGACACATACACCCTCCTGAGATGGAACCAGGAAGAAATTGAATCCCTGAATAGACCAATAATGAATTCTGAAATTGAGGCAGTAATAAATAGTTTGCCAAGCAAAAAACAAAACAAAACAAAACAATAAAAAGGCCCAGAACCAGACAGATTCATAGCAGAATTCTACCAAAGATACAAAGAAGAGCTGGTACCATTTCTACTAAAACTATTCCAAAAAATTGGAAAGGAGAGACTCTTCCCTAACTCATTCTATGAGGCCAGCATCATCCTGATACAAAAACCTGGAAGAGATATAACAAAAAAAACCAAAAATTCAGGTCAATATCCCTGGATGAACATGGATATAAAACTTCTCAATAAAATACTGGCAAACTGAATCCAGCAGCACATCAAAAAGCTTATCCACCACAATCAAGTTGGCCTCACCTCCAGGATGCAAGGTTGGTTCAACATGTGCAAATCAGTAAATTTGATTTATCACATAAATAGAACTAAAGACAAAAAATGCATAATTATCTCAATAGATACAGAAAAGACCTTCAATAAAATTCAACATCACTTCATGTTAAAAACTCTCAATAAATTAGGTATAGAAGGAATATACCTCAAAATAATAAGAGCCATTTATGACAAACCCACTGGGAGCATTTCCCCTTGAAAAATCAGCACAAGACAAGGATACCCTATTTTCATCACTCCTATTCAACATAGTATTAGAAGTTCTGGCCAGGCCAATCAGGCAAGAGAAAGAAATAAAGAGTATTCAAATAGGAAGAAAGGAAGTGAGACTTTTTGCAGATAATATGATCCTATATCTAAAAAACCGCATTGTCTCAGCCCAAAAGCTTCTTAATCTGATAATCAACTTCAGCAACATCTCAGGATACAAAATCATTATGCAAAAATCACTAACATTCCTATACACCAACAATAGGTGAGCAGAGGGCCAAATCATGAATGAATTCCCATTCACAATTGTTACAATAATAATAAAATACCTAGGAATACAGATCACAAGGGAAGTGAAAGACTTCTTCAAGCAGAACTACAAACCACTGCTCAAAGAAATCAGAGAGGACATAAACAAATGGAAAAACATTCCATGCTCACAGATAGGAAGAATCAGTATTGTGAAAATGGCCATACTGCCCAAAGTAACTTATAGATTCAATGCTTTCGCATTAAATTAACCCTGACAGTCTTCACAGAATTAGAAAAAAAAATATTTAGAAATTCATATGGAACCAAGAAAAGCCTGAATAGCCAAGACAATCCTAAGCAAAAAGAACAAAGCTGGAAGCATCTTGCTACCTGACTTCAAACTACTACAAGGCTAGAGTAACCAAAACAGCATGGTACTGGTACAACAACATACACAGACCAATGGAAGAGAATAAATAACTCAGAAATAAGACCACACACCTACTACAACCATCTGATCTCCAACAAATCTGATAAAAACAAGCAATGGGGAAAATATTCCCTATGTAATAAGTGATGCTGGGAGAACTGTCTAGCCAAATGTAGAAAATTGAAACTGGACCCCTTCTTTACACCACATACAATCATTAACTCAAGATAGATTAAAGACTTAAATGTAAAACCCAAAACTATAAAAACCATAGAAGAAAATCTAGGCAATACCATTCAGGACATAGGCATGGGCAAATATTTCATGATAAAAATGCCAAAAGCAACTGCAATGAAAGCAAAAATTGACAAATGAAGTCTAATTAAACTAAAGTGCTTCTGCACAGCAAAAGAAACTATCATCAGAGTGAACAGACAACCTACAGAATGGGAGAAAATTTTTGCAATCTATCCATCTGACAAAGGGCTAATATCCAGAGTCTACAGGGAACTTAAATTTACAAGAAAAAAACAAACAACCCCATTAAAAAGTGGGCAAAGGACATGAACAGACACTTCTCAAAAGAAGACATACATGAGGCTGACAAACATATGAAAAAAAGCTCAACATCACTGATCATTAGAGAAACGCAAATCAAAACCATAATGAGATACCATCTCATGCCAGTCAGAATGGCATTAAAAGTCAAGAAACAACAGATGCTGGGGAGGTTGTGGAGAAAAAGAAACACTTTTACACTGATGGTGGGAATTAAAATTAGTTCAACCATTGTGGAAGACAGTGTGGCAATTCCTCAAAGACCTAGAGGTAGAAACACCATTTGACCCAGCAATCCCATCATTGAGTATATATCCAAAGGAATACAAGTCATTCTATTATAAAGATACAGGCATGTGTATGTTCATTAAAGCGCTATTCATGATAGCAAGGACATGGAATCAACTCAAATGCCCATCAATGATAGACTGGATAAAGAAAATGTGGTACATATACACCATGGAATATTATGCAGCCATAAAAAGGAACAAGATCATGTCTTTTTCAGGGACATGGATGGAGTTGGAAGCCATTATCCTCACAAACTAATAGGAACAGAAAACCAAACATGGCATGTTCTCACTTATAAGTGGGCACTGAATGATGAGAAGACATGGATACATGAGAGGGAACAACACACACTTGAGTCCTGTTGCTGGCAGGAGGGAGAGCATCAGGGAAATAGCTAATGGATGCTGGGCTTAATACCTAGGTGATGGGATTATCTGTGCAGCAAACCACCGTGGCACATGTTTAGCTATGTAACAAGCCTGCATATCCTGCACATATACCCCTGAACTGAAAAGCTGAAGAAAAAAAAAAGAAGAAAGCTGAAATATAAAACAAAAAAGTCACTAGGTAGTCACATCACAGGGATACAGCAGGAGTGGTGGGAAAAGGTAGGAATTAATCAAAAAGATTCAGAACTGCGTTCTCTAACCCTCCTATCATATGCCAGCTATGCAGAGGTTGGGAAAATCCAGCTAATTTAAAAGCCCAGTGCTCTGAAAGAAGACCTTTAAAACCACATGCAAATAGCCTAGTGCTAGTACTCAGCACAGATAATGTTCCAGAGAAGACTGAAATTGGCTGCTGTCATCCAGAAGTTGTCGTCTTTGTCCTTACAGTTTTTGTCTCCCTGAGGTAGCCCTGAAATAGAAATGTGTGGGTAAATGAGCTTTGGTAACAGAAGATTGCAGTGCACAGTGCATTCAGGGCCTGAGCTGAATAAGTATTCTGTCAACTTTTGCCTATGTAAGTTGTCAGAAGCAGTGACACCTTTGACATTTCCACCTCAGAATGGTATATTACCATAAAATGACTGCCACTCCTGATGAGCCGTTGGCTGGGAGGTAAATGGAAGTACCAGGTATGGAATCTGAGAGCCAGGGCCATTCCTCAAAGGGTACAGACCAGAGGGGTCCCCTCATTATTTCTATCCCTGTGGGATCTGTTGTAAAGGAGCAGGGACAGCTGCCTTGACAACATACAGGGTTAAAAGATACATAACAAAGAAGGGAGGAAGGTTGGGAGGCAGAGAAGCAGGGACCAGGTGAGCCAGCCTCAGCTCCTTATCAAAATGATTTGGAACCTGAGGAATCTACACACAATTCTTCCTGATGTTTTCAGGCCTTGTTTCAGGAGAGCACTGAGCACCGTGTCACTTCTTGTCCTCTAATAACCCTATACAGGCAAGGGTTTGCTTCATAGAGTTCAGATCTGGACTTCTCTTTACATCAGGAATGGGGAGCTTTTGGGACATGACTCTTAACAGTCATGTGTTGACCTCTTACTAGTTCCAAAGAGCTGCCTGCAAATCCCAATCTGCTACAGGAGGATTGTTTAAAATCAACTTTTAACTTTAATATTAGGTTTATAGAAAAGTTGTTAAGGTAGTACAGGGAGTTCCCCTATACCTCACACCCAGTTTCACCCATTGTTAATATCTTACATTATTAGCATAAAATAAACTAATGAGCCAATATTGATACATTATTAATAACTAAAGTCCACACTTGCTTCAAATGTCTGTAGTTTTCATCTAATGTCCTTTTTCTAGTCTAAGATTCCTTCCAGGATACCACATTACATTTAGTTACCACGTCTGCAAGTAGAATCTTAAATTTAAAAAAAAGTGTGAAATCACTTAAGCGTTTTTTATTCTACACTCCTACCTGGAATAAACACCTTACTCACCCATAAAGGAGAAATTATTTCTAAGATACCTTTAGGCAACAACCTATATTCCTAAAATAAAATAAATAATTTGAAGCAATTTCAAATTTTCCTCTTACTATACTTAGGCAAGTCAGGTCTCAGAAGGAGAGTAAGGAAGGCCTCCAGTGAGAAACAGCAGACTTTTCTGTATCTCTCTTTGTTTTATAAATACCTCATTGTTACTTTTCAGCCCCTCTTGTTTCCTTCCCTTCCCACCCAGGTGCTCCATAAGAATATCTTGGGTTTGTTTCAAGTTCATGATTTGAGATGCTGCTTTCCAGGTTTCAAATTTCAAGAGGTTCAAAGGTTAGAAGTTATCCCTCATCTGAAGAAACATGAAATTCCACAACAAGCATGATTTTCCCAAATACATACTGAATGGCCAAATAAGCAAACAATGAGGTCTGAACAGAAGGAGTTAACAAAGATCACTCATTCAAAATGTCTACAGAGCACTGTGCCTGGTCTCAGGAAGTGTTTATCTGGGGAAATTGAGGACTGCTTTCAACAGAATACTTTTCTTTCATATTAGATGTGTTAAAGCAAACTAAATATGGCCTGAGAAGGACTCTGTACTTCTATATTTGAGTCCTTGTGGATGAACTGTAACCTGGCTAAATAAGCAGACAAAATTGAGAACCTAACTTAGTGGTATGCATCTGTAACAATAGCTAAGTCTTGGCCAATCCCAGCAGCTGTACTTCAACCAGTCATACACTGCTGAGTGTTCCAACTGTGTTCAAATAAGGCATACACTGAGCTGTGACCAATCCAGCTGTTCTGTACCTCACTTCCAAATTTCTGTATGTCACTTCCCTTTTTTGTCTACAACTCTCTTCCACCACATGGCTGTGCAGGAGTCTGTGAATCTACTGTGATTCTGGGGGCTGCCCGATTCACAAATCATTCATTGCTCAATTAAACTCCTTTAAATTTAATTCTGCTGAAGTTTTTCTTTTATCAGATGGCAGAGTTTTGGAAAACATAAAATAAACATTAGAAATACCTTGAACCTACGCTTCAACTGTACATTGTCAGTGAAGAGAAATAAAATAGGTGAATACTTTAAATTATGAAATAAATTTAATGGTGGATACAAACGAATATGAATACATCTTCAAAAGAAAAATAATTATTGATGCAACACAAAAAAATAAACCAAGGAATGAAGAATCAGGGGAATTGTTTCATTCCCTTCTCATAGTGGATGCTTCACTAAGAAACAAATGTGTGATAAGATACAATTTATTATGATGAGAGTGGTCCTTGACTTCCCATCTTCTCTGATCTTTCTAAAAGATGCCTGCCATTGCCATTTCAATTTTCCTCTCTCCATTCCCTCCCTTGAGGAGAGTTTATCTCTGCCAGACAAGTTCTTCTGGCACTTTTGATGTTGGATCAAAAAATAGATGTTGTATCAGAAATAGATTAGAGAGACAGAAGGAGCATTGTAAGAGCCTCTGGAAAGATGTGTAGGGACTACACGTAAGTGAAGAGCTGAACAAGAGGGGAGACAGTGAAAGCTTCATGGGCTGAGATAAAGGTAATGTTTTGGTTTCAGTTTTTCCGGTAAGGCCTTGGGTAACCGACAGATGGAAAGTGAGGAAAGGGTACTTAAGGTTGTTGCTTCAATCCTCTTTGATTTCCTTTAAGAGATTCAAGGAAACAATACAAATTTTTCTTGGGCAGGGCTTCCTTAAATGTGCCTGTCATAGGTTGCAACTGACTGGGGCCAGCGTTGTGGGCAGTAAAAGAATTTACCAAGATAGTAGTGAGTTAAAGAAAGCAGGTTTTTCAGCAGAGGGGCTTGAGTGTTAGAGGAAAATTAACAAACAGAAGGGAATAGCATCAACATCAACAAAAAGGATGTCCACACAAAAACCCCATCTGAAGGTCACCAACACCAAAGGGCAAAGGTAGACAAACCCAGGAAGATGAGGAAAAACCAGCACAAAAGGCTGAAAATTCCAAAAACCAGAATGCCTCTTCTCCTCCAAAGGATCACAACTCCTTGCCAGCAAAGGAACAAAACTGGACGGAGAATGAGTTTGATGAATTGAAAGGAGTGGGCTTCAGAAGGTGGGTAATAACTCCTCCGAGCTAAAGGAGCATGTTCTAACACAATGCAAGGAAGCTAAGAACCTTGAAAAAAGGTTAGAGGAATTGCAAACTAGAATAACCAGTTTAGAGAAGAACATAAATGACCTGATGGAGCTCAAAAACACAGCACAAGAATGTCGTGAAGCATACACAAGTATCAATAGCTGAATCAATCAAGTGGAAGAAAGGATATCAGAGATTGAAGATCAACTTAATGAAATAAAGAATGAAGACAAGATTAGAGAAAAAAGAATGAAAAGGAACAAAGCCTCGATGAAATATGGGACTCTGTGAAAAGACCAAATCTATGTTTGATTGGTGTACCGGAAAGTGACGAGGACAATGGAACCAAGTTGGAAAACACTCTTTAGGATATTATCCAGGAGAACTTCCCCAACCTAGCAAGACAGGCCAACATTCAAATTCAGGAAATACAGAGAACACCACAAAGATATTCCTCAAGAAGAGCAACCCCAAGACACATAATCATCAGATTCAACAAGGTAGAAATGAGGGAAAAAATGTTAAGGGCAGCCAGATGGGAAGGTCGGATTACCCAAAAAGGGAATCCCATCAGACTAACAGTGGATCTCTCTTCAGAAATGCTACAATCCAGGACAGAGTGGGGGCCAATATTCAACATTCTTAAAGAATTTTCAACCCAGAATTTCATATCCAGCCACACTAAGCTTCAAAAAAGGAGACATAAAATCCTTTACAGAAAAGCAAATGCTGAGAGATTTTTGTCACAACCAAGTCTGCCTTACAAGAGCTCCTGAATGAAGCACTAAATATGGAAAGGGAAAACCGGTACCAGCCACTGCAAAAACACACCAAATTGTAAAGACCATCAACACTATGAAGAAACTGCATCAACTAATGGGCAAAATAACCAGCTAGCATCATAATGACAGGATCAAATCCACACATAATAATATTAACTTAAATGTAAATGGACTCAATGCCCCAGTTAAAAGACACACACTGGCAAATTGCATAAAGAGTCAAAACCCATCAGTGTGCTGTATTCAGGAAACCCATCTCACATGCAAAGACACACATGGGCTCAAAATAAAGGGATGGAGAAATATTTACCAAGCAAAAAAACAAAAAAAAAGGGGGGGGTTGCAACCCTAGTCTCTGATAAAACAGGCTTTAAACCAACAAAGATCCAAAAAGACAAAGAAGAGCATTACATAATGGTAAAGGGATCAATTCAACAAGAAGAGCTAACTATCCTAAGTATATATGCACCCAATACAGGAGCACCCAGATTCATAAAGCAAGTTCTTAGAGACCTACAAAGAGACTTAGACTCCAACACAATAATAGTGGGAGACTAACACCCCACTGTCAATATTAGATCAACAAGACAGAAAATTAACAAGGATATTCAGGACTTAAACTTAGCTCTGGACCAAGTGGACCTAATAGACATCTGCAGAACTCTCCACCCCAAATCAAGAGAATACACATTCTTCTCAGCACCACATCACACTTATTCTAAAATTGATCACATAATTGGAAGTAAAACACTCATCAGAAAATGCAAAAAAAAAAAAAAAAACGGAAATCATAACAAACAGTCTCTCAGACCACGGTGCAATCAAATTAGAATTCAGGATTAAGAAACTCACCCAAAACCACACAATTACATGGAAACTGAACAACCTGCTCTTCAATGACTACTGGGTAAATAATGAAATTAAGGCAGAAATAAATAGTTCTTTGAAACCAATGAGAACAAAGACACAACATACCAGAATCTCTGGGACACAGCTGAAGCATGTTTTTAGAGGGAAATTTATAGCACTAAATGCCCACAGGAGAAAACGGGAAAGATCTAAAATCAACACCCCAACATCACAATTAAAAGAACTAGAGAAGCAAGGGCAAACAAATTCAAAACTAGCAGAAAACAAGAAATAAGTAAGATCAGAGCAGAACTGAAGTAGATAGAGACATGAGAAATCCTACAAAAAGTCAGTGAATCCAGGAGCTGTTTTTTGGAAAGATTAACAAAATAGATAGACCTCTAGCAAGACTAATAATGAAGGAAAGAGAGAAGAATCAAATAGACACAATAAAAAATGATAAAGGGGATATCACCACTGATCCCACAGAAATACAAACTACCATCAGAGAATACTATAAACACCTCTATGAAAATATACTAAAACATCTAGAAGAAATTGATAAATTCCTGGAAACACACACCCTCCCAAGACTAAACCAGTTGAATCCCTGAATAGACCAATAACAAGTTCTGAAATTGAGGCAGAAATTAATAGCCTGCCAACCAAAAAAAGCCCAGGACAAGACGGATTCACAGACAAATTCTACCAGAGGTACAAAGAGGAGCTGGTACCATTCCTTCTGAAACTATTCCAAACAAGAGAAAAAGAGGGACTCCTCCCCAACTCATTTTATGAGGCCAGCATCATTCTGATACCAAAACCTGGCAGAGACAAAACAAAAACAGAAAATTTTAGGCCAATATCCTTGATGAACATTGATGCGAAAATTCTCAATACAGTGCTGGCAAACCAAATCCAGCAGCACATAAAAAAGCTTATCCACCATGATCAAGTCAACTTCATTCCTGGGATGAAAAGCTGGTTCAACATACACAAAATCAATAAACGTAATCCATCACATAAACAGAACCAATGACAAAAACCACATGATTATCTCAATAGATGCAGAAAAGGCCTTCAATAAAATTCAACACCCCTTCATGCTAAAAACACTCAATAAGCTAGGTATTGATGGAACTTATCTCAAAACAATAAGAGCTACTTATGACAAACCCACAGCCAATATCATACTGAATGAGCAAAAGCTGGAAGCATTCCTTTTGAAAACCAGCACAAGACAAGGATGCCCTTTCTCACCAGTCCTATTCAACACAGTATTGGAAGTTCTGGCCAGGGAAATCAGGCAAGATAAAGAAATAAAGGGTATTCAAATAGGAAGAGGGGAAGTCAAATTGTCTCTGTTTGCAGATAATATGATTGCATATTTAGAAAACCCCATTGTCTCAGCCCAAAATCTCCTTGAGCTGACAAGCAACTTCAGCAAAGTCTCAGGATACAAAACCAATGTGCAAAAATCACAAGCATTCCTATACACCAATAATAGACAGAGAGCCAAATCATGAGTGAACTCCCATTCACAATTGCTACAAAGAGAATAAAATACCTAGGAATACAACTAACAAGGGATATAAAGGACCACCTCTTCAAGGAGAACTACGAACCACTGCTCAAGGAAATAAGAGAGGACACAAACAAATGGAAAAACATTCCATGCTCATGGACAGAAAGACGCAATATCATGAAAATGGCCATACTGCTGAAAGTAATTTATAGATTCAATGCTATCCCCATCAAGCTACCTTTGACTTTCTTCACAGAATTAGAAAAAACTACCTTAAATTTCATATGGAACCAAAGAAAGAGCCCAGCTAGCCAAGATAATCCTAAGCAAAAAGAACAAAACTGGAAGCATCATGCTACCTGACTTCAAACTATACTACAAGGCTACAGTAACCAAAACAGCATAGTACTGGTACCAAAACAGATATATAGACCAATGGAACAGAACAGAGGCCTCAGAAATAATGCCACACATCTGCAACTATTTGATCTTTTACAAACCTGATGAAAACAAGTAATGGGAAAGGACTCCCTATTTAATAAATGGTGTTGGGAAAACTGGCTAGCCATATGCAGAAAACTGAAACTAGACCCCCTCTTTACACCTTTTACAAAAATTAACTAAAGATGGATTAAATACTTAAACGTAAGACCTACAGCCATAAAAACCCTAGAAGAAAACCTAGGCAATACCATTCAGGACATATGCATGGGCAAAGACTTCATGACTAAAACACCAAAAGCAATGGCAACAAAAGCCAAAATTGACAAATGGGATGTAATTAAACTAAAGAGCTTTTGCATAGCACAAGAAACTATCATCAGAGTGAACAGGCAACCTACAGAATGGGCGAAAAATTTTACAATCTATCCATCTGACAAAGGGTTAATATCCAGAATCTACAAGGAACTTAAATTTACAAGAAAAAACAACCCCATCAAAAAGTGGACAAAGGATATGAACAGACACTTCTCAAAAGAAGACATTTATGTGGCCAACTAATGTATGAAAAAAAGCTCATCATCTCTGGTCACTAGAGAAATGCACATCAAAACCACAATGAGATACCATCACACACCAGTTAGAATGGCGATCATTAAAAAGTCAGGAAACAACAGATGCTAGAGAGGATGTGGAGAAATAGGAATGCTTTTACACTGTTGGTGGGAGTGTAAATTAGTTCAACCTTTGTGGAGGACAGTGGCGATTCCTCAAGGATCTAGAACCAGCAATACCATTTGGCCCAGCAATCCATTTATTGGTTATATACCCAAAGGAGTATAAATCATTCTACTATAAAGACACATGCACATGTATGTTTATTGCAGCACTATTCACAATAACAAAGACTTGGAACCAACCCAAATGCCCATCAGTGATAGACTGGATAAAGAAAATGTGGCACATATACACCATGGAATAATATGCAGCCATAAAAAATGATTAGTTCATGTCCTTTGCAAGGACATGGATGAAGCTGGAAACCATAATTCTCAGCAAACTAACACAGGAGCAGAAAACCAAACACCACATGTTCTCGCTCATAAGTGGGAATTGAACAATGAGAACACATGGACACAGGGAGGAGAACATCACACACCGGGGCCTGTCAGGGGCTGGGGGGCTAGGGGAGCGATAGCATTAGGAGAAATACCTAATGTAGGTGACAGGTTTATGGGTGCAGCACACAACCATGGCACATGTATACCTATGTGTAACAAAGCTGCACATTCTGCATATGTATCCCAGAACTTAAAGTATAATAATAATAAAAAAGAAAGCAGGTTTACTTAGAGAGAAACTATGCTGCAAGGAAGCAACAGGCAGCATGGCAGAGAAGGGACTGTCTGCCAAGAGGCAGGGGCTGGAGGGAAATTTTACAGGGTGTTGCTGCTGGGGCTATGTGCAGGAGCAGGATGTGTCAGTAGGTTGTTTGTGGTTAGCCATCTCTCAGAACAGTTGCTGACAATCTCCACCTGGGGCCCCTTCCTTGACGCTGCTTACTTATCAGGACTCCAGGGTGCCTTGGCTCTGAGACTGGACCACATGGGTTATAGCTTAATGGGGTCATAAGTCTAACTTTGTAAGACTTTATCAGGTTCCAAATACTGACAAACTAATCTTAGTTATTTGAATCTCCGAGCCCGTTTTCTCATTTGTAAAATGGAGAAAATAGATAGGATTGACATTTCTGAATTATGTTCTATAGAAACGTAATAAACATTATCTAGAAAAGTTATCCTAAGTAAAAATTTGAAAACAATGGGTTTAACATATTTAGACTAGCCTGTTACCGCAAGGGGGTCTGAGAGAAGCCTTTGAAATTTAGCCAATGTGACTTGGGAATTTCGGTTAATGTTCTCCAGACTTGCTTGACTGTGGGACGCTTTTTCTATAACATCTCTCTGCTCAGTGTGTTTCAGATTATACTTTGGATAAATGCTGGACTAGATATTCTTTGTTTTTTCCTCCCTAATTCTAAAATACATGATGTTATGAAAAATCATGTCCATCAATGTAAGACATCATATAATTGATCAGTTAAGAAAATCCATTTCCCAAGAAGAAAAGGGTCCCAAGAAGAGGGATTGGTGTTTCCTAAGTTATTAAGCTTGATGAAGAATATGGCAGAAAAAAGGGCCTGGAAGGACAAGGAGGCAGGAAGCGCTATGGAGGACTCTGTCAGGAGGAAAGTCAATAACTCTTCCAGGGTTTTCAAATTTACTTACATTTGGAGTGGCCAGAATGCTTCTGTGTGTGTTATTTTTTACCTTAGTTGTGAGCATAGGGGACCTGTATGTCTTCTTGGGGTGGCTGTTATCAGAGAAAGGAAGACTGTGTCTGATAGATTCAGAAGTTCTGCCACCAAGACGTTCACCCACAGAATAACACATGATGAGCAATGAATGAGACATCATTTAACATACTGCAGAAGCAGCACAGAGGATTGAAAGCTCTCCAAACAGAGAGGTGAAGCCCCATGCCTTCTCTCTGGAGGCAGCTGGGGGTACCTTCTTCACGCCTTGAAAATCCACCACAGGTATGTGGAGATCCAAGAATATCAGTAATTTCTAGAGACCAGAAAGAAAACTTTACAGGATGACCAATGTAAACTGATTGTAGTGGCATTTAGTGACATTTATTTCCTGTGAGCCACAAGAGCTCCATATTGGCAGATCTACACAACTGGAGTTATACAGAGAAACAAAAGCAAATCAAGGCAGAAGCTGACATGCAATTCCTACTGGAGTTTCTTCCCTTCTTTAGCGGTTGGTTAGTGGACACCCTACAGGAAAAGAGGAGCCACAGCCAGGATGGCTGTCATGGAGTAATTTTCACCTACTGAAGTATTAATACTTCTTATCTAAAGTAATTTTTTTTTTTGAGACCGAGTCTTGCTCTGTCACCCACGCTGGAGTACAGTGGCGTGATCTTGGCTCACCACAACCTCTGCCTCACGGGTTCAAGCGATTCTCCTGCCTCAGCCTCTCAAGTAGCTACAATTGTACTATATAGTTTCTCACTTATAAAATCTGGCCAGATAATCAGACACAATTACACTCTTCATTTGCTCGGTGGAGAGACCGCTTTTCTAGCATGCGGAGGGCCTCACTGAGCCTAACAGCACATCAGATACGGGCCACCCTCATGTGCTGCCTTGCACACACATATCCTTAAAGCGGGTCAGCAATTCCATAACAACATTAAAACAGCAACTGGGGAAGCAGAGCCCCACGGCTGAGAGGCACCCAACCAGATTGCAGTGCTATTTTTATCCCTCGAGCTGAGCGTATTGATGGAATGGAGAATTACTTTTGTGATTAAACGTGGCCAAAAACCTAGCAAGTGTTAATCTCTGGAAATCTGTTACAAATGGGATGGCAAGCACCAGCAAACTGCTGTTTTTTAAATCTAAAAATAGTTCTTGGTTCTCTTGTAAGTAATGCAGCAGGAAGACAAGAAATTTTAATCGGTCAGAGTGGTTTGGTTTTTACAGTCAATTCCTGAATATAATAGCAGGGATGGGTCTCTGGAGCCCCAAGTGAGAGGAGTCAGGTGCTGAGAGGATGGGCAGAGGCCCTGGAGAGTCTGCATTTACATCTCTTAGCTGTTCTGGCCTAGATAACACAGCTCTAGAACCAGAAATACTCCAACTCAACGTTTTGGGGGCATTTATGTGATTGCGCTGGGAGTAGGGTCATACATGGGCAAAATCAGGGTGGCGGATTCACTGACTGGGTACCGGTTTGAACCAGTGATGAATGCATTGGCCATATAAAGTTAGTATTGGCTCCATTTCCTCTAGCTGTGTCCCTTTGGAAATCTGGTCCTTTTTGTTCGGTCATGGAAGTGGAGTTTCCAGTTGGGGTTCATGAGGAGGTGGCTGGTGCCAAACCAGCTAAGGCATAGCAGCTCCGGACCCAGTGGTACAGCACGATTCTTCAGTCATACAAACCCAGCCCTTCACGAACACTTTTCAGAACACTCCCTCCAGGGCTCAGTCCCACATTGTCTAGTATTCATTCCCCGCCCCCTTTAAGGAGCCCAGCTACACTTTGGCTCAGCTTCCTCTTGCTTGGGTGGAGACCCTAGACCCTTTCATTTCCAGTGATGTTCTTAACTCCTCCCGCTTTTAACCTCACCCAGTGTGCCTGTTCCATATTCCAGGGCCTCTGTCCTATTTCCCCATCACACTCCAGTTCTGTGTCTGTGGCAGCCTCATGGGCTGGGGCAGAAACTTTGCCAGACTCCTCTCCCTGTAGCTTGCCCTGATCTCCTCTTTCCATCTCCCAACAGAAATCCTGCTTCAATCTGCATAGTCTCCTGAGACCTAAGGATGAGAACCTTCACTAGCTAGACCCTTTTGATGCCAGCCCCACCCTATCAGATCATGCTTGTGAGAAAGCATTATCTTTCCAGGATAGCACAGTGGTTAAAAGCATGGGATAGACATTTATCCTGTCTTTTCTGTATTGAATGTATTTTAGGATGTCTAACTAGTTGACAAGGGTAAGTTCTTCTTATGGAATTCTAGCTAATAAATGCATAAAGAATAGTGGAATTAGAAAATTCACACTTTGGAACACCCGGTAAAACAAGGGGTCTATTCTAGGCAATGATCAGTGACTGCTCAAAGCATTAGGTAAAATTGTGATGGGGAATTTTATAAAGGATGGATCAACTTGACAACCTGATTTGACTAATCCACCTTAAAGGCATTAATGGAAAGACAGCCAGATATTATGAGCCTTCTAAAGGGATTCAATGGAAATTTCATAGCCCTGCCATGAGGTAACCTTTTAAAAACTTAAATCTGAATCTAATCAAGTCTTCAGATGCAAATATTAGTTTACAAACTTATGGGGGATAGAGGAATATGTTAAATGACATTGTGTGGACTCAGACAAATAGAGATTGTGAGATTCTGCCACAGGATACATAAGCCAGTATTCAATAAAAAATGGCATTTAAAAAGGAAGAGTTACCTGTTATAAATATTTTTAAAAATCAAGACTGTACCAACCAAAAGAAACACAAAGCTGAAAGTGCTTTGTAAATGGCCAAGTTGTTAAACATTAGCTATTATTATTATAATGATTGCTCTATATCGTAGTCCCAGATCCTTAAGTCTAAGATATTCATTGTTAAGATAAGCTTCAGAAACTATCCACTTGATTTTCTAAACCTTGTGTCTCGAACATTTAAAGAAGCGTAGACACAGGATGTGAGGAAAACACAATTTTCTAATGAATACGAGGAAGCTATGACAAACAGCATAAATCATCAAGCAATGGCAAAACTGAAAGTCTAATCAGACATCAGTATCTTATTCTTAAACCTTCATACACTTTTTAGAAACCTTCTGATTGCAGGAAGCTTTGGCATGTTCACTTAAACATACTCATGTACTCACTTTAAACAGTATGATAATATTTCTATATGCACATATATACATTGACAACACTTGCTATTTGTTTATGTGTATATATATATACACATATATATACGTGTATGTATGTATGTGTGTGTATGTATATATATGTATATATATGTGTATATATGTATATATATGTATATATGTATATATATGTATATATGTATATATGTGTATATATGTATATATATGTATATATGTATATATATGTATATATATGTATATATGTATATATATGTATATATATGTATATATGTATATATATGTATATATGTATATATATGTATATATATATGTATATACCTTGTAGCCATGAATAAATAATCCTTTTAATTTTTCTCTCCCCCAGGTAAAATCTTATAAAGTAAAACATTGACTATTGGACACTCATGCGAAATAAATTCATCTGGATACATGAGGAATTCCAAATTAATCAAAATTTGACCTTTACAATTATCGGTTTTAGGTTTCGCTTTTCTGGATGGTAACCTTTCTGAAATGTGCTTCTCTCTTCTCTGCATCTTAAAAGAAGAATATCAAACACTTCCTTGACCTGAGGCTTGTCATTATGAACATGGTAATACAAGGGTGTAATATATACACCTTTGGAGTTCATTGAAGGTATTTAAGGTGTTGACTATTTTCCAATCCATGAAGTGACCTCAGCTGACTGTTCTTTGAATCCTTTTTTGCTGTTGTTTCATGAAATCAATAGCTTATTTTTTCTATTGTTCAGCAGTATTTCATCTTATGGATATACCACAATTCATTTATCAATATTTAAAAAATGTGTATATGCTACAAATATACAATTCGTTGCTAATATTTTTTGCTTTAGACTAGGGGTTAGAAAAAGATGGCCTGCCCCTCTACAAGTCACGACCAACTACTGCCTGATTTTGCATGGCTCATGAGCTTCAGAATAGCTTTTACATTTATCAACAGTTAAAAAATCAGAAACAGAATAAACACCCCTATGTAATACATCCATGTAACGAAATTTCACTTATACTCCCTAAATCAATTCGTTTAAAAAGTAGAATACATTGTGGCACATAAAAATTATATGAATTCTTATTTCTACATTTTACCGTTTTTCTTTCTACTCCCTTTGTTTCAGCTTGCCTCTGCAGTAGCTACTTGGTCATCCCTTCTAACTGCTGCTCCCAATCTGTTTTATTACCAGATAATCAAGCTCATTGATTTGCGGGCAAAATAAGAGTAAAGAGGCTCTGCTGAACACCAAAAGATTCTTTTGTAGGTAAAGAGCATGACCTTTAGTACCTGGGCTTTGTGAACAGTATTTTGCTGCTAAGAGGTGTTTTCTGTTGCCTTTCAGATTCTTAGTTATGTTTCACATAAGTGAATGAGGCTGCTAAAAAAATGATGGTTCAGAAATACAAGATAAAAAATGTATCCTTGCAGTGTACTTGAGTTGAGGCTTCCATTAACTCCTTTTAGGGAAAAAGAATTTAGTGCCATGAAAAACTGAATCTTGCTTTTCTTAAATTCAGAATGAACCTCTGTACCATCATTATGCTGAGACCCCAAGCTCTGATTACAAATTACTCTTTTAAAGCAAAAATAACAAATTTAATATCCCCCTCAGATCCTATTTGAATAAATTTACTGTATATACTGGACCCCTGGAAAGTGGAAGGTTACAAAGACTATATGTACAGTTCCTTTACATACAAATTCCTGGCAGTACTATGAGCATTTAATACTCACAAATGATTTTCTGATTAAAGAGAATTTTTTTTTTCAGCCCAATTGGAGCAACACTTGGTTACAGTTAGGTTAGACCTGTGATTTTTATGAAATGCCTGGTTAAAGTGTATTGTTCTAACTCTCTCACCTGTATGAACCTCACCCCCTCAATCTCTCCCTTCCTTTTTGCATGAATCAACACAGGTCCCTAATATGACACCATATAATGTCCCCAGCCCCAGCCTCTTTCATTTAGATCTTGGGTAACCTCAGCTTATTCAGATTAGATAAATAGTAAGTGCTTGGAGATAACAACCAGAACTCTTCAGGTCCTCTCCATAATACCCACTAGTGATTTCTGTAATATCAGAGTTTAGTGCTTTTCCCAATTACAATAGGCTTACCTTGCTCCTTGCAATTTGAAGTGAAATGTCTGTGATTTCAGTATGTGCATAGAGCAATGGACGTGTGGCTTAAGAGCACAAGCTACGTAATCCTAGGCTTTTCTGAGGATTCAGCAGCCTAAATGCATAGAGAATCATGAGAGCATTACTGCAGGAACAGAGCATTTCCATCTAAAATGAAATGTCCATTAGCACATCCTCACAGCACTCTCCACAAGGCTGGGAAATCACAGGAGGAAGCTGAGCTGATTTGATGAGACTAAAATCCCTTTTAATTATGATGAATAACCTAGCTGCTGTTATTATTTGAGCCAAACAAATGTATAATTGCCACTATTCAGAAGTTCTTTCTCTTAAAATGACAAATATCTTTATGACAACAAACTGTTCCTGAGATGGAAAAACAAAAATTCTCAAAATATATCTTCTGCATCGTTGGTTTGCTTCTGAGATACTCTGCTTTTATTCACATTTTAATAAAGTATCAGTGGTGGTGGGTTACAGGAGTAGGAAATAGTAAAGTTTTCTGTTTTCAGGATCAGGAATATTCCCATTATTTTCATTTTGAAAACAATTTGCAGGCTCCCAGTTACCTGTTCTGGGAATCACAAAAAGTTAACTGAATTTGCTGTAAAAATTTACAGAAAATTAGAACTGGTAGAATTGTTTGAGGGATTAGTGTTATCTCATTCAGAGTGCCTTGGTTAATGAGCTCAAGGCAAAAGTTCAACCCCAGTTGCCATAGTCCTGACCCACTTATCCTAAAAACATAGGTAAGGCTGGTGGACCAGTCTTACAAGTACCCTTGTATATTAAAGGCTAACCAGTCTACATTTGCATGAGCCAACTTTAGATGGAGAACAAGAGACAATAAAGCATAGTGGTTAAGTGCACTGGACTTAAAATCTAATAAACCTAGATTCAAATCCAGCTCCACCACTAAATAGTTGGTTCATTTTTGGCATGGTACTTATTCTCTTTGAGCCTTATTTGCTTCATCTATAAATTGGAGGTGGTAATAGTACACGTAAGTTTAAGGCTAAATAAGCATTCTAGGTATTTTAAGCAGAAAGGGATTTAATACAGGGAAGTGGTGTTTAAAAACTTGTTGGAAAGACTGGAGTAGTGCAAGTCAGGGGAGCCACCAATAGGCCATATACTTCAATGGCATATCGTCATTACTGAATTCCATAGGCCCTGAAGCTGCTGTTGCTGCAGCCACAGCTACCTCTTCTTCCCACAAAGCTGGTGACTAACACCGTATTGTGGAATTCTCTGTAGCAAACACTCACATTCCTCTGACCTTACTTGCTAGCAAGGATGTAGCCACGACCTCACTTTTATCTTCCAAATCTTGGGCCATTGCCTCTTACAGGTAGCATCCAGAACTCCAGCTTTAAGGGAATCTAGTTTTTATAACAGATTTCCAACACCAGCAATGTAGGAATGTGCACGGAAAGAGATGTGACTGAATACTAGATGGCAACAGACAATATCACACATGACACCTACCTCCTTGACTCGCTGTAAGGATTATATGAGATTATTTGGGTAAAACACTTAGCACAGTGTCTGGAATATAGTAAGCACTCAATATTTATATGGTTATTTACATAGTTGTTATGTTACTGAAACTATGGCATCCCTCGTGCATTAAATGCAACTTACTCACACAGTTCTCCTCGGGCAGCCGGATCTCTCCCTCCTTGAACAACTTTTTCAACATTAATTCCTATATGTCTAAGGCCCTGTATCAAGGCCATCTCATTTTCCCTTTGCTCCCAATCTTCCCCAGGCTTTTCTCAATTCCAAGTTTTATCCCATCTTTATCTCTCCACATACCATTACCCGGCAAAATGTATCTCTTATAAATTCTTAGCAGTTAAGCAAACAAACAAACAAAAAATGATTTTTTTTTCTTTGAGGGCAAAGAGGGCTTCATCTTCAAACATTCCCAGGGCAAGAGGAAGTATTTACCTTCCATCTACCTAAAGCAGAAAAGAAAAGGGAGAAGGCTGGGCATGGCAGCTCATACCTGTAATCCTAGCACTTTGGGTGGCCAAGGTAGGTGGATTGCTTGAGCGCAAGAGTTCGAGACCAACCTGGGCAATATGGTGAAACCCCATCTCTACACAAAATAAAAAATTAGCTCGATGTGGTAACGCACACCTGTAGTCCCAGCTACTTGGGAGGCTGAGATGGGAAAATCACCTGAGCCCAGGAGTAGAGGCTACAGCAGTGAGTGATGATGATCACACCACTGCACTCCAGCCTAGGCGATGGAGTGAGACCCTATCTCAAAAAATAAAGAAGAAATAAATAAAAGGGAGAAAAAAATACTTATTCCAATTGAAGCAGGCTAAAAGGTCCTATCCTGATAAGTAGTTACATATAGTCAGGTCTCAAGTAGGAAATATTTCTAAGATTCTGAAGTCAGAAGTGTAACTATGTTCCCCCCAATCTAAGATGTTAAAAGCCCCAAGATCATTAAGAGTTTAGGTGACATCTCCCAATTCAAGATGGAAAATTGAGCATATAGAGTTACTGCTTGCTTTCACAAAATTCTATCAAAGAGGTAGCAAAATTTAACAGAAAAGAAAAGCTGTGGTAGTATTAAAAACAGTGTGCTGCCACGGTCTGAATGTGTCTCCCCAAAATTCATAGGTTGAAACTTAATCCCCAATGTGACAGTATTAAGAGTTGGGGCCTTTAGGAGGTGATTAAGTCATGAGGGCAGACCCCTCATGAATGGCATTGGTCACCTTATAAAACAGGCATGAGGGAGCTGTTCACCCTTTCTGCCTCCTTCCACTATGGGAAGACACAGAGGGCAGCATCTTTGATAAACATCTATTCACCACACATTGAGTCTGCTTGTGCCTTGGACTTCTCAGGATCCAGAACTGTGAGAAATAAATTTCTGTTTATAAATTACCCCATCCATGGTATTCTGTTACAGTAGCCCAGACAAACTAAGACACATGCCATTAGCAACTCAGAGATTTTTGATGAATTTCCTGAGGAGAAAGAAATCAGGAATCGGGTAGATAGATAAACTGGAGCTGCAGAGAAGAGATTTGGGATATTTACAGAAAGAAGCCTTGGCAGGGAAGAGAGTTATTCTCCTGGCAGTCTCTGAACTAGGAGAGCCAAGTCAGGGAATGTTCTTTCTACTTCTTGGCATCTGTCCTCCTCCTCCTCCTCCCCACCTGGCCAAAATAAAGACCTGCAGGAAGGAATAGTAAATAGAATGGGAGTTCTGCTTGGAAAGGGATCACTGAAAGGAGCAGAGCAGATCTTGAGGGAACTCCAGAGAAAGAAAAAGAAAGGAAGCACTACCTAGAGGGAAGTACAGTGAAGAACTTCCCACACCACTAACACAAGAGTAAATATGCTTTATCCTGGCAATTGTGGAGGTGTTCTCTACTTATGCCCCCTAAAAGAAGGCCATACATTGACACAATCTCTTCACTTCCATGGAAGCCAGAGTCAGCCCAGTGACTTGCGTGAGAAGCCAGAGAACAGATAAAGAGAGGATCCCTATATCCTAACATTGCCCTTCGCACATAAATGTGAACAGTTAACAAAGATTATTAGACATTTGAGGAAAACCAAGAACATGGATTAACAGGAAATATTAAGATTTGTAAAAGGCAGAACATTTATTCTGAAGAAAAGAGATCCTATCAGATACAGAAAAAAGTTTGAAAATTCAAGTTAGTACGCTTCTTAGTGTTGAGAGAATTCTGCCTCCATAAAACAAGAACATGCTGCTATGAAAAAGGAGCAATGATAGAATAAGAAATATTCTTAGAAATTAAGAATATCTTACTAAAATAAAACAGTGTATTAGAAAGTTTAGAAGGATATCACCCAGAACATAGTAAATATACAAAGAAATATAAAATATGAGGGAAAACATGAAAACATGATGTTAATCTAGGAACTTCAACACTATTAATGAGAGTTTAAGAATGATGCAACAGAAAAAAATTAGGAGTGATAATTATTTAAAAACTAAGGCAAAAAAATTTCCCTGAGTTGAAGGTTTTTGAGAATTTTATACTAGCTGAAACACTACCAGATTACACTGAAAGGGGGCAGAAAGAGGATGAAATGCAAGAAGGTTGTCAGATTCTCAGGATTCTACAGGCAGGGAACAGGATGATTAAACTACTCAGCTGCAAACTCTACTACCCTTTTATGAAAAAGGAAGAATGACTCAGAAGGTGGAGCTGAGGGTCCAGAAAGTGGAACCTGGAGCCCCATAGGATTATGTGCAGGCCTTAAAACCTAATGGAGTTTGCCCTGTTGGATTTTGAAATTGCTTGGACAGGTAATTTCTTCCTTCCCCTTTCTCCCTTTTAAATGAGAATGTCTATAACTGTTATTCTATACTTGTCCCACTACTAATTTTGGGAAGAGATAACTTGTTTCTTGAGTTTTACAGGTTCACAGATGGAGATGAACTTCGCCACAAGAAGGGTCATGCTCAGAGTCTCACTCATACCTGATTTAGATGACTTAGATGAAATTGAGGGGCTTTTAGGCTGATGAGACTTGATTTTAGACTTTTAGTTGATGCTGTAATGGGTTGAGAATTTTGAAGATATTAGGATGGGGTGTATGTATTTTTCATGTGGGTTGGATATGAATTTAGGAGGCCAAAGACTGACTGTGCTAGACAGAATAATGGCTCCCCAAAAAAGTTCACATCCTTACCCCTATAATTTACCTTACATGGTAAAGGGATTTAGAAGATTAAGCAAGGATCTTGAGATGGGGATATTACCCTGGATTATCCAGTAATCTAATCACAAGGGTCTCTATAAGAAGGAAGTAGAAAGGTCAGAGAAAAAAGGCAATGTGATAACAGAGTCGGTAAGAGAGAGACTTGAAGAGGCTATGCTGCTGGCTTTGAAGGTGGAGGAAAGGGCCACAAGCTGAGAAATGCAGGCAGCCTTTAGAAGCCAGAAACAGCAATGAAATGGATTCTTCCAAAAAGCCTTAAGAAGACACGGAGCACTGTTGACTCATTTTGGACTTCTCACTTCCACAGCTGCAGGATAATAAATGTGTGTTATCTTAAGCCATTAAATTTGAGGTTGTTATAGCAGCAATAGGAAACTAATAAAGAGACCAAAATCTTCAAAAATAACCTACTCAATATCAGGCCAGATAAGTGGAGGTCAGTCAAGGCTGGGAGAAGGAGGGAGATCACTGAAATACATCACTGCAATATTTTAAAAATTAAGGAGAGTAACTAGACCCTGAACTTTTTGAAAAAAAATTATTTTAGACAGAGTCTCACTCTGTCACCTAGGCTGGAGTGCAATAGCACTATCTTGGCTCACTGCAACCTCCACCTCCAGGTTCAGGCAATTCTCCCACCTCAGCCTCCTGAGTAGCTGGGACTACAAGCATGTGCCACCATGCCTAGCTATTTTTTTGTATTTTTAGTAGAGATGGGGTTTCACCACATTGGCCAGGCTGGTCTCGAACTCCTGACCTCAAGTGATCCACCCACCTTGGCCTCTCAAAGTGCTGGGATTACAGGGGTGAGCCACTAGGCCTGGCCTAGACCCTAAACTTAAAGGGTAGTGGGACAGAATATGGAAAAAGTAAGTTTCAGCAACATTAAATACTAATAGACAATGGAGCAATTCCTTCAGAAGTCTGAGATAAATTTATCTTGCTTTTAATCTATAATGCTATACATAGTCAAACTCTTAGTTCACCCTGAGGACAGAACAAAGATATTTTCAGACATGTAAAGATACAGAAAACTCACCCTCCTATACCTCTCTTGTATCATCATTTTTTTTTAGGGAGTTATTTAAGGATATGCTCCAGTACACAAGGATGTAAAGCAAGAAAAAGGTAGATATAGGATCCAGAAAACAGTGGCTTCAATTCAGGAAAGTAGCTCAGAGAAGTTCCAGGATAAGAAAGAGCTGGGCAGGTGGCTTTGGGGAGCAGCCAGAACAGGTAATGTTCTAGAGGGAGAGGACTAGCATTGGGGGGAGGAAGGGATTCCGTGAACTATATACGATTACAAAGAAATTGGAAGTCCCTTATACTGTGAAAAGGGCACAGAATAGAGGAATAGGGATGATAAGGAAAAAAAAAAAAAAAAGAAAAAGCATTTAAAGGTTTTAGGATACATTAAAGGTGATACGAATTATGGCCCAAATGAAAGTAACCTGGAAGTCAGTGAGCTTCAGAAAAAATAAAATTGATTCCAAGCAAGAGAGAGCCCAAAGAAGAAGAAGCTGGAAGATAACAGAAATACAATGATGAGTGAATATTATTCTTTTTCCAGCAACTGAAAAAGAAGGTAATAGGAAACTCCCGAACAAGACAATAGCCACCTATAAGAAAGGTATGGTTCAATTACGAAGCAAAGGTTGCTATGACATGATGGATGGTGACCAACTGGTAAACTGTAAGAAAGAAAAATCAATTTTATTTTTAAATCAACTTTCCTTTTAAGTCATGACATTGGAGTCAGAGAGAAAAAAATGTAATCATTTCTTCTTGGCTCTAATGGAAAAATTTATATAACATAAACTGTAAATCATTTTTTTTTTCTTTTTTGAGACTGAGTCTTGCTCTGTCGCCCAGGCTGGAGTGTAGTGGCACAATCTCGGCTCACTGCCAGCTCCACCTCCTGGGTTCACGCCATTCTCCAGCCTCAGCCTCCCAAGTAGCTGGGACCACAGGCGCCTGCCACCACATCGGGCTAATTTTTTGTATTTTTAGTAGTGACAGGGTTTCACCACGTTAGCCAGGATGGTCTCGATCTCCTGACCTTGTGATCCGCCCGCCTCAGCCTCCCAAAGTGCTGGGATTACAGGTGTGCACCACCACGCCCGGCCAACTGTAAATACTTTTAACTCGTTTTCATTTTTTAAAAATGAACCTATGGAGAAAGTGTGAAAGACAACTATGGCTTCAGAACAAAAAGTGTTACCAAGATTACTGTTTCCTCCCTACCAAATGAAATCAGTAATCAGTGGACATAATCAGCTTGGGTTTCGGGGTTATATTGCATGAAAAATAACTTTTCTATAAACATTAGAATTACACTTAATTCAGAACAGTTGTTCTCAGACTTAAGCTTGCATCAGAATCACCTGGAGGGCTTGTTCAATCGGATTGCTGGTCTCACCCCAGAGTTTCTGGTTCAGTGGGTCCGGGGTGGGGCCCAAGAATTTGCTTAAGTTTTCAGGTGATACTGGTCGAGTGTCCCTTATCCAAAAAGCCTGGGAACACTTGAGTTTCAGATTTTTTATTTTTTTTTTGGAATTTGGAATATTTGCATATATTATATACATAATGAAGATATCTTGGGGATGGGACCCAAGTCTAAACACACATACACACACACACACACACACACACACACACACACCCCTTATACACATAGCTTACATTTAATTTTATATAATACTTTAAATAATTTTGTGTATGAAACAACGTTTGTGTACGTTGAACCATCAGAAAGCAAAGGTGTCACTATCTCAGCCACCCATGTGGAAAATCTGGTATTTAGCATCACCATCATCTCTGACTCTGAATTTATATGCTACTGATAAGCATTTTCAAAAAGTTTTGGATTTTTGAAGCATTTTGGATTTTGGATTTTCAGATTAGGGATGCTCAACCTGTACTAATTTGAGGGAGATACTCACAAATATGAGGCAGGGTGGTGGTGGTGAATGAGACCAAATGAGCACTGATCATACCTCCCATCCCAGCTCACTTATTGGGCAAAATGCAGGTGCAGCTGAAATCATCATTCACACTATTTAAGAGTTCTGCCTCCCCCACACCCCCTCGGCCTGTCTTCCTCCTGCCCCCGTTTTCTCTCTCACTTCTTCCTCATACCCACTTTCTTCTTTTCTGGCCAGATGAAGTTAGCTAATACGTATGAGCTAAGTGCACACATATTGCAACTGCACTCTATCTTCATATTATAAAGCGAGGAGACAAGATAATTTACCTATCACTAATAGGATTAAAAATAAGAAGTTTAGTCATATTATTTGTAGTGAAAAAAGTAACATAGAGAGGACTTTACAAGAGCAATGTAACTGTGTTGTGAGAAAGAAAGGGAGTAATGTAAGTGAACTAAGAACTCATCTGTCATAGGAGGAAGAGTCAGCAGCTGTATTAGTCCATTTTCACACTGCTGTAAAGAAATACCCAAGGCTGTGTAATTTATAAAGGAAAGATGTTTAATTGACTCACGGTTCCGCATGGCTGGGAAGGCCTCAGGAAACTCACAATCATGGTGGAAGGTGAAGAGGAAGTAAGGATCTTCTCCACATGGTATCAGGAGAGAGAACTGCAAGCAGGGGAAATGCCAGACGCTTATAAAACCATCAGATCTCGTGAGAACTCACTATCAAAAGAAGAGCATGGGGGAAACTGCCCCCGTGGTCCAATCACCTCTCTCCCTTGACACATGGGGATTACAGGTCCCTTCCTCAACATGTGGGTATTACAATTCCAGATGAGATTTGGGTGGGGATACACAGCCAAACCATACCAGCAGCATACACTTAATATTTGCAGACATGGAGGAAACCACTGGAAGAACCAGAATCTGGAATATTAAAGAGGGAGCTCAGGGCTGGGCAGAGGTGAGGTAAAGATCGAGTCTTTAAGTAACTGCCCTGGGCAGCAGCACTAGCGGGCCCAGGGATAGAACAAGGTGGAGGAAGCCTTGTTTTTCATATTGTAAACTTCAGTCCCTTGTGAATTCATTTTGTAATGCTATTACTTCTATAATAACCAGATAAACACATGTTTTTCAATTTTTATTTTTAAATAAGTCAGTTGAGATGAACCCAGTGATGTGAGCTTTTATTCCTAGGACCCTGAAGGGCGGAAACAATGACTCGCCAAGGGCTGATAACGGCACTTTTGCTGCTTTCCCAGTGGAAGCCCCAATCACCAGGTCCTGTTCACTTGACCTCTTGTTTCTCAAATTGGAGGAAAGGCCCCCTTCACACATACACCCATTCACCTGCATCCAAGTGAAGCAGCTCATGCCTTCAATCTTGGATGGCCTGACATGTAAAAGGCTCCTTGCCTTTCTGAACACCCCCAGAAGTAGACTTCTGCAGAGATAAGTAGACTTCTTGCAGAGATAAGACTGGGAGATACCTGAGAAAAATTACCCTGCATCCCAGTTCATTATGACCCTGTGGCTCATAACAAGATTCGGGCACTTTAATTCCTTTACTGGATTGTAAATTTCCTGACCATTAAGTTACATGATTAATCCTCATTTACCCCCAGTTCTCAACTTCAAAAAGAAATTAAGCCCCAGAGATGTTGTATGGGTATCCAAAATGCATTACAGATTTCCAAACAAACAAGATTAACGCCAACCCAGCAATGCTGACTCCCAGGCCTACATTTGTCTTAATGACTGTTATTCCTCAAGGCAGTAATGAGTCTTGCCACTGGGTGCTAGACTGTTGGCCACCTGAACCTCATACTTATTGCAACCTGCAGTTAAGGCCTTGGCATTCATTCAAGCCCCAGCCTTGAATCATCTGTTTGAAATTCAGACCTGGGCCGGGCACGGTGGCTTACACCTGGAATCCCAGCACTTTGGGAGGCTGAGGCGGGTGGATCACTTGAGGTCAGGCGTTTGAGACCAGCCTGGCCAACATAGCAAAACCCCATCTCTACTAAAAATACAAAGGTTAGCTGGGCATGGTGGCACGTGCCTATAGTCCCAGCTACTTGGGGGGCTGAGGTAGGAGAGTTACTTGAACCCAGGAGGCAGAGGTTGCAGTGAGCTGAGATTGTGTCACTGCACTCCAGCCTGGGTGACAGAGTGAGACCTTGTCTTAAAAAAAACAACAACAAAAAAAACCTGAAGGGTTCTGCTCCGGGAGACTGGAATCTGGAATTGCAGTACTGATGGGCCAGAGGATGCCATGCCCAGCATCACTCGCTTGGCAGGACACACTGGCTAAGCGCTCCGACTCTGGACAGACAGCTCTGAGTTTAATCTCTTGCCTGTCGTTTTTGAGCTACGAGATTTTGGGCAAGTCTCACTTCCCCCATCTGTAAAATGGAGAGACTGCCGATAGCATCTATTTCATGAATCCTGTATGAGGACTAAATAGAATGATGTTTATATATGCATATAAGGTGCCTGAAATATATTCATTGACTGTTAACTTTTAATATCAACCATGCCATTTTTCTTATTAAAATTGACATAATGATTAATCAGATTTATTAAATTGTCTAGGAGAGAGAAGTCAAACCATAAACTACTATTAGAAATAGGAAGAGTTAAGCCCAAAAACTGATCCCTTCCACAAGGAAAGCACCTCAGTGCAGATGGTTTGGAAAGAGCTCTTTGACATTTGGCTCACCCTCAAGTTTCCTGTTCATAATCACAGGTGACTTCACATGGGTCGTAACAAGGACATCCTAAATGAAAAGTGAGAAGGACCATCTCTAACAAAAGCCGGGGGAGCTCACTCACTGCGCTGAAGGCCCTGTGAATGGGTTAACCATCCTGGGGGCAGAGCAAAGCAGTGTGACAGCTTCCCAAGAAGCTATTTTTATCTTGTGTTTTGAGCATCTGACTCAAGCTGGGTAAAAGGGTTCATTTTCTCACTTGGAAAGTTTTCAAAACACCAAAGGATTTGGTCAAGAGGGAAATATACTCACTCCAGCCAAATCTTTTTCCGTGGTCAAAAAAAAAAAAAGGCCAGCAAAAATTTAATCATAAATCTGCTTCCGGCAATATATGGACCCATTCAGGGGAAGTTGTCATTTGTTTATCAGTAGCAGACAGCAGCTTCCTGCAACCAACAGCAGCTGTCACCCTGCAAAAGGACATCTTTTCATTTTCATGAAGAGTAGTGAAAATTTTAAGGCAAAGCAAATGACAAAATATTTGACTGCATTTATCTGCCTTTTGGCTATTTTTACCCCTGTGCCATGCAAACGCCTTACAGGCTTTCCTGACAACATCTTACTTTTTATTCTAGTCCTGCTTAGCAGCCAAGGCATAGTGTTGCCATTTAAATTTTACAGATGGTGAAAGCTGAAACCCTGAAACTTCAGTAACATGAACACGGTGGGGCCAGAACTGGAAACCACTCCATGGTTGATTTAAAACTACCCCAAGTCCCAAGGGAGACACAACGGTCATCAGGGAAATGGGAGCGAATACCAGTTCTGTGTCAACTTGGAGCAGGGCAAAGTGGTGACCTAGGAAAACACACAGTCTAACTGCTGATTTCTTCCCCAGTGAAGAACTTGAGGTCTATAACACAGCATCATGTGTCTGCAGCGTAAGAATTCTGTTTTCTCAGCTAAGAATGAAGTATGAGATCACATGTTTATTGCTGCCGTTTACTTCCCACAATTCCTTTTTACATATTCATACTCTGGGTATTTTTTTTCTACATACCTCTGCCAGACTATGTCGTTCTCTTCTCATCCAGAGTTACCCTAGTTATTTTGCTAAAGTACCTGATCCCATTCATTCACTCATAGATCTTACACTGAATGCCGGCCATGGGACCTAGGGCTGGGAACCTGGGGACACAAAGATGAATGAGTCTCAGTTCCTAACGTCAAGGGGTTCAGGGGCTACCAGGGAAAACCGACATGTAAAGATGTAGGTAGATCTGTAAAGAAACGTCCTGGAAACCACAGAAGTAATTGTCTCTGATGGGTGAGGAAAGGCTTTCTTTTCTCCTTGATACCTCTCCTGAGTGCCTCTGGTTGCCTCACTTTGGCATCTCATCTCTGCCCTGCCCACTCTGCCCAGTCCCCCTTGGGTATTGACATTTCTGCTAATATCTCCCTCTCTGCACTTCAGATCAGACCTCCAACCCCTAAAGTTATGATTGCAGGTCACAGAGGACAGGTTTGTGCACATAGTACTAATTTTTTCAAATATCTTAGCCATGAGCAGTTATTTTGTAGAGTAAATCAATGCTAATTCTTTAGAGCAAAGCAACATTAAAGTCTTTTTCTTTTTTTTTTTTTTCCTGAAGCACATTCTGAAGATTATAATCTACAAAGAGTACTAAAATGAGAAAGGATCCCTGGGCCTAGCTTGGTACTAATTTTTATTCATCTGATTTATAGAGTGGGTAGGTGAGGTAATGTCCTCCTCATCTCTGGACTGGGGATATGCTGACAGCTCCATCCATCAGGCAAGCTGTCAGAGCATAACGCTTCAAAGAAGCTGTTAAACAAAGGTCCAAATGGCTAACACTTCTAGGAGATGAAAAAGCAGAAGTTAACCTTAGTGTCCAGGGAAAAGTATTTTGCTCATCTAGTAGAGAAATGGATGTAGCAGTAAAGTCTTTAGACAAAGGTATTAGAATTTAAAGACAAATTCCAAATACATGCCTGGATTTCTGCTGCCTTTATGATTCTGGAAGCAATTCCTGGTTAAAATGTATTGATAAATAATCAGCCAGCAACGTTGATCTCACTGAAACTAGGATCCATCTTCATTAGCAAATTTAAGGATCACTTATGTCTATAAATATAGGGCAGAAGAAATAGAGGGGATGTAATCCAAAGTCCGCGGTTATGCCTGTCCACCAAGGAGCTGGATTGCAGCTGGTGGTCTTTAACAATTAGGGGCATGAGAAGGACAATGATCATTTACACAATGACATTAATAGTGTAGTTGGTGACCATTTTATGGTATCTTGAAGAATTTTAGGCACATACAAAACATCCAAAGGACATATTTTAGCTGCTAGGTTTAGTATATTTTCTTTCTTTCATTTCAACACCTTCAATGCCTTTCAACAGTTTTAGATCCCTCTGAGTTTTAGATCATCCAAGTTCCTCAAGGACAGAGAGAGGTTCCATTAGAGCATGACAGACTCATAGAACGACCTCTTTTGAAATCTAGGTCACACAGACAGCGAAAGTATCTCCAGTGGTCTCAGAGATCCTGGCCATGGCTCGGGGCGTGGAGAATAGCTTCAAGAATGGGGGCCTATGCAAGAGGGCCCTCAGCCGGCAGATGGCACTACAGTGTTTGGCAGTCTGAACTTCGTGCGTGCTCTTTAATAAGGGCCTTTTCTCATCATTCTACTCAAAGTGTTGTAATTCCCTCTGATTGTCTTCTCTGCCCTCATTTGACTTTGCTGAGTCATTCCATGCTGTGTCATGAAACTCTGTGCTGCTGCAGGAGACTCAGAAGAAGCTCTAAACACTTTGTGGCTGTTGGGATAACTCAACATGGGGGGCAGGCTGCCATGCCAAGAACCCCAGTGAGGGTGGCTGAGGAGAGGGTCTATGTACGGGGGTAGTGTGAACCCGAGGGTGATGAGGGAGACATAGCTTTGGGTGGCTCTAAGCCTCTCAAAGCATTTGAAGACTCCACTCTAAGTGAACCCTCCACCTCCCCACCTCTCTCTCTCTCACTCCCCTGCCCTGACCCAAAGGCTCCAAGTATCCATATTGCATGGGCAAGTGCATTCTCCTACAGGAAAGATGGGGATGCATGTCAACCTCATAAGCCCCACATAGAAGGGAGATTTCTATCTCCCAGCTGTGCCTGTCTCATTTTGCTTGGAGAAAGAAGGGGATCACAGAGGGGTGGATCACATGCTCCATAAAGGCAAATATTCTCCCCTAAAGAGAACCTCTTTGCTCCCACTGTTGGAGTTGGTGTCAAGGTGGAGTGGGGATGGGAAAGGATATATTTTTACAATCCTCTCCTAATGTCTAAGGAGGAAGGATCCCAAAGAAGATCCCCTAGTTGCTGAAGGAAGATGGGGGTGTTAAATTGATTCAGGTGGGTGGATGCAAATTGGAAGGGGGGAGGACACCTAAATTATTCTACATAATCAGAGGAGGAAAGAGATCAAGAGAAAAACTGGTGGGAGGCAGGGAGGACAAGAGAGAAGGAGACAACTAAGGTGGAGATTTTGATGAAGTGTTGTGTAGTGCAGCGTTTGATATATTCTCTTCTCCATCTTTCCAGAAACAGCCTGGAAAACCGACATTACCAAATAGTGCTTTACGAGTTCTATTGAGGTGGGGAGAAATGAAATTTGAGGAGGGGTTCAGTCTTGGGGAAGTGTTTGTGCGTGATCAAAAGGCAGGAGCAAGAACTGCCCGATGTGCTACGCCAGAACTGAACAACGTGATATAACTAGTGAAGAGTGAGGGACAGCACTCCACTTGGGTCTACTATTGCTATGGCCAAGGTCATTTTGCAGTGTCAGGGCCACTCTCCAGGTGAGTTATGGGGAGAGACCACAAAGAACCTGGAGAGATAGCATGTTTCATCCACCTCTGCTACTCTGCCAGTGATCTGAGAACAAAAGGCCCTCCCAGCCTAAAAGCAGGAATTTAGTGGGGCTCAGTGGAAGTGTTTGTTTTGATAAGAAGCTGCTTTAAAGCCACCATATGTTTGGTTTGATGGTGACACATGGCTGTAAGTGCAGCCTGGGCCCAGATACTAGCTTAGTCAGTGGTTCTCTACGTGTAGGCCCTGGTCCACAAATAACGATGTCACTTGGGAACTTGATAGAAATGTCAACTCTCAGACGCCAACCAAATCTGCCGAACCAGACACCTGAGAGGTAGGGCCCAGTGATGTTGTTAAACAAGTCCCCTTGGTGATCCTGATACATCCTGACATTTGAGAATAACTGGATTATGCAACAATTCTAAATGTTTGGTATCTGAACCCCAGTAGGGCTTGTCAAACACAGAATCCCAAAATCTCTAGCACAGACACCAGAGATTTTGGCTGTGTAAGCCTTGGGTGAGCTTGGCACCCTTTGTTTAATAAGCTCTGCAGTAATTCTTGTCCCCATCTAAGTTCGGGAACCACTAGAGCAACAGATTAAGAAGAAACTGAGTCCATATCCTGAAATTATGAGCTAATGTGGCTGGCAAATTGAACAACTTATTGAAACAATAGAGACCTTCCAGGATAAGTAAAGGAGCTTAATTAATGTTCCCAATTAATACAGGATGTCCTGCAGCTCATGGAGAGGAAGCTTTGGAGATTATACTTAGGGAAGAATTCTTCAACCTTAAGCTCAAAGCTTGACTTCAGAGAATTCAAGCAGTTATGGAATAAATGGGGCCCCAGGGAGTAACCCAGAGACTAATTCATACCTCACAGGGCAGCAGCTGTGGCCCCAAGTGTCCAATGCAGATAGGGCAGGGCACCCTGCTTCTCCAGGCAGGATCTAGAGTTCAAGAGTAGTCCTTAGAATCACCCAGGAGTTAGGAGGTGGGCACAAATGCAGATTCAGGTTCCTGAGCCCCTCTCAGGCCTGCTGAATCCATTTGTAGGATTGGTGACCAAGAATCTAAATTCCTACTGTGTGCCTTAGCTGTCTGTCATGCACATTCCAATTTGAGAACCACTGATCACCGAGTGTGGTTAGCATCACTTACACTTTGGTGAAAGGCAAAGACTATCCATGCAGTTCCAGGGTCAAAAGCTCGTGGGCCAGGCGCAGTGGCTCACGCCTCTAATTCCAGCACTTTGGGAGGCTGAGGCGGGTAGATCATGAGGTTAGGAGCTCAAGACCAGCCTGACCAACACGGTGAAACCCTGTCTCTACTAAAACTACAAAAATTAGCCGGGTGTGGTGGCACGTACCTGTAATCCCAGCTACTTAGGAGCTTGAGGCGGGAGAATCACTTGAACCCGGGAGGTGGAGGTTGCAGTGAGCCGAGATTGTGCCACTGCACTCCAGCCTGGGCAACAGAGCAAGGCTCTGCCTCAAAAAACAAAACAAAACGAAACAAAACAAAAACAAACAAAAAAAAGCTTGTGGCCTGGAGGGAGAAGCAGGGAAGATCCATCTCTCACATTTCCACCTTGGGAAGGGCAGAGAGTCCTTGGTTGTGGGTGAGGCCACTTAAAAATTAGTTTCCATGTGTAGGCAAAACACGTAATATTTGAGATATGCAATATGTAGTATTTAAATATATTAAGTTTAATATAGCTCCATGGTAAGAGTGCTTGTCTTCTGTTTAAAATATTCCCACGAGTAATGGGAAAGTAAGAAAATGCCTAGCCAGCAATATACCATAAAATTTCCTAGGGAAATTGCTTTGATATAGCTATAAATATAAGATTTCCCATAATATTCAATTTCCTCATTTCTTGTTTATTTTGTAATCCCATTTTCCTTAGCGTGTCCAGTTGAAAAATTCCTTAAGTAATAATTAAAAAGAAGTGAGCAGGTGCATGTTTTGGAGACGGTAAGGAAGGGTTGCAGTTAGGAGGGCTGGAAAGTCTGTGTTCCACTCTGCAGGGGAGCGTGCAGGAGGAAGAGAAGCCCAGGCCGAGGGGTCACGAGGGGTTACCAGCGAAAGGAGGGTGAGCCCAATCCCTGAAGCCTCCAGAAGTGGCCAACAGGAGAATGCATCCGAGTGTCCCGTTACTATTTTCACTGAGTCCCTCTCAAAAGTTGAACTGCCCACTCATCAATTTGAATGTTTTTCACCAGTTAACCCAGTCTAACAATAGGTTTTGGAGTACACATGCCTGTGATTTAGAAGTAACAAGACACTTTACATCTTTCCCTAAACATTTGCATGTCTACTTCTACAGCATAGACTTGTAGTATCTTTAAAACCCTTTTCTCCCAAGTGCAGCCTCATTAGAAGTCAACTGGCCTTCTGACTAGCATTTCAGACTCTGATTATTATACCAAAATCCATTAAACACATAAAGTCTCTTATTGGAACCTCCAATTAAACCTCAAGTCTCATAAAAGAGAATGAAGTGATTATAGGAAAGTGATCTAATACTATGCGAAGTGTTGGGAATGATAATGCTGGGAATGAATGCGGTGCCTTTTGCCCAAGGAGCTAAAATTAACAAAATCTAATTTTTCCCAATTCGAAATGATATAGAAAGGAAAATGTAAATAAAATGACTCGGAGTAAGTTCAATATAATGCTAACTTTCATTCAAGGTAAACCCATGGGTTAGTTAGAACTAAACAAATTAATTGTTCCTGGTGAGCCCCAGGGATTGGCTCACTTTCCCTTCCCTAATACCCGCTTCTGACTCCGTAACTTGTTCTTTTTAGCCCAAGAGGGCCTTTTGTTCTCAGATCACTGGCAGAGTAACAGAGGTGGTTGAAAGACGCCATCTCTTCGGGTTCTTTGTGGCCTCTTCCTATAACTCGCCTGGAGAGTGGCTCTGATACTTTAAAATGACCTTGGTCATAACAATAATAGACCCAAGTGGAGTGCTGTCCTTCACTCTTTGCTAATTATGTCACGTTGTCCAGTTCAGGCTTAGCACATCATCTCCTAAACTTTGTCTAGTGGGGTAGGTTTTGATTCTTTTTTTGTTAATTATCTGACCTTGCATATGTCCAAGTTTTTCTACTGTGAAATGGGAATAAGTGTAACTGCCTAACCTAACCCCTGGATATATTGGGTGTAAACGTTTTATGCAATACCAGAGAATCATCATCATAATCATAGTAGAAACCAAGGTGCGGCTGTTCCTTCATTTTCAGGTTTCTAGAGTTTGGTGCTTTCAGGGGAATCAACACTGTACTACACTGGCCAGTATCCATGTACAGGAGGGCAATGGTTCTCACACTAAACTATGCCTGAGGACCAACTGGGGATCCTGTTAAAATACAGATTCTTGGGACCTGCCCCCAGAGATTTTAGTTCAATGATTTGGGATTGGGCTCAAGAAATTCATTCGTCCAGCAATTATGTGCAGACATTGTTAAAGGCACTAGGGTGATGGAAGTGAACGAAGAGACAAAAATCCTTTCGTGGTCTATCTGCATTTGTAACAGACCTCCAGGTGACGCTGAGGCCATTAGCTGTACTCTCCCAAGGGCCACACCTTGGCAGCAGCACATGTCAACTAGTGACAAGATCTACTCTCTGCTATGCCAATGGAAATTTCATCACATTTCCAAACTCTGATTCTCCTTCTTTTCCACTGGGACCTACTTTTTGGCCACAATCTTCAGGAATTAGTTTTTATATTCAGGAACAATGGTTCACTGGGGTCCTTCTCAGCAAGTTCATTTACTCCATTGCTTTTTTATTCCAGTATCATACGTTATTAGCACTGGGTTCCCGAAGGACCTCCTTAGCATCAGAGTCTTTAAGAAGGCTCAGGAAACATCACTTGTACCAGAGACTTTGGTAACAGGAATCATCAAGAAGATGTCTGGATTTGACTTTCAAGGATCAGAAGACAATTAACTTGATGAGTTCTAACCTAAACCACAAGCTTACCCTTAAGAAAAATTAGCCTTATACTGAACTTACTCCAAGTCATTTCATTTACATTTTCCTTTCTATACCGTTTTGAGTTGGGAAAAATTCACTTTTGTTAACGGCCCACACATCCTGTGGAATGAAGCCTTCATTCTAAAATGCAGTTGATTAATTTCACTAAGTCCTTTGATGCATCAATACTAAAGATGTGTGGGAAACTTAGCTGACCTGGACCAACAGAGCAAATGAAGTAGCTTCACAAGGGCATTGGCTGATTTTAAAAAAAAAAAAACACTTTTTACGTGCAATATCTACCTTAAAAAAGATGTATTAGTAAACAGAGCTGAATTATAAAAAATTCTTTTCACTCCAGCAAGCCTCAAGTACCCAAAGCTGACAACAGATGACTCAGTGAGTAAAATAAAGGCAGAACAAGGCAACAAGGACAAGTAAGACTTTAAGTGAGTAAAGGAAATGAAGAACTACAAAAATACCTAATAGATTTTAGGTTTATTGAAAAATGTATCTAGGGAGATTGCTTAAGTTATATTTCATGTAGTCCATATTTTGTTTATTTATGTCCTGCCTCCTTCCTAAAAAGGATTGGAAACTGCTCATTTATTCTCTGTATCTGGTGTGAGATAACATTTTAAAGAAAAGATTACTGTTTCATTCTTAATCTCCTTCCTCACAAGTTCTCCAACCATTAAAAAATTTCAAACAGGATAAGGAAACGACATACTTCTCTTATGATAAGTTTTCCCATATCCAGAAAAATCTGCCATTTTAATAACTATTTTTTATCAATCTTAGAGATCCTCCCAGCTCCAAAAAAACTGGGTCGGTATGTAAACATTATGTTTGTAGTTGATGGCAGTGAAATTGCACAACGAAGCGTCTTGCTTTATTTCTAATTTTAAAAGTATATGTGAAACTTTAAAAAAGAAGTCTCCAGTTTTTGAAAACAAGCTTCCTTTTCCATGTCCTTCTAGGCCTTGGCCTCGTGCATACACATTTTACATACATGCACCTCTTGTGTGCAATTGTTTCACTTAACATTGTATTATAGGCATTTTCCCCACATTGTTATGCATTTTAACTTTGAAAATTTAAATTGCCATTTTTAATGGCTACATAATTGTCCATAGAGTTGCTGTATCATTAGAATACAGGAAAAGGAAGGCAGATATTTGAGCAGATGGCCACGACACAGTTCAGGAAATGAGTCACATCACTGTTGTTTACAGTGTGCTGGAGCACTTCATATTCCAGGGAGAGAGGTCTGGCCCTGAAGAGTTGATTACTGTAAGGGCTTATTTATCTGAAACACATAAGATGGAAGCTGTCCTGGTCTCAAATTTGTTTTGAAGCCACTCTTTATTCATTTCCTGTATTAATATCCTTCAAGGGACAATATGTTCTGCAAAAAGCAGAGTGAACACCTGAAATGAAACAACTCATCCCTGCATTCTGCACAGTGGCTGGGCTGGTAGGTGTGAGGGCTAGGGGCCTCCCGATGCCCCAGTTCTCTCTCTCCCTCTCACACACACACGCCACCACCACCAGCACTTCAGTGGAGTTACAGTGTACAAGGCATATAGAATATGAGGCAGCAGCAGAGTGTAGTGGCCACGAGCATGTAGTCTGGAACCAGAACTTGACACTCGTGTTCTTGCATCTTAACCTTTAGCATCTGTAAAAATGAGGTAATAATAATCACTTAAAGTCTTACTTGTCCTTGTTGCTTTGTTCTACCTTTATTTTACTCGCTGAGTCATTTGTTGTCGGCCTTGGGCACTCGAGGTTTGCTGGAGTGAAATTGATTTTTTATAATTCAGCTGTTTACTAATAGATATTTTTAAAGGTAGATATTGCACATAAAAAGTGGTTTAAAAAAGAGGATAATAATATCCTCATCCTATGGAGTGAGGATAACGTTCACTCCATAGGGTTATGGTGGGGATTGAATAAGGTAATATCCATAAACATAAAGAATAGAATTTGGCACGTGGTAAGCGCCATGTCAGTGCTTATTACTATATTTTCTTGCCACTCACTTCTTTTTTTTTTTCTGAGACGGAGTCTCACCCTGTCACCCAGGCTGGAGTGCAGTGGCGTGATGTTAGCTCACTGCAACCTCCACCTCCCGGATTCAAGCGATTCTCCTGCCTCAGTCTCCCAAGTAGCTGGGACTACAGGCATGTGCCACCACGCTTGGCTAATTTTTGTATTTTTAGTAGAGATGGGGTTTCACCATGTTAGCCAGGCTGGTCTCGAACTCCTGACCTCAAGTGATCCACTCACCTCAGTCTCCCAAAGTGCTGGGATTACAGGCGTGAGAAACTGCACTTGGCCTCCACTCACTTTTAAGGACAGCAGAGCAGAGGTCCAACTGCCAGGACAATAACTGGGCATTATCACCCCTTTGATAATAGGAAAGAATACACTTCCCTGTAACATCCTGACCACTTCTATCTGTGTCCCATAGAGAGAAAAATGACACTTATTTTACAAAAATTTTAACCCAGGGACAATATGTGAGACCCTGTGTGTACATTTTAAGCCCACAACTAAAGAACCACTCCTGGAAGTTTAAGCCTTGGTTTCGACTTCAAGCACATAGTGTGAGTGATACTATTTAGTTAGTACAAGATTCTCTCACCACCATTACTGGCTACCATTTATTCATCACCTACCACCTGCCAGGACTCTCTCTTTCATATAAGTACATCTAGCCCTCACAACAACCTTATAAGGTAAGTATTATTATTATTATTATTCCCATTTTATATTTAAAAGATGTGGGAACTTGGGGCCAGAAAGATAAGGTGATTTGCCTAAAGCCAAGTGGACTCAGAATTAGAATTTAAATTTAGGTCTGGTTAACTCTCAAGTCTATTCTTTTCCCACTGCGCCCACTCCTGTTTACTGTCATCTTTGTACAAAGAGGACTTGAGCCTTGGGGGCTTGCACTGCTGATTAACTAAACTGGCTAATGCCTACAGCTGCTGTGCTGAACTGTTCAGTGCTTCCCACATGTGTCCTGGGCTCCATGCCAGCCCTACAAACCCCCCTGCCTCCCGACACCCACACCCGCTCTTCAGACTCAGCATCTATGCTCCTGACCCTGGCCTGGGTTGGATCCTCCACCCTGCTCATGAAAAGAGTAGTGTGAAATTGACATCGAGACAATCAGATAAAGCTGGCTGGTTCTGGTCCTACCTGTCAGCTACCTCCTCCTCTGTTCCCACATCTGGCGACCTTCTGTTTCACCTCAACTCCTCTGTCCACTCTTTACCCACTTCCTGCTGAGTAGGCGTTGAGGTTATACAGGAGGTGATGGAGACCCCTGTCTCTTTTCCCTTCCCCCCTACCTGGCACTGGGCACGAGAATCCCTGATTACACTCCTGGAAGTGAGGGGGCACACACCTCCCTTGGGATGGAGAAGAGTGAACTGAGAGAGGTGCAGAGGCCTCACTCACGCTGAGTTGCTTTGGAACATCAGGCAGAAGGGGCTCACACTCCAAACCCACACTGAGATCACAGCATCTTCGTGAACTGATTTTAGGAGTTCTATTGCCCCACACCTCCCTGGCCCCCAAAGATTCAGATGTTGCAACCCTATCTCCCCATACATCAGAATGTGACCTTATTTGGGAACAGGGCAGATGTAATTGGTTAAGACGAGGTCATAGTGGAGTGGCCTTTAATTCAATATGACTTGTGTCCTTATAAAAAAGGGCAAATGGGCCGGGCACGGTGGCTCATGCTTGTAATCCCAGCACTTGGGGAGGCCGAGATGGGCGGATCACAAGGTCAGGAGATCAAGACAATCCTGGCTAACACGGTGAAACCCCGTCTCTACTAAAAATACAAAAAATTAGCCGGGTGGGTGCCTGTAATCCCAGCCATTGGGAGACTGAGGCAGGAGAATGGTGTGAACCTGGGAAGCGGAGCTTGCAGTGGGTGGAGATCACTCCACTGCACTCCAGCCTGGACGACAGAGCAAGACTCGGTCTCAAAAAAAGAAAAAAAGAAAGGGCAAATGGACACAGACATGCTCACAGAATGCCTTCATGTGAAGATGAAATATCTGGATGATGCATCTACAAGCCAAGGGATATCTGATTGCCAGCAAGCCACCAGAAGCTAGGAGAGGACATGGGACAGATGCCTCCTCATGGCCCTCAGAAGGAGCCAACCCTGTTGACGCCTTGAGTTGAATTTCTGGCCTCCAGAACTGGGAGAGAATAGCTTTCAGTTGTGTGAGCCACCCAGTTTGTGGTATTTGTTACGGCAACCCTAGGAATCTGCTAAGCTGGAGAGATGCTCAGAGGAGTCATGAAAGTGTCTCAGCTCTGGGGTGAGGTAGGGAGAAAATCGAGTCAAGGTTGTGGGAGTGGCTTCTGGATGGGCTGAGGGAGCCTGGTTCATGGACAGGCCCCAATCCCTAGCTGAGTTTCTTCAGAGAGAGTTCGAGACCAGAAACAGCTCGCCCTCATCAAATGCCCAATGCCACGGGCAGTCTCTGGTGCCTGCCTGGGGATATGGGAAAAAGCGAGATTTTAAGCCTGGCTCACCTTCATGGTAAGGAGTCATTACAGCTTTCATGGGCCTTAGGCGCTTTGGTTTTTCTGGGCTTCTTCCTGCATTTAAAAAAATAATTAAAATATTTTATGACTTCATTGGTGTAAAGACAAGTATAATCTATGCTGGACCAATCACTATATATTTGTTATTATTATATTCATTTTTCTTCTGATTTTAAAAGAAGCTAAAATTGAAACATTTTCTGTGGCCCCCTGAAAGTGGTGTGGGCTCAGCCGCTGCGCCTGCTGTGCCTATGGGATAAGTTGGCCCCACCCCACAGATAAAATGAGAGAACCATCAGGGATGCAAAAAAAAAAAAAAAAAAGACCTTTTCTGGATGGTACTGACACCAAGAAACTGAGTCTTAAAAAGGACTCCGAGCGAGTGTGTTATATTAAGCTCTTTCTCCATCCTTTAAAAGCTATGCAATTGCTACGCAGCTTGCATATCTGGTGTCAAAAGATCCATAGTTGCCTTTCATTTTTCCTTTACCTCAGGATGAACCAAAAAAATAAATACTTCCAGGTATCGATAGAGAACCTTGCTACATATTGGCTGTCATCACCTGCAAGCGTGTCCATAAATCCATACCCCTTCTGCTAGGGCAGCTGTTGTACATTGTCAGAACCCTGCATAAAACATCTCCCTATGTACTGTATTATTGGCCCTCCTGATTTACTGTATATACAGTCTGCAAGTTAAATACCAACAGAAGCACCCGAAAATATATTCTCTTGCAGCCTCTGTCTGAAAACTGCATTGCCCAAATAATGTCTGCTCATTCATCATTTACTTCCCAATATCTGAATGTCATTCTCTGAAATACATCTCTACAACAGTGCCCTGTGAAACACCAGCCCAGAGAAGCAGAAGCGGAATCTCCAGCTTCAAGGCCCAGACATTTAAAAAGGGGGCCTGTTTCAAAAATGAGACTAAGCAATTCAAACCGTTGGTATCTCGCGTCCCTTTAAGGGACTTTTACGGCTTCCCTTAATGTAATATTGGAATCCTTCTTCCTTTTACGCACACCTCCTAGCATTAGGAGCAGTGATAACAAATTGAATACGTAAACCCACATAAATGGTTCTCCCTAGAATTCATTAGGAAGTATTTTTGTTTACACAGAATTCCAATTGATTTCTGTGAGGGATCCAGGAGCATAGATTTCTACTTAGTGACAATCCACTGGAACACACAAATCCAGACGTAAAACTGATTCCCATGTGATATAGTTTGGATCTGTGTCCCTGCCCAAATCTCACGTTGAATTGTAATCCCCAGTGTTGGAGGTGGGACATGGTGGAAGGTGACTGGATCTCGGGGGTGGGTTTCTCATGAATGGTTTAGCACCATCCCCCTTGGTGCCGTCCTTGTGACGGTGAGTGAATTCTTGTGAGATCTGGTAGTTTAAAAGTGTGTGGCACCTCCCCACTGCTCTCTCTTGCTGCTCCAGCTATGTGACATGCTGCCTCCCCCTTCACCTTCGTCATGATTTTAAGTTTCCTAAGGCCTCCCCAGAAGCTGAGCCGATGCCAGTATCATGCTTCCTGTACAGCCTGCTGAACCATGAGCCAATTAAACCTCTTTTTAAAATAAATTACCCAATCTCAGGTATTTCTTTATAGCAATGCAGAACAGACTAATATACCATGTTACAGGTTATCAATACGAGAAAAGGAAGAGTGTAGTGGACATGTACTTGTTTCATAGACTGATCTAGGTTTGAATATCAGCTTTACAACAACTAGACAGACATTTTTGAGCCCCTGATCCCTCATCTAAAAAATGAAGTCAATGCCAATGCAGGACAAGGTTGACTGGGAATTCAACCTCCATCCCCTCCTTTCTAACAGAACCCTAGTTTTGTCTAGGTAATTACTCATCCAGGGCTGGCTTCATGGACAGGTGACAGGGCCACATGCTCAGAAGGGTCCTGTGCTTGGGGAAATGCTCTGCTATTACCATCTTGAAATGCTTAATAATTTTATCTTAGAACTTCTGGTTTGCAAGTAAAGTCTGCTGGGACAACACAGCACACAGTGAGCAGGTAAGATAAACATAATATGCACATCTGCTATCTTAGCCATCCCATTTGCTACCTCCGTAACATACTTACCTTCTACTTGCTTTTACTCTTGCTGGACTCCCATCACTGTGGCTTCACTGGAATTCGATGATCATGTTCTGTATCAACATGTCTGCAATTGAGTAGGTAGGGGTACTGACAGCCCCGGGTGGCTATACTTTCCATTCCAGTCATAACTTGCTTGGACACAGAAAGAAGGCAGTGGTATTCTAAGAAACACAAATGATCAAGGAAGCTTTTCACAGCCTTTCTTACTCATGTTACACCTTTGTGTTAGTCAAACACTTATTCTGAAAATGATGGAAGGGAAAGATAAGGCAACCCATGGTTCTTTTATTTCCTTAGGTCCTTCCTTAATCACAATGAGTAGCAATGTAGAGAGTGTTAGCAGAATGTGCACATATCAAGAAATGAAATAAAAATTGTTGAATTAGTTGTGTGCAGTATTTCCCTGCTTGGTAAGAATGAAATACTGTGCATTTATGAGCTACAAACTATGAATTACTTTATTTCACAGATTCACATAGGAATTAAGTTCCCTTATATATGCCAACCACAACCCTGGCTCCAAGTGTGGGAATGATAGCACCAGGGGTAATTTCATCCCACTTGCTGGTGATTGGTCCAGGACAGGCATGCCACTCAATCAGACCAATGAGAAGCTGCTAGGGACTCCTGAGAAAGTTCTGACTTCTGCTTCCAGAACCGACTCTCTTTATTCCATCTTTCTACAAAGTGAGGATGAAGTCAACATGCAGAGGAGGGTAGAGTCACAAATTCATTGACAAAAAAAAACAACTTTTTAAAAGAATTTGCACGGCTGGGTGCAGTGGCTCACGCCTGTAATCCCAGCACTTTGGGAGGCCGAGACGTGTGGATCACAAGGTCAGGAGATCGAGACCATCCTGGCTATCACGGTGAAACCCCGTCTCTACTAAAAATACAAAAAATTAGCTGGGCTTGGTGGCGGGCGCCTGTAGTCCCAGCTACTCGGGAGGCTGAGGCAGGAGAATGGCGTGAACCCGGGAGGCGGAGCTTGCAGTGAGCGGAGATGGTGCCACTGCACTCCAGCCTGGGCAACAGAGTGAGATTCCGTCTCAAAGAAAAATAAAAATTAAAAAAAAAAAAGAATTTGCCGAAAAATAGAACTAAAGCTTCCAGTCTAAGCAACCTAAACACTGGTCTCCTGCTGTGACTTCCAGGAATGCGAACCAACTATTCCATTGTTACTAAATCCAGTTTATGATGGATTTTCTGTAACTTGATGCTGAAAGCACATTGATAAATGTTTGTTGACTGAGTGGATGAATGTGTACAGCATTATAATCCCTGGCATTGGACTGGCCATGACAAACTTTATGGCTCTTAAAGGAGGAGTCAATCTGACAGCTGAAGAACAAGGAAGAAGGCAGTGCAGGAAGGAAGGGGCACCCTGGTGTGCGCAGGGGTGAGAGGCTGACAAACATTAGGGGTCAGAAAGGAACATGGTCTGGAGATGCAAATGATTCATGCAGGGAGAGCAGGGACCATGGAGTGGCTGCCCTGGATTTTCAAGGGTCTGGGATTTTCTCAAGGTCGCCGGCGTGGTTAGTTGTAGGGGAACCCTATGCTATGTGTAGAAGTACTTGGAGCGGGCCGGGCGCGCTGGCTCACGCCTGTAATCCCAGCATTTTGGGAGGCTGAGGCAGGCTGATCACGCAGTCAGGAGATCGAGATCATCCTGGCTAACACGGTGAAACCCCGTCTCTACTAAAAATACAAAAAAATTAGCAGGGCATTGTGGCGGGCGCCTCTAGTCCCAGCTACTCGGGAGGCTGAGGCAGGAGAATGGCGTGAACCAGGGAGGTGGAGTTTGCAGTGAGCTGAGATCGCGCCACTGCACTCCAGCCTGGGCGACAGAGCGAGACTCCGTCTCAAAAAAAAAAAAAAAAAAAAAAAAAAAGGGCTTGGAGTAGTGAAGAGATCTGCAGCCGCACAGCCATGATAAGATCTTAGGAACTACCTCCTTATTTATATAAAGGTGCTTTACTGAAATATTAATAGCTCAGTTTGGGTTTGAAACCGAGCTGTGCCTCTCACTAATGGTGTAACCTAAGCAAGTTACTTTATCGTTCTGTGTCTTGGTTCCCTCAAAAGGAAAATGAAGAAGATATGAGCAGTACTTACCACCTCCTTTTCCATGAGGATAGTGAGGTCATCCAGCGTTTGGCACCTGGCAGGAGTTGCGTGGATGTTGGTTATTGTTATGTCTTTTGATTGCCTTACATGGTTCCTTGCAGGGGGAGAATTTTTTTTTTTTTTTTTTTTTTTTTTTTTTTTTTTTTTGGGAGTCCACCATTCCTACACCCTTCCCTCATCTTTTAATGTCTGGAGACTGCTGTCTGCAATTGTAAACCACTCTTTCACCTTCCTGATGCCCACATTACATGTAGCTTATTTTTGCCTTACTGATATTCAAGCTGAAGGAGGATGATGAAGAAGCTCTTGGGACCAAATTCAACACCAGCCAGTCAGCCTCCCTGACTATCCCCAACAGAGACTGGAGTGGCTCGATTCTACAGCTTAGAGTTTGTAGAGGAAAAGCTAAAATCCACACAAGAAATATTTCTGTGGCCGATTTCAGCTGATTTATAAGATTTTTTTCAAGTAAATAAAGCATATTTTCACCATTTTCAACATATCGTAGTATACTGTCCATCTTGGTGATCTGTTTCCCCAGGCCATATTTGGCAACATTTGGTATTACCTCCCACAGACTCTTGCACTTCCTTGGCCACAGGAATCAGATACGACCCTGTTAGGGACAGCACGTTTTCTTTAGTTTATTCATTCATATTCATTTAATGCTTATTGCATGCCAAGTACCATTTGGTGAGCTGCCTTACACAGTTATCTGCATTTTATATATTATGTGTGATATAACGGATGATCTTACACATATGTACTTCTGCATTTCAAATAGCTCAAAGTAAACTACAGAGGGAATATGCAACTTAAACCACAAACTACTCTTTAAAAACTTTGCTTCAAAACTCCAACCAAGAATTGGATAGTTTGTAATTGCACTGATTTCTGGCTCCTGGATTAGTCTAATCTTTCTGAAGTGGATATAGAAATATAATTCCATTCAGCACATCGTTATCACCAATATTTACAGCTTGCCTTTAAAAAGTAAACAAATTGGAGAAACTAGAAAAATTCTCAACCACCAAGTCCCCAAATTTCCATGAATCTTTATATTAATGTGATAAAAGATATAAAAGTTCTTGGCTGTGGTTTAATACTAGAAGATGATTCAGATGTAGAACATCTGACAAAGATTTTAAAAATTCTTTTTTAATGAATATGCAGACGAAGCAAGCTCAGTGTAGAATAACAAAATCACATATGTTGTCAATTATTGGAAACACACAGCACAAACAGCCAATAAACACAGGTAGAACCCCTCAGTGTTGTTGGTAAGATTATGGGGGTGGGGAGAGATTGCTTACAGCTGTTATGTTAATTAAGGAATAAAATAGCTCCATCTGCTACTCCATCTCTCCGTCGAGCTACCCACCCTTTTTGCTGCTTGGTTCTAAGTTGACACTGAACTAGGGAGCTGACACCTAAGTCCCTGGCCTCAGTTGGTTTCCATGTTGAATAGAACTTGGAGAGGAAGGTATGGCAGGCTGAGTCACAGACTCTCATCTGAACACATCTCCATCACTCTTAGGCCTGAGATGGGGGTGGGTGGCATGGCAGGCTTGCCTTGTCCCATGCAGATGTAGCTGTGGTTATGGGTAAAAATCTGTGGAGTCATCTTGCTTTATTTTTCCACATAATTTGCATGTAGCACTAACCCCATTAGTACACAGTGTAGCCACCAATAGTCAGCTTTGGTTGCAAGATCCTAGGAGAGTGAAGTTTGGGATTTTTTCCAGTGTCTTTCTTAGGGCCCAAATCAGAGACACTTTCTGCTAACTGCTGAGACATAGATTAGACCACAGACTGAATACATTTTATAAAAAATGGGGGGCTTCTCATGCATCCAGCCTTTATATATGAGCAAGTGACACTTTGTAGCTTTCTCTATCACCTCATGTTCCCTAATTAGGGTAAAAATCATTCTGTCCAAGATGAAGGCAGGCAGAAGAGTAAGGAAGATTTAAAATGCATTATATTCATTACCATGCTTAAAGCCATTAGTATGTATCAAAAGTCTTTAATAAAATAAACATCCCATTGCTTTAAAAAGTCAGTGAAAAATCATATTATCCTCCCTTTTGTTTTTTCTACTCTCTTTTCTGGAGGAACTAAGGAGCAATGAAATATCAAGAAGGTAGTTAAATTTCAAGAGGAAAGATTCGTTGAGCACCTGTCATGTGGTGTGCATAGTCCTTTATGCGCAGAGTGCCCCATTGTCTCCCTCACAGAGTCCACAAACCTCCCCTTGCTCTCAACTAGAGACCAGGAGAATTATTGTTCTTTCTAGCCCTATGATGGAATTGGCAATCCCTTCTTGAATCCTTCCACCACCCCTCCCCGACACCATGTCCCCCTACACGACACAATCCTTGAAAAAAGTGGCACATAACTGCAAGACTCATCCCACACAGAAAACAAGGAGAACAACCATTGACAACTAAGTGTTTCTCTAAAGAGGCAGCAGGGCTCAGGGGCAGAAAAGGGTCAGGTGGCGGGGCATGTTTTATCAGAAGAAAAAGACCAAAGTCATGACAACAGAATAGATATTCTTTCTTTGAGACGAAATTGGGTTAGTGACTCTAAGAAAAAATATTAAGGTTTACGTCAGTTGCAAGCTCTCTTAGGAGTGGAGAATGGTCTGAGACTGGGATGCCCCAGTTTATCTAATTCTTTGGAGCCATCATTATCTTCCTCCAGAGATTACGACACTCAAGAAGAGGAAAATATCGGCAAAGATTGGTTGAAGAGCTGAGGCATTACTCAAATTGCAAGGTGGAGGAAAATGTTCAGGTTACTCTTCTCTTCTTTTGGGGAGGGGTAGAGCTTTCTGAGGGAAGGGGCTAGGCTGTTTGTGAGGCATCAGGGGTGGAGGTGCTAGGAGCCAGCGAGCAGAGAGGGATGGCGGGACATGCCCCCAGGAAAACAGGTGTCGTAGGTATCTGTGTTTAGGTGGTTCTTCCTATTTATGCTGCAGGAAGACAGCTAAGTGGATTGTTGGTTGTTTCAACTTTTATTTCTCCCAGACTCTAATGTCCCTCTCAGAATCGCCTGATCTTTCAGTAAAAAGCCCTTCCTTCCCACCATGCCATCTACACCGTCCATAATGTGCGTGTCCATTCCAAACCATTTTTGGGTGAAGGGCATTGAAACAGATGCCAGTGGCTCTGGAGAGCACCAGAAATAAACTTGAGAAGCTCAAGACAGTGTGATACAACTTCTTTACTGCTTCTGTAGGTTAGTGAAGATTCCCCTAATAATGATATACACAATCTAAGTTATATTCACCTTAACCACCAAATAAGATTGCAACCCAAGAGGCTGTGAAATTCTTCTTCCTACATTTCTTTGAAACAGAAATCTCTTTAAAATCATCCAAACATAATGGTGAGAGGGCATGTGGAACAGTTCAATCCAGGGCTTACAGCAGTAGTCAAGAGTAAGATAAACAGTGTGATGAGGATCATGCAAGCCCAGCGTGTTGAGGAGCCCAAGATGCTGAAGGCTTTTGTACTGGGAATCATTGTAAAAATGCAAACAATGATGATGAAACTCACTGACTGGTTACAAAGTGCCAGGCACTGTTCTAACTGCTGTCCATGTAATAACTCATTTAATAAACAAATATTTTTGCAAATCAAGTGCAAAGAGAATAGAAGAGGTCTATTCGTTGTCCCTAATTTCCCTTGCAAGGCATACTAAACATTCAAACGAGCTTCTTTCTTGGTATAATTTATTATTTACTAATCACTGATGGCATCCTGAGACAACCAGAAAGAGCCAGCCTCAGACACCAACATAGCAAGGCCAACTCTACTAGATTCTACTAATAATGAAGTTCCCATCCCAGGTTCCCAGGATCACAGCCTATTGCAGAAGTGTGCAGCAGTCTCTCAGTGGTATAGATTTGAAATAGGTTGAAATAATGTTCTGTTGTTTGAGGAACATATATGGAAGCAGCATTGCTAAATAAGCTATCTTTTAATCAAAGCCAATTTAACTATGTTTTTCTGTTTATAATTCATTAACTTTAAAAACATGGTACTATACAAAACATAGAAGTCATGAATTAAAATCCCTGCAGTCAAATTAGACTCTGCATGTCTGGGATATTTAAAAGATAATGTATAGGGGTTGCCATGGTAACTCATCAAGTGGTAATTCTGTACCTTTCTGAGTGAAAACCTTGAAAGGAGAAGACAAGCAATTTGGGGAGATAACAGCACCAGAAATTGAGTTCATCTGTAACTTAGGCTCTCTGTGAGTTTGTTTACCAGCTATTCACCATGTGGATGAAAAACAGTAAAAAGACAAAAAAGATTCACATTTCAAGGCTCCCTAAAATTGCCAATTCCACTCTATAGCTGATTCTCAGCACAGGAGGAAATGGGACTAGAATGCTGGGAGATGACACTATCATCGAACAGTGAGCTCCAAGGAGAAGCCTAATTGTTACTTCTCAATGGCAGAAGGCGGGTGCTTCCCCCGGGGCAGGATTCTGTTTAATCCTTAGGTTAGAGCCCAGCTTCAACCCAGTGTCACAGGTCAATTACCACCCTCCAACCCTGAGGGGCGACATGAACCATACTCACGCACCGGCGCATGCTCCCTCCTCAGCACCTCTTGTACATTCAGAGCTCCTGCATGGGATGCCGAGAACTCACACCCTTCCAGGGCTGCTGAAGATCATATGACTGATCATCAACTTTGATTTTGACCCATCTGTCAACAACGACACAATTGATGAAAACTTTTCAGGCTTTTTTGTAACTCTTTGCTTTCTCTCTCACCTTATTTAGATGGCATTGAATCCAGGTTCTCTAAGACTGTCATCCCCACTCTCACACCTGTTCCGGTTTCTCTGTTTAAAATATTTGTATGAAAACCGATAGATTATAAAATCTACTTCCTAAGCAGGTAAGTTGCCTAATATGGTCAGGAAATGCGAACGACCATAATAATCGTGAGGACATTATTAGTGGCAGGGATTTATGTCACTTAGCTTTTAAAATTCCAAACGATGAGGAATAATAGAATCAATTGCATGGGTGTTGTCAACGGTGCTGAGTTATGTTATTTTCAGTGGAGGCAACTTTTCCCCTGCCCGGGAACACTGGTGGTTGGGGGTCTTATGAAAAGTCAGTGATGGCAGAGTTGTGACAAAGTGAGGGCCAGAGAAGGGTTCTCTTTTTAGATGATGTGTAAGCGTGATGAATATGTTTAGAATGTAGATACAGATAACACATTAGCAAACAAAGTAAATAATTAATGTTTTAGTTATCTAGACAATTCCAGTGTTTACTGGAGTTACACTGGATTCTATTTCATTTATTAGGAATTTACTTAACTTCCTAACTTTGCACTGGAGAATTATTTATGAAGCAACTAATGAGGCCTGGATAGGGATATCAATGCTAAATCAACTGGCCATGCTTGAACCAAAGGGTTCTACCTGGGAGCAGTCTACTTTTCAATACAAACCAACAGCTATGTGCTGATGAGCCATAGCAGTAATAAAAGTGGTTCTATTCTATAAATGGCATATGTTGCCTTCTACAACAAGGCATGATAATGTGCCTTTTCATGCCAGGCACCTTCCCTGATAATGGATCAGTTTCCATCTTAGTTTCTACAAAATTACCTCTAATCCCCTCAGACCACATTCATCAGAGGAAAGCCTTCACTGAAATTAGCTTGCTATAGAAAGTGTTAATGGCTACAAAACATTGTGAACGTACTTAATGGCACTGAATTCTACACTTAAAAAAGGCAGTAATCATAAACTGCAGGTTATATATATCTTATCATAATAAAAATGCTATTATCAAGGTTTTTTATAAGAGTGATATGGTAGAGGGTGTTAGGCTGTTCTTGCATTGCTATAAAGAAATACCTGAGACTGGGTAATTTATAAAGAAAACAGGTTTAATTGGCTCCCAGTTCTGCAGCCTATACAGGAAGCATGATGCTGGCATCTGCTTGGCTTCTCGGAAGCCTCAGGAGACTTACAATCATGGCAGAAGGTGAAGGAGGAGCAGGCATGTCACGTGGTCAGAGCAGAAGCAAGAGAGGGAGCGGGGAGGTGCCACACACGTTTAAACAATCACATTTCATGAGGACTCACTCTATTGCAAGGACAGTACCAAGGGGATGGTGCTAAACCATTCATAAGAAACCCACCCCCATGATCCAATCACCTCCCACCAGGCCCCACCTCCAATACTGGGGATTACAATTCAACATGAGATTTGGGCAGGGACACACATCCAAACTATATCAGGGTGCTAGGGAGGGGAAGTGGGAAAGAAGGGTAAGACAGCACTGAAAGGGAGGAAAGGAGGGAGAGGGAGAGGAAGAGAGAGAGGGGGTGGAGCAAGTGAGGGAGGGAGAGAGAAAAAAAGATATTGACTGATGAGAATGAGTTTCAGAGTATGGCAGAAGTTTTTTAGGTAGACGAAAGTGTGAAGTGTTGCAGTAGACATTTGTGATGCTTGGCTGCCTGGCATCTGAACACCCTTTCTACTCTGGAGGAATCTCAAGATGAAGCTGAGGGTGGCATTTGGGGAATAAACTGACTGAGGCAGATCTAAGAGAATGCATATGCCTAGGATGCTACATCTTGAGGGAGGGACTAAGATGCAGGTTAAGCCAGCTGTGGATGGCTCTGTTGTGTCATTTCCTCTGGTTCTTGCCCTTTCTCCTGTTTTTTTTTTTTTTTTTCCAGCTCTCATGTTAATTCTGCAATAAAATCCTTCTGGTAACTTTTTTTCAACCTAAGTTATTCTATGTTAGTTTCTGTGGTTTGCAATGTTAATACAAACAGAAAACAAATAATTACTCCCACATTGTCAAATAATAGTTGAAATCAAGTTCAAAATAGAATTTCAACTGTGTTTTGTTTTTTTTTTTTTTTAGCAAAATGAGAATCTTAGCTGAATTGGTAGCCACAAATCTTCCTCTGTTGTGGCAAAACCGTTTGATCTTGCCCATTTTCAGTCAAACAGGGGCTTGGGTAATTGGGAAATAGTTTTCTATTCTATCACAAAATCCAAATCCCCTGGAAGATTAGAAGGACTGATTTCATGCTCTCTCTCTTTTTGTTATGGCTTCTTCAAAGGTTGCAGTAGGAATTCCCAAAGAAGAGTCTGTCTTTTCCCTAAGAGCCTTACTAATGAGATGCCAGCAGCAGAGACATTATCTAGTGGACCCTGGGCTATTCCTCCAGAGTGAGACAAGAAAGAGCTGACTAGGACCCAGGCTCCAAACCACAGAGCCCCATGCTGAGAAGCAACCTCATTCCCACTTGGGAGGGCAGGTGAGGGGGTGGTTTTTCTCCTAGCATAAAGTCTTCATCTCTTTCTTTGAGTTTATCAACCTTGATACTCAAGACAGTTCTGAAGAAATTGTGGAGCCCTGGTATGGTTTGGCTGTGTCCCCACCCAAATCTCATCTTGAATTCCCACATGTGGGAGCGACCTGGTGGGAGGTAACTGAATCATGGGGGTAGGTCTTTCCTGTGCTGTTCTCGTGACAATGAATAAGTCTCAAGAGATCCAATGGCTTTATAAGACGGAGTTTCCCTGCACAAGCTCGCTCTCTCTTTGCCTGCTGCCATCCATGTAAGACGTGACTTGCTCCTCCTTGCCTTCTGCCATGACTGTGAGGCTTTCCCAGCCATGTAGAACTGTAAGTCCCTTAAACTTCTTTTTCTTCCCAGTCTCGGGTATGTCTTTATCAGCAACGTGAAAACGGACTAATACAAGCCCAGAAGCGCCCAAACCCAAAATGTCTGTGTAGCAGCAGCATCTCTGGCTGTGGGTTGACCAATGGGGTGTTTCTGTTTACTTCTTCTTCACCTCCTCTCCTTTTTCCCTGATGATTTGCCCACAGGTGTCAGAAATGAGCTGTGTACCAAAGCTTATTTACATCCTAACTCTAAGACAAACTATGCTTTTAAAAAAGCTACATTATCTCTGAGGATTTCAACCAAAAGGCTGAAATCAGAATCCCAGAAGCCTGTATTGGAATCATTTGGGGTGGGTTTATTTTCTCCTAAATGATGAACATTCACTGCCCTTGTCCTCTAGATGTGCACACACCCCCATTAGGATAAGCACTCACTTTTCGTTGAGGTGACCAGGGCAATGTGCAGCAGGTTTTTTTCAGGATGAACAGTTCCTGGTGGGGATTTGCACCCAGTGTTTCCTGCTCCACATCCGCATGGTATCCATCAGGCACATGGTGGAAACCAGAATCTGGGTCCATCCTGGCTCTGCCCTTTAAGCACCAGGCTGCTTGACAGCACCCCAGTTTGCACTTGCATTTGGAGAATTGTAAGGATTGGGGAGAAAACAGGGTGAGAACATGTCGGGCAATGCAAAGCACTCTAGAAACACCATTTGCCAGTGTCATGAGTTCTAGTTGTATGGGGTGTGAGTGCTAATGCTCTCAAAGGACCGCTCTGGAAAAGAAATGAGGCTGAATGTTAAACAGTGACAAGTGCCTTATGCCTTGCTTCAATGAAAAAAAAAAAGGTCTTCTTTTTCTTGCTATAGAAAAAAAAAATGGAAATTGAGAACATGAGTGACTTACAGGTGAGCTGGTTCCTCTCTGAGAAGTTCGAAAATGTGTACCGAGGTAGAAATCATCATAACTTTGTTAACAGAGGTGTCCATTTTCTTTCCAAGAGATATTAGGAGCACTGGGAATTTATATTTGATTTCCTTACTTTGTTTTCTCTCTGCCAATTCTTCTAATGGAGAAAATACGTGGTTATCAGAGAGAAAGAGGAATAAAAGACAATGTTACTATGGAACAGGCTATTACCAAGCCAAGGTTGATAATGGAGAGGAGTTGCATTTAGGAAGATATATAGTGATGTCTGACCAAAGTGAAAAAAATAAATAAAGAGATTCTGTTACGGACTTGGCATTATCCTTTGTAAAGTTGGCACACTATTTTCAATTGCAATTTTATGAGTTTTTTAGAAACTAAAATAACAAAATAATTACATTAATGCCTACATAGACATGTTTGTGTTGTTTGATATTCTTGAAATATTTTAAGTCCTTTGCATAATCAGATTAAGTAACATGAACACAAAACTCTACAGCTAAAGGCCAGTGTGATCCCAGGAGAGACCAGCATTAGCAAACAAATTAATTCCCGAGTAAACCAGAGAGAAAGGAGTTAAGCCTTTGATCTAAGACTTACTATTTCCAAACCATCTTCAAGTTAAATTACAGATATATCTCCTGAAGTGAATCATTGGAAACCAGGGCATACATGGCACCCCATTCTTTCCTTCTATGACCCCATTGAAGGAGGCAGGTTGTGTGAGTGTGGCGAGACGCAACGCTCCATTTTGAAACACTTTGCCAATTTCCCCCCCACTTCATGACCTTGGGTAAATGACTTCAGCACTTTTGAGCAGGGTGCTGCCTTTCCTACACTATAAAAATGGCTGTTATGTCTATCGATCATGCAGAGGTGCCACGAGGCTTAATTTATTAATGTTTGTGTTACACTCTGCAGCTCTTACATGGAAGGTGTTATAGAAATGCAAAGCAGCAATATATTACCTAAACATCTGCCTCCTCAAATAGCTCTCCAGAAAGTTTTCATTGCTTCAGCACAAGTGATTTCCTTCAAAATGTATAATTTTGTCCAGGTCTTTCTTGGCCCATAAATTGATTCTCCCTCTTTTCACAGTATAGAGTCTCTGTGCAGAGTACACTTTCCATCTTGTCCCTGAAATGTTCACTGTGCCTGCTCTCCCTTGTGTGTGCATTGCAATTACTGACAGTCTCTTTTTCCTCATCACGTTTGCCCTCTTCATTCTTTACTCCAAAAAGCTATTATAATTTAACCCTTCTTTCTATGCTTAATTTCATACATGGACATGTTATGTCTCACCCAAGAGCATGATGTTTTAAAATTAGGCACTAAAAACAAAAGAAATCACTTAAGAATTTTCTTGAAACTAAAATAAGAAAATGCAAAAATAGAAGGTCCAAGTCTGAACATGTTTTGATGAGATGAAGTTAACTGCTAAATTGCTAAAGATTGTATTGGAGATTATTTCTGGTAATGTTAATATTGTCCATAATTTTGTAAAAGTAAGTTCTTCATTAAAGAACTCTATAGCAAATGGGTATTATTTACATAGAAATTCCAGAGTTCCAATATCTATTTGCCTGGGATTTAGATAACTTCTTTTCCAAACACGATTAGAGAGAGGAAATAATAAATTATGCCAACATATTGTATTCAAAGGCTTTCTTCTTTCCACATTTTTACTTTCACTTCAGTTTTGAGACTATTTTTTTATTTGCATATTATTCTTCAGCCCTACGTTTTTGGTTATGGGAGTATCTTAAAATGTACCTGGGATTTGATTGATTGATTGAGAGACGGGGTCTCACTCTGTTGCCCAGGCTGGAGTGCAGTGGCATAAACATGGTTCGCTTGCAGCCTCAACCTCCTGGGCTCAAGCAATCCTTCCTCCTTGGCCTCCCGAAGTTTTGGTATTACAGGTGTAAGCCACTGCACCCAGCCCTGGGATTTGTCTTAAACAGGTATGATTGTAATTGCCCAGGCAGGTTCTTCTTGCCCACTGCCCAGAAAAGCCAATGCACTGAGGGCAGCAAGAGTGTTCACAGCAAGGAAAGATTTAATTATTGCAGGCCAGCCAAATAGCATGATGGGAGATAATTCTCAAATCTGCCTCCCTGAGAATTTGGGGACTAGGGTTTTTCAAGGCTAGTTTAGCAAGCAGGGGACTAGGGAATGGGGAATATTTGTTGGCTGGGTTGGAGATGAAATCATAGGGGGTCGACCCTGTCTTGTGCTGAGTTAGTTCCTGAGTGTGGGTTACTGGTCTGGGTGGTGCCAGTTGGTTCATACAGAATTGAAGATCTGAAACATATCTCAAACACCAGTCTTTGGTTTTACAATAGCAATGTTCTCCATAGGGGCAATTGGTGAAGTTATAAATTTTGTGGCTACATCACTCCTGAGTAGTAAGTAATTTTTAAAAAGCAAGTTATAAAACAATGACTGGTTAGGGTTTATACCTACATCTTAGCAGAATTCAGGTTCCTATCACAATTGTAACCTTGTGGACTTTCATTAGTTTTAAAAAGGTGATTTTGGTCCCCGAGTAAGGTGGGGGTTACTTTCAGGAAGGAACTGCTATCATCTTTGTCTTAAAGTTAAATTATAAACAAAATTCCTCCCATAGTTAGCTTAGAATGAGCAAAGGCTTAGCTTGTGAAGTTAGAAGCAAGATGGAGTCAGTTATGTTAGATTTCTCTCACCGTCATAATTTTGCAAAGACAGTTTCATCACAGATATAGAGACAACTGTCTTTGAAAGAAGAGTTTATTACTTACAGGCTCCAAGAGAAGGGGCATGCCATATTATGTCAGGCCTCCGGGGAAGTACCCAGGTCAGTCAGGAAGCAGAAGGAATGAGGGAAAAGCCTGGTCTAGAGTCTTACTGTGGTTTCCATGGGAGAGAAAGGGTGAGGCAGGGAAGGCAGGTTTGAGCAAGCTTAGAATTGGATAGTTTGGATAATGTGGGCAGGCTCTGGCCATAGGGGTGGTCTCTAATTGTCTGATGCCCGGCCTTGGGTGATTTGGCAGTGGAAATACTGGCTTGGTGTATTAGAGTGAGATAAAGGTGGTGGTTGAGGATATGGGCTTTGGATTGGTGGGGTTGTATACAAAAGGTGTGCTCACAGGCAAGTTGTCTGCTATCTCTAAAAATTAGCTAACCCCTGGAGGGGCAGTCCCTCCCCAGGTCCACACAGCCCCCACAGTGTCAAAGCATCATAAAATATGAAAAAAAAGAACATGATTAATACAGGGGTATCATCTCTGAAATTTTCCAAGCAAATCTTTAAACTAAGTTTGGCTATATAATTCTTTTTATTTAGTGATAAAATAAATGCTTTATAAGGAAAAAAGTTGTGAAAAGAATCATGAAAATTGCTACCATTGATGAACACTTACTACGCCTAGCAATTGATGAAACAGTACATATATGACCTCAGTTGAAGTATTAAACTACAAAAGAAAGCTAAATGAAAAAGAAAAGCTTAAATTACCTCCTGCCCTTATTTACTTGTTGTTTGCAAGAGGCAGATCCAAGCAGCTTGGAAAGAGGTAAATCAGCATTTTCTTCTTTCTAGACAGAGCTGAGTCAGCCTCCCAGCACTCACGTGTGGTGTTGTGAGGCTGCTCAGTTAGGAGCATAACCTGCTACATCGGGCAGTTAACTGGCCAATTTGAATGAGTTCTGCCATTGTTTGGCAGCTCAGCTCTGACAGTGACTCTAACAGAAAATCCCTCCACATATGTCCTCAGTTTGTGGGTAAGCGTTCTTAAACTGGCAGTATGCAGGGAGTTACTACCTGGCATATGTACCACCACATCCCAAACCATATCGATGGCAGGTATCATTTTGTCTGAGCAAGGACGCAACCTCAGAAACTCTCAACAGAGTGTTCTAGGAAATTCACACCCAATTTTCATAGGTTGGCATAATAGATGAAACATATTTATTTGCCATCTGATGTGGCTTTGCTGTCTCCCCACCCAAATCTCATCTTGAATTGTAGCTCCCATAATTCTCACATGTCATGGGAGGGACCTGGTAGGAGGTAATTGAATCACATTGACAGATCTTTCCCATGCTGTTCTCGTGATAGTGAATAAATCTCACGAGATTTGATGGTTTTATAAAGGGGAGTTCCCCTGCACCCGCTCTCCTGTCTGCTGCAATGTAAGATGTGTCCTTGCTCCTCCTTTGTCTTCCACCATGATTGTGAGGCCTCTCCAGCCATGTGGAACTGTGAGTCTATTAAACCTCTTTTTTCTTTATAAATTACTCAGTCTCGGGTGTGTCTTTATTAGCAGCATAAGAATGAACTAATACACCATCTCTATACAGAAGGATGAAGACTCTATCTCTATACATAATTATAACTACTTTTTAGAGTATTGTAGATCAAAAGATAATCAGTTACTATTCATTGACTTAAGAAAATCAGACATAATTTGATGTTTATATGTTTATAATGGATATTTGTCCACGAAATGGGATAAATATGAAATGAGACATTCAAAAATGAAATGTCTTATGAAATGTACACTCCTGCTGATGAACTCAAGCCTTTTCCCAGCTAGCTTCAGATGGGCATCTATTGCTTTGGACTGCACAACATCATCCCCTAGTGCCACTTTCCTCTAATACCAGGACCACTCATTCCCATGGGTACCCATTTCCATAGCTGTGGTGTGGTTTGATTGGAACTGCTGTTGCCAACCTTGCCTCACTCCAACCTCCCCACCCCCCACCCCAAGCTGTACAGAGGTAGGCACCTGGTCCAGCTAGGTAACAATATCCCTCCATCCATAGTGACTGCTTCTAGGCTGAGCCAGTCACAGCTCTTCCCATCAGGGGAGACCATTTCTGCAGGAGATGCTAGGCTAGGAGGGTGATATGGTTTGGCTCTGTGTCCCCACTCAAATCTCATGTTGAATTGTAATCCCTGATGTTGGAGGTGGGGCCTGGTGGGAGATGATTGGATCATGGGGGTGGTTTCTGATGGTTTAGTACCATCCCCCTAGTGCTATCTCATGACAGAGTTCTCCTGAGATCTGGTTGTTTGAAAGTGGGTAGCAACTTCCCCTCCACCTTCCTCCTGCTCTGGCCATGTGAAGACCATGCCTACTTTCCCTTCCCCTCCTGCCATGATTATAAGTTTCCTGAGGCCTCCCCATAAGCAGAAGCCGTATAGCTTGCAGAACCGTGAGCTAATTAAACCTCTTTTCTTTATAAATTACCCAGTCTCAGGTATGTCTTTATAGCAGTGTAAGACCAACTAATATATAGGTATTAGTTGGGTATAAGCAAGGGGCTGGTGGTGGTCACCTTTCCTGTCATGTGAAAGACTGCAGGTATAATTATGTGAGCACAGTCAAGAGACAAAGGGAGAGAGACAGCAGCAGTGATGGGGACAGAGTCTGAGCTCTTGGATTCAGCTGTTCCTGAAATCAGAGGCACACTGAACTTCCCAATCCCAAGAGGCAATAAGTTCCTTTTGTGTCCCCTTAGGCTAGTTCAGAAATTGGATTTCTGAATTTGCAGCTGGCAGAGCTCTAATTAATACAAAGACATGTTAAAAAAAAACAAAGGGATATTTTTTACTGTCTTTATAGTGCTATTTTGTGGTGTTCTGACTGTTGCACAGGTGCTTGTTATTGAAGAGATAGATACATGCTCTATATAAAAGACATTTACTGAGTGCTTACTATTGCTAGGCATTATTCTAAGTACTTCCCAAACAGTGAGTAAATTAATTCTCATAAAATCATTTGCAGTGGGTATTACTAGCAATGTTATACAGATGCAGAAACTGGGACAGTAAAACAGTAAAGAAACTTGTCCTAGGTCACAAAGCCCGCAAGTGGCAGAGCTGGGATTTGAACCTAGGCAGACTGGCTTGAGTCTGTGCTCGTAGCCACTATGCTAACACTTACAACTTGCTTTTGTCCTAGTTTTATATTTCATAATTACATCTAATAACAAAAGAGAACAAGGCACCATATACCTTCTCCGTTCCATGCCTTGAATGCTGGCCTCTAGCTGCTGTTCTTCCAAGGTGAGAAAGAGACCTAGTTATACTTTACAGAGAATTTGAGAATCATGGTCCTTTAGACTTGGGAACATTTTGGAAGAAACACTGTCCATAAGCCTCACCTAAATTGGCACAACTGAAAATGCCCATCTTTTCATAAGTCTATTGAACGATGTTATTCAACCAGTGATAAATTAACCCCAAAATACATAGGTGAACTGCAGTATATAACATAGAATAAATATATCTGAGAAAGTCAAATGTTGTGAGATGGGAAAGGGTACTCCTGCTGCTCAAGGATTAGAGTTGAAAGCAGGAAAATCTGCTGTGCTTAACTGGGTAAAGTCACAGCATTTACATTTCTTGTTGATAGCTAGTGAAGATTCTCCTTGAAGCTCAAGTTCTCGCTGCCCTCTGTCCCAGTCCCCTGTAGAATTGTCAAATCCCGCTTTTGCACTTACTTGATTACCTGCTGAAATCCTGAAATTGCCACAGCTGTTGCCATTTCAGCTCCTTGAATTTATGAGCACCAATGCATCTCCCTTGCATCTGCTTTGGCTGTTGCTTTTGAAAGGAGCGATCACACAAGGAGGGGTAGAGGAAGAGGCCCAGATAGTTCTGTGGCACTGAAGGCAGCTAAGAAAAGAAGGAACTCTTGACTTTGCGATTAGAATAGTAGCAACTGAGAACATTAAATGTGTTTATCTTTCTTCTGAGGAATGCCAAGTATTTTTTAAAAGAGAACCCTGACTCATCGTGCAGAAGCACAAGGACACACACTAAAAATAGTGGCGTGGTTTCTAACATCGAGATGCTCCGCAGCGGGTGACGAGAGGTTTGCTTCTAAATAGACAGGTAACCTACGGAGAGCATATGACGATCTTCTCTCTAAAGGAGTCTGTCAACTCTGTGGGATCTTCCTTTCAGATGACTGATGGGTACAGCAGGGTGGAGGTCGGGAAGGGGAGGCCAATGGATATGGAGGTGGTACTGTTTCCATAAGCATTTCTCTTCTTTCCTTAATGGAATCGACATACACTCTGGCTTCCGCAACGTCCTAGATTAAAGTGGCTTTAAGCCAAGGAGTAAGCCAGTCAGACACCCTTTACACATCCTCAGTTCTAGGTGGGCTCTGGTCTGGGACCAACTATTCTCCCTGATTGATCTGTGCCCTGCCACGGCCTCAGAGAAAGACTGATTCCTGCGTATTCACTAAGGACAGTAAGATGCTTCTGGACAGTCAGATATTTGGGACCTTGATATTCCCCACAGTTGAGTCCACTGGCTCTTTATGCACAGGTGACCAGCACTGACCGAAGCTTCTCAGAGTGAAACTGAGCATCTTTCCAGGTGCCTGCACCGCCAAAGCCGAGACCATCTCTCCATTTCCACACACAATGGCACCTTCAGAAAGCAGGGAGAGGATGTACCTCCCTGCCAAAATCAATCCTGGTCAACTCCAAGTGAGTCTATAAGCCGTACTAAAATAAAGCTGATTTAACAAATAATGGCTTAACACATGGAATCACTAAATGTTATGCTTTAATGTATTTGTAAGAAAATCTCACCATTTGATGTTAAAAGGAGGAACAAGATGAATTTTGACACGCATTTGTCAAATCTTGAGGAACATTAACTTTCTGAGCAGAGAAGACCTTTTTAGAGCCCCCAGATGGAAACTGGATAAAGTCCTTTAGACTTATGAAAAGCTACATGCTTGAACACAGCTCCTGCCCTGTGGTTTCAAATACAGGCTTAGGACTTCTGCCTCTGAATAGGCTGTCGGGCAGCAGACTGATGCTCTCACCAAAAATAACTAGAAAGGCCACATAAAATAAAATTAAATTTAAAACTCGGTTAAAAGACATAAGAGAACTGCTGATGCATAGGTGACTATCAAGGCCACAGTTTGAAGAGGGTAGAATCACAGAGGGGTGAGTTGTTGATCTGTTGATCTGCAACTTCTTTTATTCGGGGACATTTGCAGAGTTTAGATGTAGAGTAAGAATCCGCCACTGGAGCAGAGAAATCAGCAGAGCTCTAGATAGCCTTGGAGGGTTCAAAAGACAAAGTTGAAAATATACGAGGCCAAGATCCTGGTGAGAGGCAGAAAACTGACCCTGGTTTTCTCTTCAAGAGGTTAAGAGAGCAAAAGGCTAAAAGATTAACAGGGCAAAAGGCTAAGTGGAAAGACTGAAAAGAAAGTGAAGTTTTTGGCAGGGTCACCATGCTTAGGGAACAAGAATTACGGTTCAGGACTCACAAGGGGAAGGGCCCTGGTGAATAAACCAGGGTCTTGGCTGAGGCCTTAGGAGCCTAGATTTCACTCAGCTCAGTGAAAGTTGATTATCCCCTTCTCAGCTTGCCTAACAAAAGAAGGTGTACTCCCCTTTGGTGAAGAATAACATCTGGAGCCTCCATACTTTTCCTTTTAATGGATAATGCGCAGCGTTCAATCAAAACTTTTGGGGGTCCCAGCAGCATGCCTGGTAATGGCTGTGATGACAGTTTTCTAATATTTAATTTGATATTAAGTGCATATCTAATTCATAGAACTTGGGCTTCCTGGAAGCACGGTTGCCACAGGCAGTCTGGGAAACAGTGCCAAGGTGTGTGAGTCTGTGTCTGTGTGTATAACACTGGCTTTCATACAGGAGCTGCTCATTAAGGGATAAGCTGCAAGCCAATCATTTGTCAAAGATAATTCTCATTCGGTTTCATACCAAGGAGTGAGGAAGATTTTTTTTTAACTGTGAAAACCCCACAAAAACAAAAAGAACAACAAAAAAAGAACAAAGAAGCCGCCTCGCATCCTACAAATACAAGTCAGTATTCCTTCTGTGTTCTCTTGTAGCATGGTGCTTCATTTTACTTATCTGTATTCTTCCCAAGCTGCAAATTTACTAGGGCCACAGACTATATCTACCTCAGTCACACAAGTCTCCTCCAGTGGCTGGTGCAGTGCCTGGAGTACAATGGGGGCTTAATAAATATTTTTTATAGAATTAATGAAGGAAATAAATAAAAGCAAACTGAATGTCAAACTTACTTTGGGAAAACAGTCACAATACAGTTGTGATCTGCAGTTGGGTGCACAAAAGCCCAATGTGAACTATAGCAGAAAGTCTCTTATCTGATGTAGTTAGAAAGGTAGTTATTCAGGCCAGGGACAGTGGCTCACACCTGTAATCCCAGCACTCTGGGAGGCTAAGGTGAGGATCCCTTGGGACCAGCAGTTCAAGACCAGCCTGGGCAACATAGTGAGACCCCATCTCTAAAAAAAAAAAAAGTTAGCTGGGTATGGTGGTGTACACTCATAGACCAAAGTACTCAGGAGGCTGAGGTGGGAGGATCATGTAAGCTCAGGAGTTTGAGGCTGCAGTGAGCTAGGATCACGCCACTGTACTGTAGCCTGGGTAACAGAGGGAGCCCATGTCTCAAAAAACAAAACCAAAAAAATTTTTTTAAAAAAGGAAAGAAAGGTAGTTTTCAGTTCATTGAAAGTAATTTATAGCAGGGAACTTATAGAAAATATATACTTATTTTGCATTTTACCCTTCATACCTCATTTTAACTTAAACACAAATGCACATTTGTATACTAATATCTTGACAGTGTGCCAAAGCCTTTTGAGTATAGGTCCGTTTACAAGAGTCAAGTGATCCTTCTTGATGATCTTTCTTGAATGAACAGCATTCACAATGAATCATTTCCAATTTAAGCTTTTTTAAAGTGGAGTGAGAACCAAAAGGCAGTAGGGACAATCTGAGCAAAAACTTCACAAAGCCCATACACTTTCCAATATTTTCCAGTTTTCTTTCCCATACTTGAAACCTTTTTTTAAAAGCAATTTGCTTAAAGTCCTCTCAAAGTATTCAGCTTAATTTTCAAAGGCAAAACAACTCTTTGATACTCATATTTATGAGATTATGTGACATTTAATTACCTAATATTAACAGTATGACTGATATAATAAGTTTGGAAACAACTATAACTGAATCCTGGTAAGCATACAACTCAACTGGCAGAAGCAGAAGTATGCGGGTTAGGAGAAGGTAGCAAATTACTAGGTGGGAGCATGGGCATGCCATGGGCATTCATTAGTATGTTTCATAGAGGCGTGGTCAATCCCGTAAGAAAGCAAAGTAGAGGTCATATAAGAGAGCTTATAGAGAAAGTGTTATTAAGGACAAGGAGCAGCTTCCATTTGCAAAGGGTAAGTATTCCAGAGTATTTAAATATATGATAGTTTAACTATTAATTAAGTTAAACTGCCTTAACATATTAACATTTTATAGTAAAGAATGGAAAATACATACATCACCATTACATGTACATATATAGTAATACATAGTCAAATATTTAATTGCTTTTAAATATATTTAACATAAATTATATTTATACCATATTCAAAAGTCTTTTTGAAATATTTTAAATTTTCCTTTGCTATCTTCTACCAATTTAGGATGAAAAAGGGGGGTTTGATAGGTAGCTAATCCTGTTTGAATTATCAGAAGCTCCAAATTAATGCATTACAAATTGCATGTGTAATAGGTGGTACAGCAGGCCACTTTTAGACAACAGGCTCCTGGAGAATAGAGCTAGCACTCAATGAATATGCTGTACACAAGACTCTACCAACATTAGTTCTCCATAAACCTCATTTTTTCTTTTCTTTCTAAACATTCAGACCTGTAATAAGAATGCAGCTCAGGTCTATCCACTTAAATGCTGTGCCAAGATATCATACTATAGATATTTTTGCACTTAGTCTATTAGGTAATTTTTGCCTGACATGAGTATTAACGAGAACGGATATACTTGTTAGGTATTGCAAATAATTCAACTTTAAAAACATTTTCTATTACTTCTCTTTCAAGCTTCTTGCTCGGACTAAAGAGTATTAAGATTGCAGGTGAGCTATGAATCATTTTCTCCAACAAACACACACACACACAAAAACAGATGAGACTGATATAAGATTATAACTATTTCCTCTAACACTAGACATTATTTTTTTTCTCATTACACAATTTTACCCATTTAAGCTTATGAAGCTTAAATATTGCTGCAATATTGCTTTTCTCTACTTGCATGTTAGGAATCCATGAGATTTTATTTGATTTTTTTTTCAAAAGTGTTGTGCACATATATAACAATTTGCAAACCATTGATTTGGTCCAATTTTATTATCTCTCAGAGTAAAAAACAGACAGGGATTAAGTAACTTGCAAAAGATCACAAAATTAATTAGAGGCCACACCATTAACAGAAACTGACACTTATGTCAATGATCTTCCCATTGATCACACTGGCTTTGTGTTTTCTAATTTCAGCCATGATGATTCAGACTAAACTAGTCATTGAAATCTTCATTTTCTGAAGCAGTTTTCATCCTAAAGACTCATGAATGTTAAGTAGAGAATCAAATCCATTAAAAGATCTAACTACCATCAATTGGTTTAGATAAAGAAGGAGTTTTCATCTAATGGAAATGTTGATGGAAGGCAGGAACTTGAAATTTGGCTAGTTTATTGGGTTTCATTGCATAAATTATGGCAATTTAAATGAGTTTTTATTCTTACCCTATACAAGAAACTAACAAAAGAACTGGTAAAACTTTTGGATGCTTTCCATCAGCAGCCTAGGGTAATAATCCAGCTTGGCATCCATCCAATCCAAGAAGTGAATTATTCCAAATAAATAAACTAATTCTAATAACAGAATAGGGCTTCAATATCATAAAAATAAATATATTTAAAATTGAGAAACATCTACCAACTGAAAGGGTGGTGCATTAATTGTCAATAGTCTTATAGTGCGTTTTCAAATATGTAGTCACAAGTATATTTGCTATGTCTTTCTTTTCATAAAATAAAGTTATTCCATGGTCATCAGTAATACCATATTAAACTGTTTTAAGTCATAGAGGCTGTGATACAGAGTTTTGCATAAGGAGTAACAGTATTTTTCTGTGAAGATTAGGGTTTAGAACCACATGAATAGCAATAACATTGGGTTCATGCTTATCTGTTTTCATTTAAAATAAATTTTGAGAATGTATGGCAATAGTTCCACAATAGCTAAATTCTATCAATTTTAGCATTCACGAAGAATTCAAAATACCTTATATGGGGAGAAAAAAGAAAGTCTGCAGTCAAATGAATTTGGGATACAGTAGATTATTTTTCAGAGTTATAAGATTATATGACTTTTTTTGCAGAGAATTTCTGGGACTCAAAATTTAAAGAAAACGCTTTGGGTAATGTTACCGCAAGGGAATAATATAAGCAACTATCATTTAGCGAGCACTTACTATATAACCATAGTGCCTGTATTATGTTGATTTGACTACATCTCTAAGGGGTAGAAACACTATCATCACCTCTATTTTATAGATAAGGAAATACTTGAACTCAATGAATCCAAACAGCAGAACATTTCCAGAATGTATACAGAAATCAAACTCTGAAATTAAAAAAAGTTCCTTTCCCAGTTTTATTACGAATACATCACTAGATGATAGGAACCCAAAGCCTGTGAAATATGCCCTGATGACACCCAGTTTGCTTACCCACAGCAAGTTTCTATCAGGTTAATGAAAATTTTGAGAATTCAGCAAGCTTCCCGCACTATGTACAAAAAAACCTCATCCTTAACACTGAACTCTTTCAAACCAGTTTGAAAATTTCTGGAGGTTGTTCTCCTGTAGAGTGGAAATGGTTAAAGGCACGAACTAAAAACCAATGGCAAAGGATGGGGAATGCAAGTTTAGAAAAGAGGCAAAGGAGTTAAGAGAGTCAGATCCATTCACCTAAGAGAAAATCGCAGCTAGACTGACGGGGCAGGAAGGGCCCTTGTTTGGCTAGGCCATCCATTCCCATCTCCATGTGGGGCCACATGCCTCAAGTTCCCAGGAAACCACATTGGATGTGCCAAAACCAATGAGCACAATGGGAATTTAGTAACTTGCACAGCAGAGGCATACAGTCAATACAATCATTTAGCCGAAGAAGAATTTATCAAAGTATAGAACATGGATCACCTGTAACATCATCTAGGTTGTCTGTCCAAAGTGAAAATTCATGGAGAGAAACCTAGAAAATTACAACATCAGCCTCTGTAGACGCAGCTAAGGAGTCTGCATTTTAAGCAAACCTCAGGAAATTCTGATGTAAGCTTAAGTTCAAACCTGAAATTAGGCAAGAAAGAACTCATTATACTTCTTTTAGCTAACAAGAATAACCTTGGTATTCTTCAACTAGAACCTGTTTAGAAGACAAAAGAAGGAAGTGATGCTTAAGAATGGTCCATTTGGGCACTCCAATGCACATCCCATAATTAGCAGTGGGTGTTCTGGGCGGCACAACAGCTTGAAAACAGTTTGTTCAGGCTTACAGCTCCGCAGCCATAAGAAGCACGGCCCCATTTTGCAAGCCTCAGACACATTCCTGCTACCGACATCCAATTTAAAATTCTTATTTTAAGTTCAGAAAGACAGAGTCATGCACCACATAACAATGCCTCAGTCAATAATGGACTGCATATATGACGGTGAGCCCATAAGATCCTGATGGAGCTGAAGAACTCCTGTTTTTACAGCTAACCTGTTATACAGTAGGAGTATATTCTAAAATAACTATAAAAAGTACAATAACATAGTTATTATCAAATATGTACTGTACTAATTGCATGTGCTATACTTTTATATCACAGTGCAGTGGGCTTGTGTACACTAGCATACTAGCATCACCACAAATACATGAGTAATGCACTGTCTCAAAAAAAAGAAAAAAAAAATCTTAGGTAGATCCTTTAGAATATGAGTTGTCTGGTGGTTTTTTTTTTTTTTTTTTTGGAAGACTTATGTGTATGTTCTCTTTTTTTTAAACAGGTGGTGTTTGGTTATATGATGTTCACTTTATTTAATGACAAGTAAAAGTGTAAGGAAATTGAGCTATGTTGTCACATTGTGGAAAACATCTCAAGGCAGCAAGAAACTGGATAATCCTGAATATTTTTACCTGAAGGACTAAGTAAAGATCATAGCATGGTGGTTTCTAAGACACAAACTCTTCATAATCTAACATCTCTGAATTTAGGATGCATGTTTTCTTTTAATTTTTATTGAGATGTTAATTCACACACTATAAAACTCACCCTTTTAAGTGTATAATTCAGTGGGTTTTGGTCCATTCACATATTCACATAGTTGTATAACCATCACCACTGTTTAGAACATTTTCATCTTCCCCCAGATAAGCCTCATGTCTACTGGTAATCACTCCTTATTCCACTTTCCTTAACTCCTGGCAACCATGAATCTACTCTGTGTCTCTGTGGATTTGCCTATTTCTTACATACAATATGTTACATATAATATGTTGGCTTTTTCAACTTAACATGTTTTCAAGATTCATCTATGTTGTATGTATCAATATCGTACTTCATTTTTATTGTCAAATAATATTTCATTGTATGGATATACCATGTTTTGTCTGTCCATTCTTCAGCTGATGGACATTTATTTCCACTTTTCGGCTATTACCAATAATGCTGCTATGAACGTTCATGTACCTATTTTTGTGTGAACATGTTTTCAATTCTGTGTATATACCTAGCAATGGAATTGCTGGAGTACATGGTAACTGTACATACATTTTACCTCTTGAGGAATGCCAAACTATTTTTTCCAAAGCAGCTGCATCATTTTACAATCCCACCAACAATTTATGAGTGTATTTCAACATCCATGCCAACATTCATTATTGTCTTTTTGACTTTAGCCATCCTAGTGGGTATAACGTGGTATTGTGTGGTTTTAATTTGCACTTCCCTGATGGCTAATTGTCGAGCCATGTTTTTATGTGCTTACTGGCCATTTAATACATTCTTTGGAAAATGTTCTGAAAAGTTATAAACTTTTGATCGTCTTTTAAAGAGGTTGCATTTTGATGAGTTGTAAGAGCCTGTTACATATTTTGGACCCAAGTTCCTTATCAAATATATAATCCCTAAATATTTTCTATTTTGTGAGTTGTCTTTTTACTCTCTTGACAGCGTCCTTCCATGCACAAAACTTTAATTTTGATGAAACCCAATGTTATATATTTTTTCTATTTTTTTCTTGAGACGGAGTTTCGCTCGTCGCCCATGCTGGAGTGCATGGTGCGGTCTCGGCTCACTGCAACCTCTGCCTCCAAGGTTCAAGCGATTCTCCAGCCTCAGCTTCCCAAGCAGCTGGAATTACAGGCGCCCATCACCACGCCCAATTTTTGTATTTTTAGCAGAGACGGGGTTTCACCATGCTGGCCAGGCTGGTCTTGAACTCCTGACCTCAAGTGATCTGCCTGCTTCGGCCTCCCAAAGTGCTGGGATTACAAGCGTGAGCCATTGTGCCTGGCCTTTTTTCTTTTGTTGCTTGTGTTTTTACGTTTGGTATGTCAAAAATCACTGACAAATCTAAGGTTACAAAGGTTTACATTATGTTTTCAAAGGTTTACATTATGTTTTCTTCTAAGAGTTCTATAGTTGTAGCTCTTTGACCCATTTTGATTTAATGTTTGTATGCTGTGTGAGGTGTATTCCTTGCCCAATGGAATGTAACTTACAATTATAACCAGTTGTGATTTTCTATAACACATCTCACAATTCGTGGCATCTTAGATTTGACAAAGTATGGAACACTTATCCCCTGAAATAAAAGCCTATATAAATGTGCATTTTTTTTCTGGAAATGAAAAATCTGTTTCTCTCAATAATACTAAAACTCTTTGAATATCAATGTGATGAGAACAAAATTTGTCATAAATATATACATTTTCTTATGATAGATATATTAGTTTAAGGCTTCAAGGAAGGCTTGAAGGCTTATACACAATCCTTATTATGTTGTTAAAAGTGAATGAAGACTGTCACAAGAGCAGCAATATGGCTGAAATGATCATGACAAAAATCCATTAATTCTACAAGTCAGGTTAAATTCCCCTGGAAGTTAACTTTATTTGACAGTGATGTAATGTCACGAGAAATAGTAATATAGGCACCAAGGAAATTTCTTTAATTAAAAAATGTAGGGGATTTTCAGAATCAAGGTTTAAATATGTATTGTGCAGAATATAAAACAATTAATAAACTCAACAGCTGGAGATTAACTTGGAAGTTAGAGAAGTGAAAAAAATCAGTTCTACTCGTATCAACCTACTAAATGTCCTAATGAACTCAGTGACAACCACAGAATCTGAAGACAATGGCTCACAAACAGGCTGATATCCATTTAATAGTTTTTGAAGATTTTTTCCTGTAAAATGGCTTGTATTTCCACAGGTACAATAGTGAAGAAATAAACTTTTCAATTTGACATGAAATATAAAACAACAATTTTACAAACATATTCATAAAATTTAACTGCTAATAACACAATACATGGTAAATGTGACCATCCCCTTAACTTCTAGACTATTTAATACAGAGAAGCAATCTGTCATCTCAGCTAAAAAGAAACATCTTTCCTTTCATTGAGTTTATTTTTGTTTGTTTAGAAACTGTCAAGCAAAACTGGAAAATACTTATTTTCCTTATCTTCCTCTAGGGATTCTTCATGAGGGCAAAGACTTATTTGAAAGGATGTAAGTTATACTAAAAAGAAAATACTGAACCTTTTTTTTGTGTTACTGCTTCAATGATGCTTAGATTATTTTAAAAAGATGCTGAAGTCGTCTCATTGGTCGCACAGAAGGAGGCGCATCATAACCTAAGCCACAAAGGCTAAACTACTGGGACAGAAGATTGACAGTAAAGGGATGGAGATGGATTTGGCTTAAAATCAAAGTCCTGTGGTTTGTCTATCAGAAATTCCACTGTTATGAGGCAAGGCTGCAAGAAGATAGTTTTTACCCAGCATTAACAATGGTGTAATCACACACCCTTTCAAGCACATCCAAAGAACAGAATGGCTTTAAAAAAGAAAAGAAGTGAAACAAAACCATAGAACTGCAGGTAACAATTCTACAACCTATATTACACTTCAATTAAGCAGAAAACTCTCGTAAGTGTCCACACAATACTGAGCTCCCAAATAACAGAGGTTTGAGTTTTTCCATGAAAAAAAAAAAAAAGACATTGAAGCTTTATGAACTAAAGAGTTCTCCTCAAGTTTCCCAATACAGTAAATGTAATAACTTAAAATAATTTCCCTATTGGTACTGGAAAATAAATTCTACTACAATCATGTTTATGCCAGTTTCTGACATATTTCTGCATCCAGATTCATTAGTCTCCTTAATGGAGCCCATCATTTTTCCAATGGCTTTCTCCTTTCTTTAAACCCTAACCCTGAAATTCTATAACCAGTTATATCACGTGGCTTCCCTGAGGCACAAAGGTACCAAAGTCTATAATTAACTATCGAGGAATGATAAATATGTTCTCTATTTATATTAACAGATTTTAATTCTTTTGGGCCACAGTTGGGAGAAAAAAATCCAGAAACCTTAATACTCTGCAGGGTGAACTGTAGCCCTTTTTGCTAAAAGCTGAACCAAATAAGGGAAATGTTGAGAGTTGCAGCATGCATGACCCGGCAGCACCGATTATTAATAAAAAATTCCGGACTAGAAAAATACTCAGAGTTGTACTCCATCCACTCTGAATCTTTTTTTTTGTAGTAAACGACATAAACAACTGAAAAATATTTCTATGGGAATACATCACTGGGACTTTTACTTCTGGAAAGCTACTTGCAAAAGGCATTAGAGTCAGGCCAAGACAACTAATTGGTCTGCAATTTCCTTGTGTATACACATGGGGGAGTGGGGCTAGTCCTTTAAAGTGATGGCAAGACATAAAAAAAGAAGTGACCTTGGAGAAATTACTTTTCTGAATTGCGTTTCTCCACCTTGGTGAGCTACAGAGTTCTTTATTTTCACAAACTAACTCAACTGTGAAAAAAAAAATCTCCTTAGTCAAAATTGTAAAGGGATCTTCCTACAAGTGGCCAAGAAGAGCCTGGTGTCCTTTTTGCTGATTTGCCACCTCTCTGCAGTTCCTTAGGCAGGGTGGGCGGGACCTGACTTTGGAAGCCAAAGGAAAAGATGTGGAGCCCATGGAGGGCGGTTCACTGTTACCCCTTCCAAGAGCTTGGAAATTATTTCCCAAATTTCAACTTATATTTAAGCTGAATTTACTAAAAGTCAGAAACTTTTAGTTAGACATATGCCCAACTACGGGACGTGTCCAACTTGGAAGGTAACTTCATTTTGGGGGATATGTCACGTTGCAGAATGACTAGACTTATAAACAGGACTTGAAATGGAAAATTATGATATACCTAACTCTCTGGAAAAATATCTTTTTTTCTTGGTAGGTAAAATCTGGCCTTTCTGGATGCAAGACCATTTAGCTTACAAGATGGTTTTAGGGCATCAAGAATCCTTCAACCACTTTCTAGGCATACAGCAAGAAAAGAGAACGAGTGCCTCCTTTGTCATTCTTTGGGGCCCAAAGAATTACAGGCTGAAAAGACATACTCTATCAGTGAAAGCTAATCATCAGAGACTCTGGCTAAATCAAAAGGCATTCAATATATTATTCTAGGCAAGTCCATTTTTTTCTTTCATTTTCTGTCTGCAGGTAGAGTAAGCTATACAGAATACAGCAAGCTATCTGTAAGAGGACTGTTGTCATCGATTTTCACACCATTTAAAATTTACCCAAACAAAACCAAAACCAAAAATGTCTCATCCTAAACAATGATCTCCACTGAAAAATAAAGCTATATTAAAACTGAGAGGCTGAACTTTAAACATATTACATCAAATTAAGCAGCAGCAATCAAGAGTAATATTATCGTATCACTTTAAGGAAAAGCGTATTCAAATAGGTTAGAACGACTGAAAATAGGCAAAATATTTGCCAGTAGGCAAAATACGAAAAAACCAATTCAAGTATGGATATAGTACATTAGAATCATATAAATTACGTATATGTACAAAGGTTAAAAAAAAGTCACCCAAATCTGCAATGGTCAAATTAAGAGAACATTAGTTTAAATAAATACTTATTTTATCTCAGCCAGCTTCTACCAGTCTCATGTCCTAAAGGATCTTTACCTTCTAGGAGCAGTGATACGATCGATGCCAAGCATCCAAGAATTATTAATCAAAATGAAATGAAAGTAACAGGAATGGTGGAGCTCCTATGAAATTCTCATTTAATTATTCCTCAGCAACACTCATTTGCTCTCTCAAAAGCAGGAATTTTGAATTATCTCTGCAGATGTACCACTTGGTGTTGTGTATATCTAATCATCCCACTTAAATTTAGTTTGATTCGCAAACATTTTCAAAACTTACTGGGCTCCTTAAGCTGCAAGGGAAGGTGACAGATGGTGAAAAGGGAGTGCACAACAATGACTATATCATTGTGATTGGTTGGCTTTCTTAACAAAGGAAAAAAAAAAACCCCAAGCTTTATGAAACCTCAAGTGGTTTTAAAAAGTAAAAGCTTATTTTTAATCATTCTTAAATCTTAATTCAGTCAGCAAATAAACATGGTAGTATAGTACCCAGACCATGTCTACTACTGTAATTACCCTCAGTTAATGAGTTTTTAAGAGCTGATGTATTTTAATCAACCAAACAGTTCTGGCCGTGCAAGATGAGTATCGGGGCAAATCATATTAGGCAGAAATAACAAAAGACAGGCTAAAAAGTTATGGAAAATTGTTTGTGAAGTCCCATGTATTTGATGAATGAATATCTAAAGTAAATTCCACTGAAGTTAAAAAAAAAAAAAGCCCACAAGTTATGAATATTCTCTCCCCCAACAAGTCAGAAAAATAAATCAGAAAAAGCCCCAGATTTCAAAACCACCTGTGCCTAAGGCCATCTGTCCACCAGTCACACTGTACAGAGCCGCCCCTCTGCTGTCTGGTCAGGTTTGAGCCACGATCAAGTATTTCTAGACACTGTGCGCCCTTCGCGTAACACCTACACCACACTGCACTGAAGTGAACTTCATGAGCCCACACTTTTGAATAAATTTCTTCTACATCTGTAAAATATGATTTAAAGTCTTGTCCAAGATTACAAAAAAAAAAAAACTTGGTTAAAAACCCAAGGTTAAAAATAGAAGCATAGCATTTTAAATCCAATTATTACAAAGATATTATGGTTTAATCAAGCAGACTTCAATGACGACGCTGCTGTTTTGAGCATGCAACACACCACTGGTATCTGTTACACTCCTGCCATGTTTCATCACCATGTCCCCTCTCTTTATTTCCAGCCCCTGTCACCCTCCTCTGATAAACAGCATTACAAAAAGGTAAAATCTAGAGTTAGTGGCAAAATCTTCACAGTAACCTGTTAATAAAGTCGTAGATGGCTGTCAAGGGCGTCAGTCAATTGGACCTTGGAAAATTAATTTGATGCAGTTTTGCTCCCCAACCAGCTGTGTAGCACAGAAAGGGCAAGCAGCGTGAAATGCATGAGTTCCATGAGGCAACGGGATCTGAGACCAGTATTTTGCAGACTTCTCCGAGCACACGTGTCCACAGGGAGTGAAAGCATGAGTTGGCGGTCCTGCGTCTACATAAAATCCTGCCTCACAGCCAAGCCAGAGAGGCACATAGGGGCCCACAGTCCTGCACATGGGACACTCCCTCTCGTTGGCCTCCGTGTCACTCCGATGGCCCCAGTTGTGGTACCCGTGCACGTGGCCACAACTGAGATATGCCCAGGGCTGCTTCTCCTCCACCACCTCTTTCCTGTTGATGCTGGGGAAGGCCAGGGTGTTGAGCCCCACAGGACACTGAGGCCGGGCGGCGTTAATCTCCTGCCGGAGGGCTTCTATGTGCTTCTGAGTTGGAGTATGAAAAAGCCCATCTGCTGTTCTCCAGAGGAGAGTGGCCCCACACAGGTCAATGAGGGAGCCGTCCTGCAGGACGTTGGTCTCACTTTCCACCTACAACAAGTTTGAGACACATGCCTTTTAAAAGCAAAATCAAGCAAATCACTCCAAGATTCTTTCCTCTCAGAACAAGCAAAAAAATATTTGAAGATAACACAGGGAAGCAATTTATCCCACAAAAACAGAACTGGGGGAGTAACCTATCCTCCCCGAGCCTCATCTTCCTCATCTGATCACTGGATATGATACATATATGCCGTATGTACAAAGCCCTGAGCACAGTATGTATACCTAGCTTTACATGTTCAATTACTGTAGTGGTTATTTTAATGAACTTCACAAATCTCCTAAGATTTTCTTTTTAACTCCTTAAGTCAGTAACACAATGACTCACTGATCCCATAGGATGAGAGATGTCCTACCAGTCCATCCAGTGGAGACTCATCCTCATCTTGATGACAGCCAATCCAGAAGATCTTGCGGGGGGCCTGCAGTCATTACTGGAGGGTCCAAAGCACTCCTGGTGACCCTTAGCTTCCTCCACCTTGAATCTATCTTTCATCATTCATTTTTAAGGTTTGAAGCTAAACAGTTCAACATGAGCCTTCATTTTTAGAAGGAGGCCTGTGCTATGCACTAAGTGCTTATAAGACTGATTAACAGCTGACAAGCAGCAGCTAGGCGTGGTCAGCAAGAACGTGACCGCTGCCTCCACATGCCAGATGCATGCTAAGCCTTGGAGGTACCAAAGGCCAATAAAACCTCTTCCCCATCCTGCTGAGACTTGCTCTTCAGTAGTGGAAGGCAGACATGCCCAGAGCTCAGAGTGCATGAAGGCCAGTAAAGCACTGTTCAAGGCCACAAATTTATAGCAGCCAGGAGTGTGGACTCTGGGTTTGAACCCTGGCTCTCCCACTTATTAGCTGTATGACGCTGTGCAGATTACTTAAACTCCTCGTGCCTCAGTTTCCCCTTGTTTAAACTTTAGAAAAGGTGGTTGTGTTAGATAAGTAAATGCAAAGAGTTCTTAGAGAACACTGTCTGGTACGCAGTCAACACTCTGTAAATACCTGCTACTATTACTCTGATGATGACAGACGGTCAGAAATGGTTTCTAAAAGGTTTTTCTTTAACAGAGATTTGAGAAAGATGTCAGGCCTCAGTAGGGAGGATAGCAGGAAGGCACAGCAGGGAGAAGGAGGAGAGGCCAAATGGCATATGCACCAAGGGAGCAACAGGGAGTTTGATGAGGCTGTGCAGCCAGGCTGAACAAGGATGGACGCAGTTCAGGGCACTGGGTGGGGGGGGACGAGAGACCCAGGCGGGAGAGGGAGGCTGGCATCCATGCCCAGAGGGAGTTGGTAGGGGGTTTAGGTAACTATAAAAGAACTGATTGACCTTTCAAAAAGGTCACTTCTAGAACTTTGGAGGGTGGGTTGGAGGGGTAAAGATGAGCTGTGAAGGAGGCAACTGGTGCTCTCTCTGGGTAGAGAGGGTGAGTACACCTCAACAAAGACAGTCTCAGTGGCAAGAGACAGAGGCACAGGGACTAGAGAGAAAGAAATTAGACTCGATGGCACTCAGCTCTTGATCTGAGCAAGAGCCTCTTACGTGCCTGGTTGTCTGGGTAGAACAGTGCTTTCCACAGACAGAAACACAGGAGAAATGGCAGATGAGGGAGTAAATCCTGATTTCACCACTTAGTAGCTCTGTGGTCTTGAGTCAACGACTTAACCTCTCTGGGCCTGGCTTCCACATCCATTAAGCTGGAATAATGCCAATACATGTCTTATAGGATTGTTGTGAGAACTAAATAAGTTCAACAGCAAGAGCCAGGCCAGTTCAGTTTTGGGTGTGCTGAATGTGAGGGTGTGCAGAGTATCGGTGGTGGTAATGCATACAAGGCACGTGTGATGCAGCGTTGGAGACAGATCAGGCTCGAAGAAACATATCTGGGATGTTATCCGCACCTAGGTGAAGCTGTGGGAATGGATGCCACTGCCCAGGCAGGGTCCCAGGGAGGGCAGAGAGGACTGAGGACAGAGCCAGGAGCTGGGGTGGAGGAAAAGAACCATGTAAGGGAAAGAGAGAGGTATGGGAAGCACCAGAAATTTTGTCAATCTTTGGTTCAAAGGACTTTGGCGGCTTTCTGCTGCCCTTGGGGTACAGCCCAAGCTTCTTAACACACTTAAAAGGTCACTCCCAATGCAGTCACTCGACTTCTCCTGCTGTAGCTCTTCCCTTCCTAACTGGAAACCAGGACTGTCCTGCGATGAGCTGCAAGGAGCTGGAGTCCATGAGCGCACTACCTCGGACTGCCCACAGGCAGGTGCAAGAGCAACCTCTGCCTAGAATACTCCACTCCAGTACACCCTGCTCCAGCTGAGCCCTGGTTGGCAAACTCCTACTTGTCATCCAGGTCTCACCTGGATGTCACTTTGCCCTGGACATTTTCCTTGTCATGAAGAAATCAGCCCTTCCCAAGTATTAGTTTTTAGAAAAAGTTAAGGTCCCAACAAATGATAAATCTTAATACTGTACAGGACATACACTGTGACTCCTTTCAGACAGCCTGAAGTTTGCTGATGCTCCTTCCCCGCCCCACCACCATACCGAGCATCCCATGGTCTCCTCTCCTCTAACTGGTGACGTGAGGCTCCTGACCTTGCTGACCACAGGCAATTCTCAGAGGAGGCCTCATTGCAGGATAAAACTGTGTCTAAAGGATCACCCTGATGTGGTAAGAAGCTGAGGTATGGTGGTGGCCTAGCCTCTGGCTGTGGAACAACCCCCCTTTCCTCCTGCAGGGCAGTTCTTGGTAAACAACAAAGTCTTATTATAAATCTGGGGTGTATGGTTTTTTATTTTCCACATACCCTTGACTCCCACATCTGGGGTAGGTGTCCTGTGGAGGGAAAGTACCTTCGGTACCTTCTCATGACTGTGCTCATCACACAGTATCTGCTGATCTGCTGCCTAGTCTGTGACCTCCTCCAGACCATGCAATTAGAGGGCAGAGCGTGGACTTGGTGTTTTCTGCCACATCCCCAGTTTGCAACCCCTGCTTAGTAATAACAACCAGCCAGTCATGGGGCATTACTGTGTCCAGCACTGTTCCAATCCTTTCCAGCTACTGAATTTAGTTCTCACAACAGTCCTATTAGACATGTATTAATATTATTCCAGTTTGGGAGATGTGGAAGCCAGGCACAGAGAGGTTACGTCGTCAATTCAATACCACAGAACTAAGTGGTGAAACCAGGACTTGAACCTGGTGGCCTGATTTAGCAATCATTAGTAGGCATGAATTCAGATTTTATTTTTTAAATTCTACCACAAAAGAAAAGCTATGAGCAGGCACAGGAATTGACAGTATTGTGGAAGCAAGAGACATTTGGCCTCTACCATGGCAACTAATGGCCCCTACATAGCAACTATCTAAGCACAGGGTAGTGAATTCAACCCCCCATCCACCACTTCTTATTAGCAAGTGACTTAACCTTTTAAAGCCCAGGTTTCCTCATCTGTAGACGGACACAATAACAACACTGACTTCACGGGTTATTTTAAGCAACACTGGAAAGACAATTAATGTAATGCACCTGCTAGAGCCTGACCATAGCTACGCTATGGTTATTTTTATAATTTCACCTAAAATTAGGTATGCAATCAACTTAACTGAATTTACTTAATTTTATACAAAGCCAGTTTAGTTTAATAAAATACTTCATATATAATTTAATTAAATACTCAAGGCCCTCCTGGAGTAATATTATAAATGTTACCATATGTTATCATTAACTAGCTAAAAAAGGAGGGCACAATTCAAACTCCATTCACCTATTTATTCAGGGAGTTAAAGGCCTGAAAAGACATTTCCCCCATATTTAATTAATTTTGTTGATTAGTACACAGTTCTGAGGTTCCATCATTTGCTGTAATAATGAAAAACAACGGTGATTTCTTGTTACACATACATTAGTATATTGATTCATATCAAATGCTCAGTATGATATTAATACATAATCTTCCACCAGCACTAGCTCCACAATGTGACTACTATTGTTTTAACAAATATTTTAGACTTTTAGCAGCTCACTTTATTTCTCATATTTCTGTATTAGACTGCAAATGACAAGTACTGCCAGAGACTGTCTCCAAAATCTAACCTCCAGATAAACATAATTTATATCAAATGCTACCAGCAACATGTACAGGACCAATGAGTCATGAATTGAAACAGAAGTTCAAAGAGTCAGTAAGCTTTCCTCGAAGACAGACAAAAACTGTTCTCCAGAGGTTAACAAGAGGAGATTGCAGGAAGAATGTATCCGTTCAGTGTCCCATAAGCCCAAGATCAGGCTGATAGAAGCCTTTGTAACTGGCCAGGTTAATCGGATGCTATCAAATAGGACAGCACAATTTTACATAGTTCTCAGTGTCGCTTATAGGGACTAACTTCAAAAATAGCCTGTATATTTAATACAACTCATTAATACAAGCCATTTTTGGAGTTCGTTCTTTTCAGTCGCACTGTAAAATTCTCCAGCACACATAGCAGCCTGAGAAGGGTCATTACACAATAACCAGAGTGGACGAGAAACTCATCCTGTGATATGCCCTCCTGGACAAAGGCGCTCCCCACGGACTCCAGCGTATGCTTTATACTCACCCAGGGAGGCAAATGCTCAGGTGTAAACCATCCCTGGCTCCCCACAACATGGTACTGAGTAGTATTAGGTGTCCAGGCTCTCCATCAGGGAGACCTGAGTTTGAATCCCACTGGCTGCCACCTGCTAACTCTGTGACACTGGGCAATCTTTAACTTCACGCCACATCTTCCTCATCCATGAAATGGGGATGACTCTACTTCCCTAAGAGGGCTGCTGTGCAGATGAAGTGAGCTCATGTCGGAAATGTTAACGCAGAGTCTGCACCCAGCAACCATTTACTGACTTCTTACTCTTGCTGTTATAATGATGAATAACCAGTTTGGCCAATCTAGGTCAGTTTTGTATAAAACTATCCAGTGATCAGAAACAAAAGATTATTTAGAAAAACTGCTTTCACATTTCCTCCTTTGTTTACAATTTCTTGAAAACATTCATACAAAATTTATTGAATTTGCTTTTTTTTTAGAAAATGCTTCTCATATTTATTCAGCCATGGTGCACTGTAAGACGCATACGCTGTGCCTGAAGCTGAAAAATGGTGTAAAATAGAAATAAAAATAACCATTCCCTAAACACAAACATCCAGTAGAGAACAGCAAATGAGGTCAGTGAAACAGCCCCCAACTTCTTTTTCCATCTTAGACATTTTTGGTGATGATCTTTCTCTCTGACAAGTGCTAGGTCAAATCCTCTATTCTGTATACATTTTATTCTGTGGGAGTTTTGAAGAACTCCTTCTTTTCTAGCTTCTAGAAAAAGACATTTGTTCTCTCTCGTTCTAGCTTCTACCTAGCAAATTAAGAAAAGTACAGGAATGGACAGCTTACTAAAAATCAGTGGCTGTGCTACATGGCTATGGCAAGATCAGAAACCCAAAGTTCTATATTTAAGGTATTATAATTATTCTCCAAGAAAGAATGGGTTTAAAAAAACTGCTTTAGGGCATGGGGATAAGTGGTGATATTTATAGGAAAATATTAACATGCCAGGTCAATGCAGTATATAAATCATTTCAAGTAAACAGTTGTAACTATGATTTTGGTGGACAGTATAGAGAATTCTGCCTTAATATATAGGAATTCAAAGGGAAAACCAGCTGACTTATTTTTTACTTCCAGAAAGTCTAGTAAATAATTCCTTAATGCATAATTTTTACTAATTGTTTTTGGACTGCTCAAACGTTTTCCAAATCAATAAAGTTTTACACTAAAAATAAGTTTCTTCTCCTTAAAGTGAATTTAAGTAGATTTTTGTGGTGAGGTATATAATAAAAGATAATGCTCTTCAGGTGGTAAGGAGCAAAACACAATTTACTCCCACTATGGGAAAAGTTGAACCCCTGAAGGAGATAAGGCCATTTCCCTCTTGATTTCAGGGGCTTGTGGAATTCTGCTTCTCCTGAGTTACAGTACATGGCGCTTGGACCTGCACAAAGGTTCTGAACATCAGGGGAGGAAAATGATAGCCTTCGAGTTAGGCTTGAGTAGTTTCGTACTTCACACTTGCAGAGTGAAGCACACTCACCAGCTTTCCTCGTTGCTGGGCCGACCTGGTTTCTCGCAAGGTGTACACATCTCCACAGACAGAGATCTCGCGCCAGACCCCGGGCTGGGACTCCTCGGTGAAGCCCCCTCGTGGATGCATCACCAGGACGCCATTAGTAGTGAGCCCATCCATGTGGCCGTCGGGGTTTTTCCACTTTGCTGCCTTTTCCTGGAGAGAACACAGCAGAACAGAAAAAGTAGGTTAAGATGATGTTGAAATGGAAAGGATTCTGGAATTTCTTTAATACATTGCATAGAGGCAGAGGGGAGGAAGGTGATGAATTTTCATTTTCTATTTAAAGCTAATAATCACAAGGATAACATATGCCATCCTTTCGACAATATAAAAGAAGTGCTGAATGGATGAATGACTTATCACTGGACACACATCATAGTTCTCAAGAACTTGCAAAAAATCGAGGCCTGGGCTTCTCCCTCTAAGATTCTTTTTACCTTCCCCACAACCCCATGAGATTCCAGGAATCTGGTGTGTTTTCTCTTTTCAGTTATACTTATGCCATGCTCCTATCCTGTTATCTAAAAGTACTTTCTATGTTCTCACTGTCAGGATAGAGAAGAGAAAGGACAGTCATAAAGAAAGACCTTTTATTAAAGCTAGAAAATTCCAAAAATGTTAAGCCAACAAGTCGGGGTCATTATGTTTTCATAATAATCACCGTTTAAATTCTCAAAGGTAGATGGCGCATGTAGCTTGACATGACGACAGGACAGACACTCTTGGGTGCTTGTGCCACAGCTCTTCCCTTCAGCTTTCTTGGTGACAGAGCTCAGCTACTGTTCATGTGGCTGGGGCGGGGGTTGGGGGGTGGTGGGGAATCCTGATTAACCCAACATGACACTCCCAGCCCTCTTCCCAATAGCTGGTTTACAGGTGGGCACAGCACATGACTGGGCTCTGACTGATGACACATGATATCTTCTTGGAGGCTTCCAAGAAAGGTGTCTGTGCTCTAAGAAGAGACAAGGAAGAAACAGTGCTTCTGCCACCCTCTTCTCTGGCTGGAAGTTGTCATGTGGCAGGGGACATCTGGAAGTGCAGGAGCCAGCTCTCACCCACAAGAAGACCTCCCAGGAAGAGGCTGGTGCACCACGGGAGGCAGAAGGCAAGACAGAGAGAACCCAGTGCACTGGATGTCACAGAACCACTGAACCACCAACCCTGGAGCTGGCCTTCATCGGCACTTCTTATGTGGGAATAGTACATTTTCACTGATTTTAGATCATTTTGAGTGGGTTTTTTCCTGCAAAAATATCCTAATTCAAAAGGAAACTATGTTAAACCTGGATATTCACTAAAACTTCTGGGGTTTACAAGGAAACCCTATAAGGGCAGGGATTCAAGTCTGTGTTGTTCTCTGTAATCCCATAACTAAAACACCCAGTATGGAACATAGCAAACACTCATAAAACATTTTTGAATGAGTGAATCACTAACATTTTCCTCTAAGCCCTAATGATCTAAATTTGGCCCATTTATTTTTCTCTCTGAAATAAACCTCTTCGTTGCCGTAAATACATTATGGACAATGTTATAGGCATACTTTAAAAAAAGTACTTACTGTAAATATTACAATATAAAAAATATAATGAATAACAAGCAATGCTTATTAATGTTCAGATTTTTAATAACAAGTTTCTCAAACTGGCCACCTGAAAACTAAAATCTCAAAATCTCACTAGAGGCAACATACAAAGCCAATTTTTTTTTGCTCCAATTAAATGTTCCATATCATAATCACAAGCATTTTTCTAGAAATCGTGTACTTCTTGACAGTACTTACTCCAAGAAATATGTTTTTGGAAGAGTCAAATCCGGCGGCGAATATCCGTGCTGTGTAAGGTTCATTCCTGTCGCACACGATCCTGCAGGCGAACCTGGATATGGTGCTCTGTGTGATCTGGGCTTCGTCCGTGTTCTGGCTGCCAGAAATCGTGTCTGTGACAACGAAGTCGATAGGGCTTTCTGTTGATCTGCCCACCTAAGTAAATCAAATGTACTCGTGATTCACTTGGAAAATAGCAGGGTGCCGTATTTTATTCACAAGGAAAAAGCATTCAGGATTCCTTTAACATTCACTATCCTTGTTCTGAGGGTTAGAATTTAATGCAAGATTTTCATTCGTGCTCCTTTTCCTATTTAACTAGGGAAGATATTAGGGTAACCAAATATTAGAGATACCTATTTTTAATTTTATTGTATTGTGCTAAGAATATAATATGAGATGTATCCTCTGAAATATTTGAGCACATAATGCAGTCATTGTTGACTACAGGCAGAACGGTGCACAGCAACTCTCTAGAACTTACTCATCTTGCTTAACTCACTTTATGCCACTCACTAGTTCATTAGATTTTAAGTATTGAGAAAAAGCTCAATTAAGAGGACAGGAGTAGATCTTTGGCCACTCATCAGATTTTATCTCTTGGATTAATGTTCTATCCCAACAACTGTAACTCTGATTCTGAAGTTGCCAATGGGAGGAATGCAGAGGCCTGTGATGTATGCACATAAAGTTCCCAAAAGTCAATTTCCAAGGCATTTTTATTCTGGTCTCAAAGTTCTATCTACAAACTAGGCAATGTAATACATTTTTCATCCAAATGAAGAAAGTAGAAAAAAAATCTTGTATCACTTAGCTCAGCTTGCTTCCTGGAACAATATTACATTTCTTTTGTAAATCTCATATATACGTTCTCATGCACAGACTATCTCTCTAAAACCAGCAGACCACAGACATCTATTTTCTTTTGTTTTTTTATCACCCTTAATTTCTTGCCCTAATGAAATGTGCCTGGAATGAACTAAACTGCTGGTTTCATTGAAACTTAACAATTTGAACAGATGCATATTGCCTAGATATATGCATTTCAGGTTTTGAAAACACATAACTTGTTAAAAAATGCAATGTAAAATCTAAATTAGATGTATTATAAAATCATATAATTCATCCTTCTAAAGCTGCAAAATCTCCTCTCTGCTAGATTCATTTAAAAACTGGGTAACTTGGAAACTCTACTGATTCAGACTGCTTTAATTTTGTTAAACATTTTTTAACAAGAAAATTAGAAAAGTAATGAAGACTTATTGCAAAATATTTAACAAATGGAGAAAAGTATAAAGGCGAAAACAAAGCCAACTTCAAACTTAGGCGTAAACCTGTCCTGAGCCTCTATTCCAGTGAAGTTTAGGAGTAAAATGTGATAAATTCTAGAATTTCCCAGTCATCTCACCAAACCTGGAGCCTCATAGCGACAGTCACTGTCACAAGATTTGTCCATCTCCATGGAAGAGGGCAATGACTTTTCAAGCTCTAAGTTCAAAGCCAAAACCACTCTGCTGGTTTGAATGTTTCATAACTGTTCCTTCTTGTGTACAGAAATTACTCTTTTCTAGAAGGGCCACATTCTGAGTTCATCCAAATGTATTAAATTAATGTCTTGATGAAGTAATTGAAATTGACTGTAAAAAGAGGAAATTTTATTCTAACTGGAACAGCCTGCTAGGATCAATGATTTTAAGTCATGACACTTATCTTGATCGGTCATACACATGACTTATCAGTTTGCTTCCACTTAAATCTAACCTCTAGAGTGCTGGTAAAATTTTATACTTTATGACACAAGCCTCATGTTGCTTTTTCCAGGAAAACAAAACAACAACAACAACAAAAAAAACAACAAAAAAACAAAACTAAGTCACTTTCCTGCTGAAAAATCACTCAATGTGGAAAACTTGCAGCCTGCCCTTTCTTTTGACTACTGGATCAACTCTACATTATTTTAAAGGCAGTCATGCACACAAGCCAAGATGCTTTTGAATTTCATCTGATATTCATATAGCACGCAAGCCAGGGTGCTTCTGAATTTCATGTGATAGTCACAGAATGCCGGTAGTCATATAACTAGCTACAGTGATAACTTTGCTCCATTCAGCATGTTAAATTTTATATATATAAGAAAAGTTTGGGTTTGCCTGGATGTCAGCTGAAGCCAGGACAGGTAAGATGGTATCAAAGCATCTAGAAGGGCCTCACCTTTTTCTCACCTCCCTCAACCAATTCCTCCCATCTCCCTGCATCAATCACTTTATTTTCTGACTTCCCTCCTGGGATAAGGATGAAATATTGTTGCTCCCATCTAAAAGCAATCTTTCCATTGACACTTGGTATTCCAATGTTCTCCCTTTCCCAAGGATTTTGCTCCTAATATTATCTCCTCTCTTTCTTGAGTCACCAATTTCTCCTTTTATACTGGATCATGCCATCAGCTTTCACACACGTTCTGGAGCTTCTCAAACTCTGTGGTTAAAGGACCAGTATAGTTGCTGTTGTTGTTTTAAATTTTAACCCATCACTGATGCCTTTTAAACATACAATAAAAATGAGTACTTGAGAAATGATCATCTGCTTGGATGTTTCCGCAATGCCAAACTGTCATAAAAGTTTCCTCTCAATTTGTATGCTTATCTCATTCTGTATTTTAACAAACATTTCACTGCTGGGCAGAGGGAGTGCAGTTTGAGTAGCCCTGCTCTGGCGTAGTCTCCCACCTTTAAAAACGCTTTCCTTCACCTGCAAGCAAGCCCCAGGCTCCAGCCCTGTTTCTCTGATTCACTTAACAGCAAGACTTCTTGGAAAACCTGTTATCTCCTCCACTTCCTCACCCATATCTTTAGCTTCCTTCTTCCTCAACCCACTCCAATTGAGCTTCCTTCCCCACAACTCTACTGAAACCACGCATGCTAAGATTCCAAAAATCAATATATTGCTAAATCCAGGGCTTATGCTGAGCCAGCATATGCCGGTCCATCTCTACCTGGTACTAAAATAATGAAACTTTCAGGCCAGTTGGTAAATAGTCCCCCCTTCCCTTTTCTTTCTGTTCTCTCCCTAAATAGTATCACCAAATCCCACCTAACAGCTCAAAGTCTTCATCTCTCCCCTGAGCTTCAGACCGGCACACCCAATCTCCACTTGTATGTTTGATAAATATCTCAAATGTAATATATGCCAAACAGAACTTGGATCCCCCTTCACCCTGGGGCTTCCCTATATCAATGACTGACTGACATCCAATTTGCTCAAGCTAAAAGTCAAAACCCAAGAATAACCTGATTCTTCAGTTTCCTCCATGCCCACATTAGCCCTGTGTAAACACTGTCAGCTGTACCTCCAAACACATCCTCAATCCTTCTACTTTTCCCATTTTGGTTCTGGTTACCATTATGTCTTACTTGGGTTCTATCACCTTAGCCTCCAAACTGGTCTCCCTGTTTTCATACTTGCCACCTAGATTCTTTTCCATACAGTAGTTTGAGAAATCGTACAAAAACATAAATCAGATTATACCTCTCTCCTGCTTAAAATCCTCCAACAGCTTCCCAAAATTCCTAGAATAAATCTCAGACTCAACCTGGCCTGAAGGTCCTACCTGTCTCAGCCTCTACCTGCCCTTCCAAGTCCATCTGAGTTCACTGCTGTCCTTCTCCACTGTGATCTTGACTTGGAGCCTTTGCGCTCACTGTTTCCTCTGCCCAGAGGGTTTGTTTATTTGTGGTCTGCCTTCTCCAGATGTAGCCTCCTTGAGAGGAGAGCCTTAGTTATCTCTCCCCAGTCATCAAAGGAGTTTCTGACACAGCAGATGGTCAAGAGATGAAACTAGTAATTGGAAGATTATGACAGGGAGGCTGAATCCTATGAGATACAAACATACCTGCACATGCATGCTCATGTACAATGGTTGTAGAAATACCCACTAGAAAATGTAGATATTCTTTAATATTTTCCTCTTAACTTAATAGATACTAATTAAATGTTATCATCTAAAACTACAGTAAATCAACTAAATTGAAAACCAAACCAAACCAAACCAAACAAAAAACCAAAACCCAAAACTGTTAGGCCTTGTAGCACCGCGTTCGAAGCCTGTGAAACTGTGAAATCTGAGAGAAAGGGCCCCTGAACACCGGCTGCAGGGCCCAGTCAGTCTCCTGGCCCCTAAGGTCAGAAGGCACTTGGCACCACACGTTACTCTAGGGACACTGTAAAGACAATGCACCCCTCTAATTCCTTCCATTAACTATTTTCTCTTTTATGTTTCACTTTCTTGTTAGACTTTTCTTTCTTTCCTTGTTTATGCCTACTCCAGAAAATAATGACCAAGATCTTACTCTGATTATATTAACTAACAATTTCTTATACCTTAAATTCAGATCTAGCTTTGATTTTTCTCCTCAGGCAATAATATTTCTGAGTTCTGAGTCTACTAACTGACTCCAACAGTGGGAAATGCAGCATAAAGCCCTTTCTTGGTTCTTTCTGATATTCTGCCTTTAAATACTCAATTAACCCTAGAAATCATTTTAATGGGAATGACTAAAACGAACAAACTCTCCACACTGAGGTCCATACTTCAGAACTATGAGTGCTGTCGCGCTTTTTGCTCAGTGATTTTTGTCAGTAGTAGGCTTTGGAAATATAAACTTGTTAAAAGGAGGAAAAAATGGAAACAAGCCTGTCTTTTCAAGGTCTTATGAGAGTTGCTTAGTTCTCTGCTTAAAATGATCTGCCACAGATCCTTCTAACAGGTCCAGTGAGTCTGTGAATGTAATGTGTTATATTTCCTTAAGAAACATGTGAATTCTTGCTTGGCTTACCATACTTTATTTAAAGAGGCTGAGCTGGTACTATTCAGAGAATGAAGAGCTCAGTGACCTAAATCTTAGCTCTGCCCCTAATGCCTCTTCTCTTCTGGCCTTAGTTTACATTACTTTTCCTTTCAAACACCCATATTTCTCAGCTATGAAATTAAGAGGTTGGTACAAATCAGTATTCTCAGCATGTGGTTGATGAACCCCAGAGGGTCCCTGAGACCCTGCCATGGGGTCTAGGTACATGAGGCCAAAATTACCTTCATAATAATACAAAGACGTTAACTGCCTTTTCCACTGTGCTGGTCTCTATGCTGATGGTGCTAGAACAATGGTGGGTAAAGCTGCTGGTGCTTTGGCATGATTCAAAGCAGTGGCACCAAACTGTATTAGCAGTCATTGTATTTTTCATTGCTGTGAATTTGCAGTTAAAAATTATGAACTTTATTAAATCTTGAGTCTTTCGATATTCTGTATGACAAAATAGGAAGTATGCATAAAGTACTCAGAAGTTAGTAACGGGAAGCTGAAAAAGTCCAACTAAATCTTTTAATTCATTCTGCAGAGATGAGAGGGAAGAAAGTGAGCATGTGAGTCGAATGTGACTGTTCAACAGTGCGGAATACACTATGTGACACGTACGTCGCTAAAGAATATCTATGAAACTCTGAAAAATTCCGAAGAAACAAGATTCTTCTTAAAGGAATTTAATGTCTCACACTTTGAGAGTACCTGACTTACCTATAACAGGTACCATCACAGTAGTTTTTGAATTTAAGTGGTAAAAAAGTATCACTGACAATTGTGAAATAGGCTTTATTCACTTTTTTAGTATTAAGAATTCTCTCTGTAAAAAAAATCTTTAAAATCTTCACTGCTACTGTAAGTAGTAAAAAAACTTATAAATTGAAAATAATTTTAATGAGTATTAAAAAGATATAATAATAAAGTTCCATAAAAATATCAACAGGGGAGAATATACATATACTTATGTAGGAAGATATTTTCCTTAACAGAATAAGAAGACATTTATAAGATTATATAATGGAATGGCATGGAGAGTAAAACCACATTTAGTATTTTGCCCAAACATGATAAATCTTATTTTTGAGTTCAAACTGGCACTTTAATAACTATTTTTATAAATATGACTATATATTTTATCTAAGATTATTTAGTTTTTAAATATCTAACACATACGCATAGTTCCAAAAATCGAAAAGTGTAAAATATCTCCCTGTATACCACCTGCTCAGTCCCTTTCCCCACAAAGGCAACTGCTACATTCATGTCTTGTTAATCATTTTGGAGATTTTTTAATGCATATAAGCATGATTTAAACCATTTTACCATATTAAATTAACATTTAATAATGTAATATTTCATATTATTTAATAACATTTTATTTAGTAGCATTTTAAATTAATGGAATATATATTACCAATATGACTCCATATACTCAATAATATTAATATTTAACTCATTTAATATGTTTGGAGCTCTTTCTGTGGCTATATATACAGCTTTTCTTTGTTCTGTTTTATACCCTTGGAGGGCTCCACTGTATAGCTGTACCCAAATTTACTGAACTGGTCCACTACTGAAGAACATTTAGGTTGTTTCCAATCTTTTCCTATTAAGCAATGCTTTGAGCAATAACTCTGTACAAATGGCGTTGCGCATGTAGGTAAGGATATCTCTGGGGTAAGTCTCTAGAAAGAAGAGCTTTACAAAGAAAAGAGCTGAGTCAAACTATGTAAACATTTTGTATTTTTCATAGCTATTTTCAAATTGCTACCCCATAAATGCTATACCAATTTATAGAATGTAGGATAATGTCTGTTTTCCCCATATCTTTGACAAAACCTTTTGGATTTCTGCCAATCTGACAAGTGAAAAGTGGTATCTCTATGTGGTTTTAATTCACATTTTTCTTTTTGTAAATGAGGTTGAGCATATTTTCTTATTTTTAAGAGTTACTTAGTTTCCTTTTTTGGTGAACTGTCTGTCAAATCCTCTGCTCATTTGTCTATCTGATTGTAGGTATTTTAAAAAGAGATTTCCAAGAGTACCTTATATATTTGTGACATTAACCTTTTGTGATACAAATTGTAAATATTTCCCCAATTTGTAATTTGCCTTTGGCTCTTCTTATCAGTCTGAGGTGCTGAAGTTCAGGACTACTGCAAATACATTTAAAAACCACATAAAATATTCTTTCTTTCTCAATCAAAAGTACTGAATTAGGTGATCCAGATTAGGCCTGTACTTTACAATGTTACAGAAAATGGAAAAAGAGCTGGTGCATTTCTTTCTAGTCCCATCTCTCTTCCATACCTATGTTTATGTGTGTGCATATAAAAATAAAGCATGAAGTGGACATATGCCTTTTTTCACTTATTTTATTGCGCTTCCCATTTAATAATCATGTAATGGCTGCATGGTATTTTGCATTTAAATGCACCATACTGTAATCATTCTTACCTACTCCTGGAAGTATAGGTTTATTTTTAGTTTTTTACTAGTATATACAACACTACAATGAACAACTTTTTGGTTAAATCTTTGTTCATATTCCTTAATTATTTACGTATAAAAATGACTGAAGTTAGAATTACTGGGTCAATTGGTCTGAGCGCTGAAATTCATGGTAGTACTGCAATGTTGCCCTATAGAAATGTTGCACCAATTCACAGTCCCACCAGGGGGACCAATTCCATACAATGTTTTACAGTGCTGTATTATTTAATATTTTCCAATTAATAGGTAATAAAGAGTATTTTATTATTAATTCATTTGGTATTTTAAAAACTATTTTATATATTTATTGGCCATTTATATTTCTTCTTCTGAGAATTATATGTTTTGTTCTTTGTCCATTTTTGAAAGCATGGGAAAAGTGATTACTGTACAGTAGGTATCAATCCTTTGTCTACTTGATTTGTTGCCCTAATTGTCTCTAGTTCGACTTCTAATTTTTGTGACATTTAAAAAAGAAGTGAAAATGCGTAGGGTAAAATCTATTTCTTCATTTACTATTGATCCTTCCCTATTCCAAGAATATGAATTCTCCTAAGTTTTTTTCTAGAACTTTTTGTTCCTTCAGTTTTATATTTAAATGTTTATTCTCTAGAATTTACTTTAGCAGAGTATGATGTTAGTATCTATCATACTCTTTTGATGTTTGTTTCGACATCATTTATGTAATAATTTAACTCTCCATATGGAAATGCAAAGCCTCATCAATTCCAACTTATGCTTGCTTTTTTCTGTTATTAGTCTAAATTTTAATTGTTTGTTGTTTTAAAGTACTAAATCTGGAATATATTCATTAATTCTCTTTTTTTTAAATTCATTAACTGACGAATGTTTTTTTCCTTCCTTCTGCTCTTTTGATGTGCTTCTAGACTTTATATTATATACCACTAAAACTATGCCCAAACCCATCCTGTACTTTCTTAATTGCTGTACTTTGTCAAAAAAGAACTTTTGAGATAAATGTTTAGTCCCTTGATCTTCTTTCTTTCTCTCTCTTTCCCTCCTCTTAATAATGAAAGCACGTAAGGCATTTTCTTCCGAGTAAGATGTTGGCCTCGTCTTGTCAGTTGTGCTACATGATATTCCCACAGTTATTTCTGAAAAGACCTATAAATGTAGTTTGGATGTCCCTTTCATTCAAATGCTACTTAGAAAGTATTCTGAAAATGTTGGCTTTTAAAAGTGGTTAGCTTTTAAAATTTTTATTCTTGCTTAATTAATGTCTATTTTTATTGCACTGAGGTCTGAGAATGTAGCCTTTATAATTTCCCTTTACAATTAAAGAATTAAGTTTTTTTCTTATTCTTTCAACAACCAAACAGGAATAATTTTTATATTATCTTCAACTCTTTCCCCCTGGACATACTGGGCTGGAAGATCTGATTACATATAAAAAATAGAGAATTAAAGGAAAACGTGCTAAAATTTCTATTAAAAAAGAAAAATATTACCTGAAACATATCCGTATCCTTATCATGTGTGTACTCCACCACCACAGTCTGATTCCTTGACAAAGTGTAGGATATACTGTGTTGACCTTTGCAGCTGATAGCCTAATAATAAAATTTTAAAAAAATCCATTACAATTCCATTTCAACAACTTATCAATTCTGCCTGTAGTTATGAGCCACCACTCTACTGGCAAAGCCCAGCACAAGCCAGCATTTTCCACACAGTCAGGTTTTTCCCCTATGCTCTATTCCGTCAATCACAGACAAGCCAAGAGTCACAATTCTGGTTTTATCAAATATTCTGTCTTAAAGTGAACAATATTTTATTAAATCAAATCAAAGTTTATTTACTAGTTTGCAAGACTCGATTCAATCACATTCTTAGAAAAACACACACTTTCTCCATATTACCTAAACTCAGAAATAGAATTTTTAGACTAATAGAGTCATTTATTTCAAGTTTTAAGATTTCACACAACAGATAAGTCACATATTATTATTTTTCCTAGGTGATAGAGATTATCAGCATCATAAAAGAATCACTGGAAAATCTGTCAATGTTCTAATTAAGATTTCAATATCATAATACACCGTCCTAGCCAATGATAACCATATTTGTATTCTGTTCTACATCTCACTTAAATCTTGTATAAGCAACTAGTTAAGTCAGATATTTACTTTATTAATAAATAAGGTAACTAGCAATTTTATTTTTTTCAAATTTTAGGCCAGAAAAAGCTAATATTCTTTTTCAAATAGCCTAGGAATAATATGATATCATTCTTATTTTGTCCATAGTGATATGTTTGAACAAAAAGTTGTGGTCACATACTTTTAATGTTTCTAAATTAACAAATAAATCGATATAAAGTGGACTCCAAATTATTTCAATTGTGTTCTATTCATTCTACTTCAATCTAACTTATCTTCATTTTTAATCTTTTACATTAAGTATAACAAAATTTTAATAAGCTTTTCTATTACACATTTATTGAATGATGACACTGTATGAAGACCAAGAAAGCATCTAGAAGAAACTGGACACACACAGCATGTTAATGAAAATGTACTAAACATTTATATTTGACTAATGTAATTCCTTACAGCAATAAACAGTAAAACATTCCAAATCAACTCTGAAGTTAGTTAGCCTGGTTAATCTCATGGTTATTTAATAATCTGCCCTGAGGAATTTCATGATTGAGCTGATGTTTTATTTTATGTGCTTCCTTAAGATAATACTTCTTTAACATGGTCAGGAATCTAAAAAATACTTCTTAAAGTACTCAACACTACTAACAGACATCGTCTTAAATTTTCATTGATCTGAGTCAGATAAATTCACTGAGAGTGACTGTTTTTGAAAGCCAAATTTATAAAGAACTATTTTCAATTTAA